>NC_000003.12:140372240-140675270 GCF_000001405.40 Homo sapiens | reverse complement strand
TCTGTGGATAAATTTGGGGAGAATTGCCATGTTAAGTTTCCTGATCCACGAACACAGAATATTTCACTATTTATTTAGGTCACCTTTAATTTCTTTCAACAATATTTTGTAGTTTCCATTGTACAGGTCTTGCACTTATATGGTTAAATTTATTCCTAAGCATTTCATTCTTTTGATGCTACTGTAAATAAAATTGATTTTCTTTATATTTGGATTGTTCATTGTTAGTGTGTAGAAATACAACTGATTTTTAATAGGGCCATTTATATTGACTTCTGTGTATATCTTGCAACCTTGCTGAAATCACTATTAGCTCTATTTTTAAAATTTATTTTAAAGGGTTTATATATATAACTTTGTGTTATCTGTGAATAAAGATATTTTCAGTTTTTCCTTTCTAATTTAGATGGCCCTTTTTTATTTTCCTTGCCTAATTTCCCTGGTTAGATCTTCAAGTACAATGTTAAATAGAATTGGCAAGAGTGGACATCCTTGTGTTGTTCCTAATCTTAAGGGAAAAAATTTTAGTTTTTCAACATTAACTATGGCATTCGCTGTCGGTTATTTACAGATGTCCTTTTATCAGATTCAGTTGTATTATTTGATTTTCATATGCTGAGTCAATTTAATAATCAAATTAATTATTTGATTTTCATATGTTGAGTCAATTTTCTGTTCCTGACATAAATCCCATTTCATAATGATGTAATTTTATATTTTGTTGGATTTGGATTGCTAGTATTCTGTTGAGAAATTTTTTAACAGACTAAGACAATATGATTTATTATTCTGAAGTAAATATACGGTTTATAAATATACAGGAACCTGTGATTCCCATCAAGTTCCTGGTAGGAACAAAATGGCACTCAAATTAATTTGTAGAAAAATTGGTTTCTCTTAAATGCAAATCAAAACCACAATGAGATACCATCTCTCACCAGTTAGAATGGTGATCATTAAAAAGTCAGGAAACAACAGGTGCTGGAGAGGATGTGGAGAAATAGGAACACTTTTACACTGTTGGTGGGACTGTAAACTAGTTCAACCATTGTGGAAGTCAGTGTGGTGATTCCTCAGGGATCTAGAACTAGGAATACCATTTGACCCAGCAATCCCATTACTGGGTATATACCCAAAGGATTATAAATCATGCTGCTATAAAGACACATGTGCACATATATTTACTGTGGCACTATTCACAATAGCAAAGACTTGGAACCAAGCCAAATGTCCAACAATGATAGACTGGATTAAGAAAATGTGGCACATATACATCATGGAATAGTATGCAGCCATAAAAAATGATGAGTTCATGTCCTTTGTAGGGACATGGATGAAGCTGGAAACCATCATTCTCAGCAAACTATCGCAAAGACAAAAAACCAAACACCGCATGTTCTCACTCATAGGTGGGAATTGAACAATGAGAACACATGGACACAGGAAGGGGAACATCACACACCGGGGCCTGTTGTGGGGTGGGGGGAGTGGGGAGGGATAGTGTTAGGAGATATACCTAATGTTAAATGATGAGTTAATGGGTGTAGCACACCAACATGGCATATGTATGCATATGTAACTAACCTGCACGTTGTGCATATGTACCTTAAAACTTAAAGTATAATAAAAATAAGAAAAATTGGTTTCTCTTTTTTTAAAAAATTTAACTTTAAGTTCTGGGATACATGTGCTGAATGTGCAGGTTTGTTACATAGCTATACATGTGCCATGGTGGTTTGCTGCACCTATTAACCCATCATCTACGTTTTAAGCCCACATACATTAGGTATTTGTCCTAATGCTCTCCTTCCCCTTTCCCTCACCCCGCTACAGGCTCTGGTGTGTGATGTTCCCTTCCCTGTGTTCAACTCCCACTTGTGAGTGAGAACGTGCAGTATTTGGTTTTCTGTTCCTGTGTTAATTTGCTGACGATGATGGTTTCCAGGTTCATCCATGTCCCTGCAAAGGACATGAACTCCTTCTTTTTAATGGCTGCATAGTATTCCATATTGTATATGTGCCACATTTTCTTTATCCAGTCTGTCATTGATGGGCATTTGGGTTGGCTCCAAGTCTTTGCTATTGTAAATAGTGCTGCAATAAACATACGTGTGCATGTTCTTTATAGTAGAATGATTTATAATCCTTTGGGTATATACCCAGTAATGGGATTGCTGGGTCAAATGGTATTTGATTCTAGATCCTTGAGGAATTGCCACACTTTCTTCCACAATGGTTGAAGTAATTTACACTCCTACCAACAGTGTAAAAGCGCTCCTGTTTCTCCACATCCTCACCAGGATCTATTGTTTCCAGACTTCTTAATGATCGCCGTTCTAATTGGTATGAGATGGTATCTCATTATGGTCTTGATTTGCATTACTCTAATGACCAGTGATAATGACCTTTTTTTCATATGTTTGTTGGCCGCATAAATGTCTTCTTTTGGGAAGTGTCTGTTCATATCCTTTGCCCACTTTTTGATGGGGTTGTTTTCTTCTTGTAAATTTGTTTAAGTTCCTTGTAGACTCTGGATATTAGACCTTTGTCAGATGGATAGATTGCAAAAATTTTCTCCCATTCTGTAGGTTGCCTGTTCACTCTAATGCTAGTTTCTTTTGCTGAGCAGAAACTCTTTAGTTTAATTAGATCCCATTTGTCAATTTTGGCTTTTGTTGCAATTGCTTTTGGTGTTTTAGTCATGGGTCTTTGCCCATGCCTATGTCCTGAATGGTACTGCCTAGGTTTTCTTCTAGGGTTTTTATGGTTTTAGGTTTTATGTTTAAGTCTTTAATCCATCTCATGTTAATTTTTGTAGAAGGTGTAAGGAAGGGGTCCAGGTTCTGTTTTCTACATATGGCAAGCCAATTTTCCCAGAACCATTTATTAAATAGGGAATCCTTTCCCCATTGCTTGTTTTTGCCAGGTTTGTTGAAGATCAGGTGGTTGTAGATGTGTGATGTTATTTCTGGGGTCTCTGTTCTGTTCCATTGGTCTATATATCTGTTTTGCTACCAGTACCATGCTGTTTTGGTTCCTGTAGCCTTGTAGTGTAGTTTGAAGTCAGGTAGCATGATGCCTCCAGATTTGTTCTTTTTGCTTAGGATTGTCTCGGCTATATGGGCTTTTTGGTTCCATATGAAATTTAAAGTAGTTTTTTTCTAGTTCTGTGAAGAAAGTCAATGGTAGCGTGATGGGGATAGCATTGAATCTACAAATTACTTTGGGGGGTATGGGCATTTTCATGATATTCTTCCTATCCATGAGCATGGATTGTTTTTTCATTTGTTTGTGTCCTCTCTTATTTCCTTGAGCAGTGGATTGAAGTTCTCCTTGAAGAGGTCCTTCACGTCCATTGTAAGTTGTATTCCTACGTATTTTATTTTCTTTTTTTTTTCTTTTTTTTTTTTTTTTTTTGAGACGGAGTCTCTCTCTGTCGCCCAGGCTGGAGTGCAGTGGCGGGATCTCGGCTCACTGCAAGCTCCGCCTCCCGGGTTCACGCCATTTTCCTGCCTCAGCCTCCCAAGTAGCTGGGACTACAGGCGCCCGCCACTACGCCCGGCTAATTTTTTTTTTTTTTTTTTGTATTTTTAGTAGAGACGGGGTTTCACCGTTTTAGCCGGGATGGTCTCGATCTCCTGACCTCGTGATCCGCCCGCCTCAGCCTCCCAAAGTGCTGGGATTACAGGCGTGAGCCACCGCGCCCAGCCGACCGTATTTTATTTTCTTTGTAGCAATTGTGAATGGGAGTTCACTCATGATTTGGCTCTCTGCTTTTCTATTATTGGTATATAGGAATGCTTGTGATTTTTGTGCATTGATTTTGTATCCTGAGACTTTGCTGAAGTATATCAGCTTAAGGAATTTTTTGGACTGAGTCTGTTGAGAAATTTTATATTTATATTCATAAAGGTTATTGGTCTGCAGTTTTACTTTCTTGTGATGTCTTTGGTTTGGTATCAAGATAATGCTGACCTCATAAAATGAGTTATCAAGTGTTTATCTTCCTTTAATTTTTTGAAGGGTTTGTGAAGGATTGGTGTTAATTTTTCTTTAAATATTTGGATTTAAGTTACTGTTTGGTATCCTTTTTTTATCAGCCTGAAGAATTCCCTTTAGTATTTTTTTATGGCTGACCTGCTTACAATAAATTCAGGTTTTGCTTATTTTGGATGTCTTAATTTTTCCTTCATTTTTGAAGGAAAGTTTTGATGGACATAAAGTTCTTGGTTGACAGTTATTTTTTTTCAGCACTCTGCATATGTCATTCCATTTCCCCCTGGCTTCCATTACTTCTTTTTTTTTGTCTTTAATTTTTGTGGGTACATAATAGATGTATACATTCATGGGGTACATGAGATATTTTGATACATACAGTGCATAATAATAATAGGACAGTACATAATAATAATAGGATAAATGGAGTATCCATCACCTCAAGTATTTATCCTTTCTTTGTGTTACAAGCAAGGACTCCAATCATACTTTTTAAGTTATTTTTAAATGTACAATAAATTATTATGGACTGTGATCACCCTATTATGCTATCAAAGAGTAGATATTATTCATTCTACCTACCTATATTTTTGTGTCCATTAATCATCCCCATTTCCCCCCACTCCACTACCCTTCCCAGACCCTGGTAACCTTCTTTCTACTCTCTATCTCCATGAGTCAATTGTTTTTAATTTTTAGCTCTTTTGAATAAGTGAGAAAATGAGAAGTTTGTCTTTCTGTGCTTGGCGAATTTCACTTAACATATTGGCTTCCAGTACCTTCCGTATTGTTGCAAAAGACAGGATCTCATTATTTTTATGGCTGAATAGTACTGCATTTTGTATATGTACCTTATTTTCTATATCCCTTCATCTGTTGATGGACACTTAGTTTGCTTCTAAATCTTGGCTATTGTGAATAGTGCTGCGACAAATATGAGAGTGAGATGTCTCTTAAATATACTGATTTCCTTTCTTTGGGGTATATACCTAGCAGTGGGATTGCTGGATCATATGGTAGCTCTATTTTTAGTTTTTTGAGGAATCTCTAAACTTTTCTTCATAGTGGTTGTATTAATTTACATTTCCTCCAACAATGTATAAGGATTACCTTTTCTCCACATCCTCGCCAGCATTTGTTATTGTCTGTCTTTTGGATAAAAGCATTTTTACCTGAGGTGAGATGATATATCATTGTACTTTTGATTTGCATTTCTCTGATGATCAATGATGTGGAGCACCCTTCCATATACCTGTTTGCCATTTATATGTCGTTTGAGAAATGTCTATTCAGATCTTTTGCCCATTTTATTTATTTATTTTTAAAATTTTGTTAATTTTATTTAATTTTTAATTTTTTTATTTTCACAGGTTATTGGGGAACAGGTGGTGTTTGGTTACATGAGTAAGTTCTTTAGTGGTGATTTGTGAGATTTTGTTTCACCCATCACCCGAAAAGAATACAGTACATGCAGTTGGTAATCTTTTATCCCTCATCCCCTTCCCACCTTTTTCCTCTGAGTCCCCAAAGTCCATTGTGTCATTTTTATGCCTTTTGCATCCTCATAGCTTAGCTCCCACTTATCAGTGAGAACATACAATGTTTGGTTTTCCATTTCTGAGTCACTTCACTTAGAATAATATTCTCCAGTTTCATCCAGGTTGCTGCAAATGCTATTAATTCATTCCTTTTATGACTGAGTAGTATTTCGTCATATATATATATATATATATATATATATATATATATATATATATATATATATATACCACAGTTTCTTCATCCACTCATTGATTGATAGGCATTTGGGTTGGTTTCACACTTTTGCTATTGTGAATTGTGCTGCTGTAAACATGCATATGCAAATATCTTTTTCGTATAATTTTCCTTATACGAAATTTTCCTTATACTTATTTTCCTCTGGGTAGATACCCAGTAGTGGGATTGCTTTTGTAGTAGTTCTACTTTTAGTTCTTTAAGGAATCTCCACACTGTTTTCCATAGTGATTTTGTGCTAGTTTAAATTCCCACCAGCAGTGTAGAAGTGTTTCCTGTTGACTGCATCCAAGCCAGCATCTATTATTTTTTTATTATGGCCATTCTTGCAAGAGTAAGGTGGTATAGCATTGTGGTTTTGATTTGCATTTCCCTGATCATTAGTGATGTTGAGCATTTTTTTTCATATGTTTGTTGGTAGTTTGTAAATCTTCTTTTGAGAATTGTCTATTCATGTCCTTAGCCCACTTTTTGATGATTTTTTTTTTCTTGCTAATTTGAGTTCATTGTAGATTCTGGATATTAGTTCTTTGTTGGACGTATAGATTGTGAAGATTTTCTCCCCATCTGTGAGTTGTCTGTTACTCTGCTGATGGTTCCTTTTGCCATGCAAAAGCTCTTTAGTTTAATTAAGTCACAGCTATTTATGTTTGTTTTTATTGCGTTTGCTTTTGGGATCTTGGTCATTAAATCCTTGCCTAAGCCAATGTCTAGAAGGGTTTTTCTGATGCTATCTTCTAGAATTTTTACAGTTTTATGTCTTAGATTTAAGTCTGTGATCCATCTTCAGTTGACTTTTGCAAAAGGTGAGAGATGATCAAGTTTCATTCTTCTACATGTGGCTTGCCAATTATCCCAGCACCATGTGTTGAATAAGGTGTTCTTTCCCCACTTTGTTTTTGTTTGCTTTGTCAAATATCAGTTGGCTGTAAGTATTTGGCTTTGTTTCTGCATTCTCTATTCTATTCCATTGGTCTGTGTGCCTATTTTTATACCAGTACCATGCTGTTTTGGTGACATGGCCTTATGGTGTAGTTTGAAGTCGGGTAATGTGATCCTTCCAGATTTGTTCTTTTTGCTTAGTCTTACTTTGATGATGCAGGCTCTTTTTTGGTTCCAAATGAATTTTAGGATTATTTTTTCTAGTTCTGTGAAGAATGATGGTGGTATTTTGGTGGGAATTGTGTTGAATTTGTGGATTGCTTTTGGCAGTATGGTCATTTTCACAATATTGATTCTACCCATCCATGAGCATGGAATGTGTTTGCATTTGTTTGTGTTGTCTATGATTTCTTTCAGCAGTGTCTTGTAGTTTTCCTTGTAGAGGTCTTTCACCTCCTAGGTTAGGTATATTCCTAAGTATTTTGTTTTATTTTTTGTAGCCATTATAAAAGGGGTTGAGTTCTTGATTTCATTCTCCACTTGATCACCATTTGCTTATAAGAGAGCTACCAATTTGTGTATGTTAATTTTGCATCCAAAAACTTTGCTGAATTTTTTTTAAATCAGCTCTAGGAGCTTTTTGGAGGAGTCTTTAGGGTTTCTAGGTATAGAATCATATCATCAGCAAGCAGCAACAGTTTGACTTCCTCTTTATTGGTTTGGGTGCCCTTTCTTTCTCTTGTCTGATGGCTCTGGCTAGGACTTCCAGTACTGTGTTGAATAGAAGTGGTGAGAGTGGGCATCCTTGTCCTATTCCACTTCCCAGAGGGAACGCTTTCAACTTTTTCCCATTCAGTATTATATTGGCTGTAGGTTTGTCATAGATGGCTTTTATTACATTGAGATATGTCCCTTAATATGCTGATTTTGCTGAGTTTTAATCATAAAAGCGTGGTGGATTTTGTTGAATGCTTTTTCTGCACTTATTGAGATGTTCATGTGATTTTTGTTTTTAATTCTGCTTATGTGGTATATCACATTTATTAACTTGCATGTGTTAAATCATCTCGGCATCCCTGGTATGGAACCCATTTGATCATGGTGGATTATCTTTTTGATATGTTGTTGGATTCGGTTAGCTAGTATTTTGTTAAGGATGTTTGCATCTATGTTCATCAGGGATATTGGGCTATAGTTTTCTTTTTTTGGTTAAGTCCTTTCCTGGTTTTGGTATTGGGATAATACTGGCTTCATAGAATGATTTAGGGAGGATTCCCTCTTTATCTTATGGAATAGTGTCAATAGGATTCGTACCAATTCTTCTTTGAATGTCTGATAGAATTCAGCCATGAGTCTGTCTGGTGCTGGACTTTTTTTGTTGGTAATTTTAAAATTACTGTTTCAATCTCCCTGCTTGTTATTGGTCTGTTCACAGTATCTAATTCTTACTGATTCAGGAGGGTTGTAGCTTTCCAGAAACTTATCCATCTCCTTTAGGTTTTCTAGTTTATGTGTGTAAAGGTGTTCATAGTAGCCCTGAATGATCTTTTGTACTTCAGTAGTGTCAGTTGTAATATCTCCTATTTCATTTCTTATTGAGCTTATTTGGAGTTTCTCTCTTCTTTTCTTGGTTAATCTTGCTAATGGTCCATCAATTTTATTTATCTTTTCCAAGCACCAGCTTTTTGTTTTATTTATCTTTTGTAAGTTTTTTGTTTCAATTTCATTTAGTTCTGCTCTGATCTGTGTTATTTCCTTTCTTCTGCTGGGTTTGGGTTTGATTTGTTCTTGTTTCTCTAGTTTCTTGAGGTGTAACCTTAGATTGTCTATTTGTGCTCTTTCAGACTTTTTGTGTCTCTTGAAGGCATTTAGGGCTATGAACTTTCCTCTTAGCACTGCCTTTGCTGTATCCCAGAGGTTTTGATAGGTTGTGTTACTATTGTCATTCAGTCAGATCAAAGAAATTTTTAAATTTCCATCTTGATTTCATTTTTGATCCAATGATCATTTAGGAGCAGTTTATTTAATTTCAATGTATTTGCATGGTTTTGAAGGTTCCTTTTGGAGTTGATTTGCAGTTTTCTTCCACTGTGGTCTGAGAGAGTGCTGGATATAATTTTAATTTTCTTAAATTTATTGAGGCTCATTTTGTGGCCTATTATATGGTCTGTCTTGGAGAAAGTTCCATGTACTGACGAATAGAATATATATTCTATGGTTTTTCGTTAAAATGTTGTATAAATATCTGTTAAGTCCATTTGTTCTAGGGTATAGTTTAAGTCCATTGTTTCTTTTTTGACTTTCTGTCTTGATGACCTGTCTACTGCTGTCAGTGGAGTATTGAAGTCCCCCACTATTATTGTGTTGCTGTCTATCTCATTTCTTAGGTCTAGTAGTAATTGTTTTATAAATTTTGGAGCTCCAGTGTTAGGTGCATATATATTTAGGATTGTGGTATTTTCCGGTTGAACAAGGCCTTTTACCATTACATAATGTCCCTCTTTGTCTTTAACTGCTGTTGCTTTAAAGTTTGTTTTGTCTGATATAAGAATAGCTACTCCTGCTCATTTTTTATGTCCATTTGCATGGACTATCTTTTTCCACTCCTTTACCTTAAGTTTATGTGAGTCCTTTTGTGTTAGGTGAGTCTCTTGAAGGCAGTAGATATTTGGTTGGTGAATTCTTATCCATTCTGCAATTCTGTATTTTTTTTTTTGAGACAGAGTCTTGCTCTGTTGCCCAGGCTGGAGTGCAGTGGCACGATCTCGGCTCACTGCAAGCTCCGCCTCCTGGGTTCACACCATTCTGCTGCCTCAGCCTCCCGAGTAGATGGGACTACAGGCGCCCGCCACAATGCCCAGCTAATTTTCTGTATTTTTAGTAGAGACAGGGTTTCACTGTGTTAGCCAAGTTGGTCTTGATCTCCTGACCTCATGATCTGCCCGCCTCAGCCTCCCAAAGTGCTAGGATTACAGGCGTGAGCCACCGCACCCAGCCCAATTATGTATTTTTTAGGTGGAGCATTTAGGCCATTTACATTCAATGTTAGTAGTGAGATGGAAGGTACTATTCCATTCATTGGAATACATTTATTGTATTTTTTAATGGTTTCTTTGAGATTTATGCTTTAAAAAGGCTCTGTTTTGATGTGTTTCCAGGATTTGTTTCAAGATTTAGAGCTCCTTTTAGCAGTTCTTGTAGTGCTGGCTTGGTAGTGGTGAATTCTTTCAGCATTTGTCTGAAAAAGACTGTATCTTTTCTTCATTAATGAAGGTTAGTGTCACTGGATACAAAATTCTTGGCTGATATCTGTTTTGTTTAAGGAAGCTGATCATGCCCCATTCCTTTCTGACTTGTAGGATTTCTGCTGAGAAATCTGCTGTTAATCTGATAGGTTTTCCAGTGCTTTTGCCTCACAGCTCTTAAGATTCCTTTCTTTCTCTCAACTTTAGATAACCTGATGACATTGTGCCTAGGCAATGATCTCTTTGCGGTGAATTTTCCAGGTGTTCTTTGAGCTTCTTGTAGTTAGATATCTAGATCTCTAGCAAGGCCAGGGAAGTTTTTCTTGATTATTTCCCCAAATATGTTTTCCAAACTTTCAGATTTCTCTTCTTTCTCAGGAATATTTCTCTTCTTCCTAAGAATAATAATTCTTGTTAGGTTAACATAATGCTAGACTTCTTGGAGGCTTTGTTGGTATTTTCTTATTTTTTTTCCTTTGTCTTTGTTGGATTGGGTTAATTTGAAAACTTTGTTTTTGAGTTCTTAAGTTCTTTCTTCTGCTTGTTTGATTCTATTGCTGAGGCTTTCCAGAGCATTTTGCATTGCAATAAGTGCATCCATTTTTTCTGAAGTTTTGATTGCTTTTTATCTATGTTATTTATTTCATTGAAGATTTCTCCCTTCATTTCTTGTATCATTTTTTTCAACTTCCTTAAATTGGGCTTTGTCTTTCTCTGGTGCCTCCTTGATTAGCTTAATAACTGCCCTTCTCAATTCTTTTTCAGGTAAATCAGGGATTTTTTTCTTGGTTTGGATCCGTTGCCAGTGAGCTAGTGTGATTTTTGGGGGGTGTTAATGAGCCTTGTTTTGTCATATTACCAGAGTTGGTTTTCTGTTCCTTCTTATTTGGGTGGGCTCTGTCAGAGGGAATGTCTAGGGCTCAAGGCTGTTGTTCAAATTCTTTTGTCCCACACGGTGTTCCCTTGATGTAGTACTCTGCCCATTTTCCTAGGGATGTGGCTTCCTGAGAGCCAAGCTGTAGTGATTGTTATCTCTCTTTTAAATCTAGCCACCCAGCAGGTTTACCAGGCTCCGGGTTGCTACTGGGGGTTGTCTGCACAGAGTCCTGTGATGTGAACCGTCTGTGGGTCTCTCAGCCATGGATAACAGCATAGCATTTGGGCTGTCTCCTGGGTCCTGCAGGAGCAATCTGCTTTCTTCCGTGGATATGTGGGTTCCCTCAGCTTTCCTGACTTACTTGTGCGGTGGTTCTGGAGTAAGAGTTCATAATGTGAGACTCCACAAGCTCCTCTGTTCGTCTGAGTGGAGCTACAGTTTAGTTTTGCCTCCCATCTGCCATGATCCCCTTTTGCCCATTTTTAAATAGCAGTATTAGATGTTTTCCTATAGATGTTGTTTGAGCTCCTTATATATTCTGGTTATTAATCCCTTATCAGATAAATAATTTGCAAATATTCTCTCTTATTCTGTGGGTTATCTCTTCACTTTGTTAATTGTTTCCTTTGGTGTGCAGAAGGTTTATAACTTGATGTGATCCCATTTGTTCAGTTTTGCCTTGGTTTCCTCTGCTTGTGGGGTATTCCTTAAGAAATTTTTGCCCAGAACAATGTCCTGGAGAGCTTCCCCAATGTTGTCTTGTAGGAGTTTCATAGTTTGATGTCTTAGATTTAAGTCTCTAATTGATTTTAATTTGATTTTTCTATATGGCGAGAGATAGGGGTCTAGTTTCATTTTTCTGCATAAAGATATTCAGTTTTCTGGCACCATTTATTGAAAAGACTGTCTTTTCTCCAGTGTACATTCTTGGCACCTTTTTTGAAAGTGAGTTCACTGTAAGTATGTGGATTATTTTCTGTTTCATTGGTCTCTGTTTTATGTCAGTACCATACTGTTTTGGTTACTATAGCTCTGTGTTACAATTTGAAATCAGGCAATATGATTTTTCTAGTTTTGTTCATTTTGCTCAGGACAGCTTTGGCTATTCTGGGTCTTTTTTGGTTTCATATAAATTTTTGGATGATTCTTTTTCTATTTCTGTGAAAAATGTTATTGGTATCTTGATAAGGGTTGCATTAGATCTGTAGATTGCTTTGGGAAGTATGGACATTTTAACAATATATTGACTCTTTCAGTTCATGAATATGGAATACCTTTCCATCTTTTGTCTCCTCTTCACTTTCTTCAATAAATGTTTTGTAGTTTTCATTATAGAGCTCTTTTACTTCTTTGGTTAAGTTACTTCCTATGTATTTAATTTCATTTATAGCTATTGTAAATGGAATTACTTTATTGATTTCTTTTTCAGATTGTTCGCTGTTGGCATATAGAAATGCTGCGGATTTTTATATATTGATTTTGTATCCTAGAATTTTACTAAATTTGTTTATGAGATCTAACAGTTTTTTTGTGGACTCTTTAGGTTTTTTCAAATATAAGATTATATCATCTACAAACAAGGATAGTTTTACTTCTTCCTTTTCAATTTGGATGCTCTTTATTTCTTTCTCTTGTCTGATTGCTCCAGCTAAGACTTTTAGTGCTGTGTTGAATAACAGAGGCGAAAGTGGGCATCCTTGTCTTGCTTTAGATCTTAAAAGAAATTCTTTTGGTTTTTCCTTATTCAGTATGATACTAGTTATAGGTCTGTTGTATATGGCTTTTACTATGTTGAGGTATGTTCCTTCTATACCCAGTTTCTATGTCTGGGTGCTTTAGTGTTGGGTGCATATATAGTTACAATTGTTATATCATCTTTCTAAATTGACCTCTTTATCATTATATTATAACCTTCTTTGTAACTTTTTACAGTTTTTGTCCTGAAATCTATTTTCTCTGATATAAGTGTAGCTATTCCTTTTCTGTTTTGGTTTCCATTGGCATGAAATATCTTTTTCCATCCCTTTATATTTTAGTCTATGTGTGTCTTTATATGTAAAATGTGTTTCTTCTAGGCAACAGATTGTTAGGTCTTGCTTTTAAAAGATTCCATTCAGGCACTCTGTCTTTTGATTGGAGAGTTTAGTCCATTTACCGCCAATGTTCTTATTGGTAAGTAGGAACTTACTTCTGCCACTTTGTTATCTGTTTTCTGGATGTTTTGTGGTCTTGTCTTCCTTCTTTCTTCCTGTCTTCTTTTTAGTGAAGGTGATTTTCTCTGATGGCCTGTTTTAATTTCTTGCTTTACATTTTCTGTGTATCTGTTGTATGTCTTTTGACTAGAAGTTACTATGATGCTTGCAAATAATATCTTATAACCCAATTGTTTCCCCTCAGCTTTTAAGTTCAGGGGTGCATTTGCGGGATGTGTGGGTTTGTTACATAGGTAAACATGTGCCATGGTGGTTTGCTACACAGATCATCCCCTCACCTAGGTATTAAGCCCAGCATCCATTAGCTATTCTTCCTGAGGATATCCATCCCTGACAGGACCCAGTTTGTGTTGTTACCCCTTGTGTTGATGTGTTTTCATCATTCATCTCTCACTTATAAATGAAAACATGCAGTATTTGGTTTTCTGTCCCTGAGTTAGTTTGCTGAGGATAATGTCTTCCAGCTCCATCCATGTCCCTACAGAGGACATGATCTCATTCTTTTTATGGCTGTATAGTATTCCATGGTGTATATGTATCACATTTTCTATATCCAGTCTGTCATTGGTGGGCATTTAGGTTAATTCTATGTCTTTGCTATTGTGAATAGTGCTGCAAAGAACATATGGATGCATGTATCTTATTAAAGAATGATTTATATTCCTTTGGGTATATACCCAGTAATAAAATTGCTAGGTCAAATGGTATTTCTGCTTCTAGGTCCTTGGGAAATCCCCACACTCTTCCACAATGGTTGAACTAATTTCCACTCACACTAACAGTGCAAAAGCATTCTCTTTTCTCTGCAACCTCATCAGCATCTGTTGTATTTTGACCTTTTAATAGCCATTCTGACTTGCATAAGATGTATCTCATTGTGGTTTTGATTTGCATTTCTCTAATGATCAGTGATATTGAGCTTTTTTTCATGTGTTTTTTGGCCACATGTATGTCTTCTTTTGAGAGGTGTCTGTTCATGTCTGTTGCCCACTTTTTAATGGGGTTGTTTGGTTTTTTTCTTGTCAATTTAAGGTACTTGTAGACTCTGGATATTAGGCCTTTGTCAAATGGATAGATTACAAAATTTTTCTCCCATTCTGTAGGTTGTTTGTTCACTCTGATGATAGTTTCTTTTGCTGTGCAGAAGCTCTTTAGTTTAATTATATTCCATTTGCCAATTTTTGCTTTTATTGCAATTGCTTTTGGCATTTTCCTCATGAAATATTTACCCATGCCTATGTCCTAAATGGTATTGCCTATGTCCTAAATTGTATTGCCTAGATTTTCTTCTGGAGTTTTTATAGTTTTGGGTTTTACATTTAAGTCTTTAATTCATGTTGAGTTAATTTTTGTATATGGTGTAAGAAAGGGGTCCAGTTTCAATTTTCTGCATATAGCTAGCCAGTTCTCTCAGCACCATTTATTGAATAGAGACTCCTTTCCTCATTGCTTGCTTTTGTCAGTTTTGTCAAAGATCAGATGGTTTTAGGTGTGTGGTCTGATTTCTGAGTCCTCTATTCTGTTCCATTGGTCTATGTGTCTGTTCTTGTACCAGCACCATGCTGTTTTGGTTATTGTAGCCTTGTAGTATAGTTTGAAGTCGGGTAGTATGATACTTCCAGCTTTGTTCTTTTTGCTTAGGATTGCCTTGGCTATTTAGGCTCTTTTTTGGTTTCATATGAAGTTTAAAATAGTTTTTTTTCTAATTCTGTGAAGAATGTCAATGGTAGTTTAGTGGGAATAGCATTGAATCTATAAATTGTTTTAGACAGTATCACCATTTTCATAATATTGATTCTTCCTATCCACGAGCATGGAATGTTTGTCCATTTATTTGTGTCCTCTGATTTCTTTGAGCAGTGATTTGTAGATCCCTTAAATAGGTCCTTCACATCCCTTGTTAGCTGTATTTCTAGGTATTTTATTTTTTTGTGGCAGTTGTGAATGGAAGTTCATTCATGATTTGGCTCTTTGCCTGTTTTTGGTGCATAGGAATACCAGCAATTTTTGCACATTGATTTTGTATCCTGAGACTGTGCTGAAGTTGATATCAGTTTAAGGAGCATTTGGGCTGAGACAGTGGGGTCTTCTAGATACAGGATTAGGTCATCTTCAAAAAAACAAAGATAATCTGACTTCCTTTCTTCCTATTTGAATACCCTGTCTTTCTTTCTCTTGCCTGATTTGCCTGGCCAGAATTTCTAATACTATGTTGAATAGGAGTGATGAAAGTGGGCATCCTTTTCTTGTGCCGGTTTTCAAGTGGAATGCTTCCAGCTTTTGCCCATTCAGTATGATATTGGCTATGGGTTTGTCATAGATGGCTCTTATTATTTTGAAGTATGTTTATTCAATACCTAGTTTGAGAGTTTTTAACATGAAGGAATGTGAATTTTATCAAAGGCCTATTCTGTGTCTATTGAGATAATCATGTGTTTTTTGTCTTTGGTTTTGTTTTTGTGATGAATCACATTTATTGATATGCATATGCTGAACCAACCTTGTATCCCAGGGATGAAGGCAACTTGGTCGTGGTGGCTAAGCTTTTTGATGTGCTGCAGGATTTGGTTTGCCAATATTTTGTTGATAATTTTTGCATTGAGGTTTATCAAGGTTATTGGCTTGAAGTTTCCTTTTTTTGTTGTATCTCTGCCAGATGTCAGTCTCAGGATAATGCTGGCCTCATAGAATGAGTTAAGGAGGAGTCCCTTTTTTTCCAATTTTTTTGGAATAGTTTCAGTAGAAATGGCTCCAGCTCTTCTTTGTATCTCTGGTAGAATGTAGCTGTATATCTCTCTGGTCCTAGGCTTTTATTTATTGGTAGGCTATTTATTACTGCCTAAATTTCAGAACTCATTATTGGTCTATTCAGGGATTCAATTTCTTTCCAGTTCAGTTTTGGGAGGATGTATGTGTCCAGAAATTTATCCATTTCTTCTAGATTTTCTAGTTCATATGCATAAAGGTGTTTATAATATTCTCTGATGGTTGTTTGTGTTCCTGTGGCATCAGTGGTGATATCCACCTTGTCATTTCTGATTGTGTTTATTTGATTCTTCTCTCTTTTCCTCTTTATTAGACTAGCTAGCTGTCTATCTATTTTATTAATTTTTTTCAAAACACTGGCTCCTGGATTGATTCATTAATTTTTCTTGAAAGTATTTTTTTTTGTCTTTATCTCCTTCAGTTTAGTTCAGCTCTGATCTTGGTTATTTCTTGTGTTCTGCTAGTTTTGGGGTTTGATTGCTCTTGGTTCTCTAGTTCTTTTAGTTGTGATGTTAGGATGTCAATTTGAGATCTTTCTAGCTTTTTGATGTGGGCATTTAGTGCTATAAATGTCCCACTTAACACTGCTTTAACTGTGTCCCAGAGATTCTGGTACATTGTCTGTTTGTTATTAGTAGTTTTAAAGAACTTCTTGATTTCTGCCTTAATTTCATTATCTACCCAGGAGTCATTCAGGAGCAGGTTGTTCAATTTCCATGTAGTTGCATTGAGTAAATTCTTAATCTTGAGTTCTAATTTGATTGTGCTGTGGTCTGAGAGACTGTTTGTTATAATTTCAGTTCTTTTGCATTTGGTGAGGAGTGTTTTACTTGCAATTATGTGATGAATTTGGAGTAAGTGCCATGTGGCAATGAGAAGAATGCATATTCTCTTGTTTTGGGTGAAAAGTCCTGTAGATATCTATCAAGTCCACTTGAGCCAGAGCTGAGTTCAGGTCTTGAGTATCTTAATTTTTTATCTCGATGATGTATCTAATATTGTCAGTGGAGTGTTAAACTCTTCCACTATTATTGTATTGTAAGGGACTCTAAGTCTCTTTGAAGGTTTCTAAGAACTTGCTTTATGAGTGTGGGTGCTCCTGTATTGGGTGCATATATATTTAAGATAGCTCTTCTTGTTGAATTGAGCCCTTTACCATTACATAATGCCCTTCTTTGTCTTTTTTTCACCTTTGTTGGTTTAAATTCTGTTTTGTCAGAAACTAGGATTGCACCCCATGCTTTTTTCCATTTTCCATTTTCTTGGTAAAATTTCCTTCATCCCTTTATTTTGAACCTATGTGCATCTTTGCAGGTGAGATGGGTCTCTTAAAGACAGCATACTGATGGCTCTTGGCTCTTTATCCAGCTTGCCATTCTGTGTCTTTAAATTGGGGCATTTAGCCCATTTACATTTAAGATTAGTATTGTGATGTGTGAATTTGATCCATCATTGTGATGGTGGCCAGTTAGTTTGCAGACTTGTTTATTTGGTTGCTTCATAGTGTCACTGGTCTGTGGAATTCAGCCTGTTTTTGTAGTGGGTGGTAACAGTTTTTCCTTTCTTATTTAGTGTTTCTTTCAGGAGCTCTTACAAGCCTGGCCTGGTGGTGATGAATTCTCTCAGCATTTGCTTGTCTGAAAAGGATCTTATTTCTCCCTCACTTATGAAGCTTAGGTTTGACTGGATATGAAATTCTGGGTTGGAAATTCTTTTCTTTAAGAATGTTGAATATTGACCCCCAATCTCTTCTGGCTTGTAGGGTTTCTGCTGGGAAGTCTGCTGTTAGTCTGATGGGCTTCCCTTTGTAGGTGACCTGGCCTTTCTCTCTGGCTGCCCTTAACATTTTTTTTTCTCTCATTTCCACCTTGGAGGATCTGATAATTATGTGTTTTGGGGTTGACCTTCTCATGGGTTTCTTACTGGGGTTCTCTGCAGTTCCTCAATTTGAATGTTGGCCTGTCTTGCTACATTGGGGAACTTCTCCTAGATGATATCCTAAAGTATGTTTCCAATTTTGTTCCATTCTCCCTATCTCTTTCAGGTGCTCCAATCAATTGTAGGTTTGGTCCCTTTACATAATCCCATATTTCTCAGAGATTTTGTTCATTCCTTTTTATTTTTTTCTCCATTCTTGTCTGCTTGTCTTATTTCAGAAAGATAGTCTTCAAAGCTCTGATAGTCTTTCCTCTGCTTGGTCTAATCTGGCTTGTAAACTGTTGCTACTTGTGATTGCACTGTAAAGTTCTCATGTTGTGTTTTTCAGCACCATCAGGTCAGTTATGTTTCTTTCTAAACTGGCTATTCTGGTTATGAGCTCCTGTATTGCTTTATCATTATTCTTAGCTTTGCATTGGGTTACAACATGCTCCTTTAGCTCAGTGAAGTTCATTATTACCCATCTTCTGAAATCTACTTCTGCCAATTAAGCCACCTCAGCCTCTACCCAGTTCTATGCCCTTGCTGGAGAGGGATTGTGGTCATTTGGAGGAGAAGAGGCACTCTTGATTTCTGAGTTTTCAGCATTTTTGCATTGATTCTTTCTCATCTTTGTGGGCTTATCTACCTTCAGTTTTTGAGGTTGCTGACCTTTGAATAAGGTTTTTGTGGGGTATTTTTTTGTTGATGTTGTTTTTGTTTTCTGTTTGTTTGTCTGTTTGTTTTAACACGCCACTCTTCCATAGGACTACTTTGGTTTTCTGGGGGTCCACTTCAGACCCTAGTTGCCTTGGTTTTTCCCATACCTGGAGATGTCACCAGTGAAGCCTGGGAAACAGCAAAGAGGGCAGCCTGATCGTTCATCTGGAAACTTTGTTCCAGGTGGGTACTGACCTGTTGCCAGCCCAAGCATGCCTGTAAGAGGTGGCAGGAGACCCCTGTTAGGAGTTCTCACCAAGTCACAAGGAATGGGATCAGGGAACCTGCTTAAAGACACAGTCTGTCTACTTCTTTGTAGAGCAGGTGTCCTGTGTTGGTGGGGGGACCCTTCCTTGTCTAGACCATTTGGGTTCTTCAAAGCCTGGAATGGCTGCATCTATTGAACCACAGAGATGGCAGCTGCCCCTCCCCACTGGGAGCTCTGTCACAGGGAGAGATCAGAGCTCTATCCGTGGCTGGATTGGCTGAAGCCCCCACAGAGAAGTCCTGCCCAGTGAGGAGGAATGGATTGGGTTCCCTCTTAAGGAATCAGTCTGACCAGTCTGGCAAGGCAATTGTGCTGCCTTTTGGGGAACATTTCCTTGTCCAGACTCTTTGGGTTCTCCAACACTGGCAGGCTGGAATGGCTGAGTCTATCAAACTTCAGAGATGGTAACCACCCCTTTCTCTGGAAACTCAGTCACCTCTCAGGAAGATTTCAGCCTACTGCCATTGGCTAGCTGGAATTGCAAGCCAGTGGTTCTCATCTTGTGAGGTGATGTGGAAGTGGGGCCCACAGAAGAGTGCTGCTTGGCTCCCTGGATTCAGTCCCCTTCCTAGTGATACGTATAGACAGATATTCCACCTTGCTGGAGATCCTGGGGATGGAGAATATAAAACTCCTGGGTCTCTGTGTGTGCCTGAGTGGTTGCTCTGCCAAGACTTCACAGAGCCCTGTGTAGCAGACCCAAGGCCCTAGTGGTGTGGGCTCATGAGGGGATCCCCTGATCAGTGGGTTGCAAAGCTCTGTGGAGAAGTGTGGTTTCCTGGGCCAGGCTGCACAATTACTCACTGCTTCCCTTGGCTGGGGGTGGGGGTTTCTTTGGCTGTGTGCCACACCTGGGTGGGCCATCACCCCACCCTGCTTTTCTTTGAGTTGTTTGCCTAGTCAGTTCTAATGTGAGAACCTGGATATTTCAGTTGAAGATCCTGGATTCACTTGTTTTTTCATTCCTCTCTGTGAGTGCCACAGACTGCAGCTGCTTCTAATTGATCATCTTGACCTCCAATCCCAAATTTTAAACCGATGACAAATTAATAATGAATGCATAAGAAAGCCAAAGAGAAAACTGATACAACTCTTTAAATTCATTCCACTGTTGTTTCTAATTATATTTTATTTTACTATTTCTTAAAGTTTTTGTAGTTATTATTTTTGATTGGTTCATCTTTTAGTCTTACTACTCAAGATATGAGTATCTTATATATCACAGTTATGGTGTTATAATATTCTATTTTTCTATATATTTAGTGAGTTTTGTACCTTCAGATGATTTCTTATTGCTCATTAATGTCCTTTTCTTTCAGATTGAAGAACTCCCTTTAGCATTTTTTTTGTAGGATGGGTCTGGTGTTGATGAAATCTCTCAGCTTTTGTTTGGTTTTTTTGTTTGTTTGTTTCTTTGTTTGTTTGTTTTGAGACAGAGTCTCACTCTGTTGCCAGGCTGGAGTGCAGTGGCGCGATCTCAGCTCACTGCAACCTCCGCCTGCTGGGTTCAAGTGATTCTCATGCCTCAGCCTCCCGAGTAGCTGGGATTACAGGTATGCACCACCACACCCAGCTAATTTTTGTATTTTTAGTAGAGACGGGGTTTTACCATGTTGGGCAGGATGGTCTCAATCTCCTGACCTCATGATCCACCCACCTTGGCCTCCCAAAGTGCTGGGATTACAGGCATGAGCCAGCGCACCCAGCCCTTTTGTTTGTTTTTATTTCTCCTTCATGTTTGAAGGATACTTTTGCCAGATATACTATTCTAGAATAAGATATTTTTCCTTCAGCACTTGAAATAGTCATGCCACTCTCTACTAGCCTGTAAGTTTTCCACTGAGGAGTTTGCTGCTAGACATATTGGAGCTCCTTTGTATATCATTTGTTTGATTTCTCTTGCTGCTTTTAGGATCATTTCTTTACCTTTGACTTTTGGGAGTTTGATTATTCAACGTCTTTGGGTAGTCTTGTTTGGGTTAAATCTGCTTGATGTTTTATAATCTTTTTGTACTTAAATATTTATATCTTTCTTTAGGTTCAGGAAGTTCTCTTTTATTATTATTTTGAAAAACCTTTCTACTCTTATTTCTCCCTCTACCTTCTTTTTAAGGCCAATAATTCTTAGATTTGCCCTTTTGAGGCTATTTTCTAGATCTTGTAGGCGTCCTTCATTTTTCTTATTCTTTCTTCTTTTGTCTCCGCCAACTGTGTATTTTCAAATAGCCTGTCTTCAAGATCATGAATCATTTCTTTTTCTTGATCGATTCTGCTGTTAAGAGATTCTGACGCATTCTTCTATATGTCAATTGCATTTTTCAGCTCCAGAATTTCTGCTTGAGTCTTTTAAATTATTTCAATCTCTTTGTTAAAGTTATCTGATAGGATTCTGAATTTCTTCTCTCTGTTATCTTGAATTTCATTCAGTTTCCTCAGAACAGCTATTCTGAATTCTCTGTCTGAGGTCACATATCTCTGTTTCTCTGAAATTGTTCACTAGTGCTTTATTTAGTTCATTTGGTGAGGTCATGTTTTTCCAGATGGTTTTGATGTTTGTGGATGTTCATTGGTGTCTGGGCATTGAAGAGTTAGTTATTATAGTCTTTGCCTTCTGGGCTTGTTTGTACCCATCCTTCTTGAGAAAGCTTTCCAAGTATTCAAAAGGATTTGGGTGTTGTGATCTAAGTCTTTGGTTACTACTGCCAGATCTGCATTAGGGGATGCCCCAAGCCCAGTAACACTGTGGCTCTTGCAGATTCATATAGGTACCATCTTGGGGTCTTGGGTAAGATCCAGTAGAAATCCCTCAATTGCTAGGCAGAGACTCTTGTTCTCTTCTCCTACTTTCTCCCAAACAAAGTCTCTCTCTCCATGATGAGCTTCATGGACTTGGTTGTGGGGTGATACAGACACCCCTGTGGCCACCACCACTGGGACCGTGCCAGGTTAGACTCAAAGGCATCACAGCACTGGGGCTCATCCAAAACTTACAGAGACCACTGCATGGCTACCACTTACGTTCACTTAATGCCCATGGGCTCTACAGTAAGCAGATGGCAAATCCAGCCAGGCTTGCGTCTTTCCCTTCAAGACATAAGTTTCCCTGGCCCAAGGTAGACCCACAGGTGCTGTTCAGGAGCTAGGACCTGGAGTCAGGAACCTTAGGAATCTAGCTAGTACTCTATTCTACTATTACTGAGCTGGCACCCAAGCTGCAAGACCAAGTCCTTCCCATTCTTTCCTCAAGCAGAGAAGTCTCTCTGCATAGCCACCACCACCACAGGCCCACGGTGAGCACTGCCTGGCAACTGCTGATGTTCACTCACATCCCAGAGGCTCTTTAGTTGGCCTGTGATGAATGCAGCCAGGCCTATGTCTCTTCCTTCAGAGAATTGGGCTCCCCTCTGGCCCAGGGCAGGTTCAGAAATACTGTCCAGGAGCCAAGGCCTTGAATCGAGGACTGCAGGATCCCACTGGGTGCTCTACTCCACTGTGGCTTAGCTGATATTATGCTGCAAGGCAAAGTCTCCTTCAATCTTTTCTCTCCTTTCCTCAAGCATAAGAAGCCTCTCACCCTAAACATCACAGCTGGGAATATGCTGGACCACAACTAAAGCCAGCATGGCACTGACTCTGACCAAAGGTGAGACCCAGTACTCATCAAGGTGAGTACAGCCTGTCTACCGCTGTTGGTTATTTCGGGCCCAAGGGTACTTTAGTTAGCAGATGATGAATCCTTCCAGGACTGGGTTCTTAACTTCAAGGCAGTGGGTCCCTTCTGGCCCAAAGTGTGTCTAGAAATGTCCTCTGGAAGCTAGTGTGTCTGGAATTGGTGGGTTCTTGGTCTCACTGACTTCAAGAATGAAGCCGTGGACCCTCGTGGTGAGTGTTACAGTTCTTAAAGGTGGCGTGTCCGGAGTTTGTTCCTTCTGATGTTCGGATGTGTTCGGAGTTTCTTCCTTCTGGTGGGTTTGTGGTCTCGCTGGCTCAGGAATGAAGATGCAGACCTTTGCGGTGAGTGTTACAGCTCTTAAGGTGGCATATCTGGAGTTGTTCATTCCTCCCGGGGGGTTCATGGTCTCGCTGGCTTCAGGAGTGAAGCTGCAGACCTTCGCAGTGAGTGTTACAGCTCATAAAGGCAGTATGGACCCAAAGAGTAAGCAGCAGCGAGATTTATTGCAAAGAGCGAAAGAACAAAGCTTCCACAGTGTGGAAGGGGACCCGAGCGGGTTGCCACTGCTGGCTCTGGCAGCCTGCTTTTATTCTCTTATCTGGCCCCACCCACATCCTGCTGACCTGCTGATTGGTCCATTTTACAGAGAGCCGATTGGTCTGTTTTACAGAGAGCTGATCGGTCCATTTTGACAGGATGCTGATTGGTGCGTTTACTATCCCTGAGCTAGACACAAAAGTTCTCCACGTCCCCACTAGATTAGCTAGATAAAGAGTGTTGATTGGTGTATTTACAAACCCTGAGCTAGACACAGAGTGCTGATTGATGCATTTACAAACCTTGAGCTAGATACAGAGTGCTGATTGGTGCATTCACAATCCCTTAGCTAGACATAAAGGTTCTCCAAGTCCCCGCCAGATTAACTAGATACAGAGTGCCGATTGGTGCATTCACAAACCCTGAGCTAGACACAGGGTGCTGATTGGTGTGTTTACAAACCTTGAGCTAGATACAGAGTGCTGATTGGTGTATTTACAATCCCTTAGCTAGACATAAAGATTCTCCAAGTCCCCACCAGACTCAGGAGCCCAGCTGGCTTCACCCAGTGGATCCCACACCAGGGCCACAGGTGGAGCTGCCTGCCAGTCCCGTGCTGTGCGCCCACACTCCTCAGCCCTTGGGTGGTCGATGGGACTGGACCCTGTGGAGCAGGGGGCAGTGCTTGTTGGGGGTGCTCCAGCCGCACAGGAGCCCATGGTGGGGCGGGAGTGGTGGGGGGAGGCTCAGGCATGGTGGGCTGTAGGTCATGAGCCCTGCCCCATGAGGAGGCAGCTAAGGCCCGGCGAGAAATCGAGTGCAGCAGCTGCTGGCCCAGGTGCTAAGCCCCTCACTGCCTGGGCCGGCGGGGCCGGCCGGCTGCTCCCAGTGCAGGGCCCGCCGAGCCCACACCCACCCGGAACTCACGCTGGCCCACAAGCACCACACAAAGCCCCGGTTCCCACCCGCGCCTCTCCCTCCACACCTCCCTGCAAGCCAAGGGAGCCAGCTCCGGCCTCGGCCAGCCCAGAGAAGGGCTCCCACGGTGCAGTGGCAGGCTGAAGGGCTCCTCAAGCGCGGCCAGAATAGGCGCTGAGGCCGAGGAGGCACCGAGAGTGAGTGAGGGCTGCGAGGGCTGCCAGCACGCTGTCACCTCTCACTAGGGCCTGGAATAGTGGCCTCCCAACCCCTCCTGGTGCCCTGCTCTACTGTGGTTGAGCTGGTATTCACGCTGCAAGACAAAGTCCTCTTTACTGTCTTTTCTCCTCTCCTCAAGCAGAAGAAAGGAGTTTCTCCCAGAGCTGTGAGCTGAGCTGTCTAGGGTCGGGGAGGGGTGACACAAGCCCTTGGTCACCCTAGCTGGTGTCTCACTAGGTCATGTGCACCCCAAGTCCAATGGCTTTAATCCCAGCACAGCACCAGGACTTGCCCAGGAATTGCAGACCTTGTGGCCTAGATTGCCTTTCAAGTTTAGTTAGGACCCCAGAGAACCTTATCTAACAGTAGAGGGGCTTGCCAGTACTTAGGTTTCAACTGCTGGGATAGACAATCTGCCTCTGGCTATGGCTTATCTAAATGATCCTTCTGTGGGTGCCACTGAGTTCTGCCCTGTGTTGCTTTCTGCTGTGACAGGACAGCACTGAGTTCCAATGCAAAATCCCACAATCACTTTGCTCTCCCTCCCCCAAGCACATACATTCTCTCTGTGTGCCACGCAGCTGCCGCCAGGGAATGAGAGAGGGGTGTGTTGCAGGTGATTCAAGACTATGTTTTCTACCCCCTTCAGTGCCTCTTTTCTTACTATGATGTTAAAAACAGGTACTGTGATTGCTCACCTGAGTTTTGGATTTTATGAAAGTGGTTTTTTTGTGTGTGTGAATAGTGGTTCAATTTGGTGTTCCCGGGCAGGGGATGATTGATGGAAATTTCTCTTTGGCCATCTTGCTCTGCCTCCCTGTAGTCTTGGCTTCCATTATTTCTGAGGAGAAATCTACTGTTAATCTTACTGAAGATTGTGTGTGATTCACTTCTCATGTGAGATAAGTAAATTCATTGCTTTTCTCTTATTTTTTCAAGTTTCTATCTGAATAGTTTGATTATGATGTGTCCAGGGTGAATATCTTGGAGTTTATTATTATGTTTTGAATTTGTGGAGATTTTTGATATGTAGCTTCGTGTTTTTCATCAACTTTGGGAAGTTTTTAGCCATTATTTCTTCAATTTTCTTTCTTCCTCATTCTCTCTCTTTTGTACTTCTATAATTACCGTATACCAGCCTATGCTAGTATGCTTGATGATGTCTTTTTTTTTTTTGAGATGGAGTCTTGCTCTGTTGTCCAGGCAGTGCAGTGGTGGGATCTTGGCTCACTGCAACCTCCACCTCCTGGGTTCAAGCGATTATCCTGCCTCAGCTTCCCAAGTAGCTGGGACTACAGGTGCGTGCCACCACGCCTGGCTAGTTTTTTCTATTTTTAGTAGAGGTGGGGTTTCACCATGTTAGCCAGGATGGTCTCGATCTCCTGACCTCATGATCTGCCCGCCTCAGCCTCCCAAAGTGCTGGGATTACAGACATGAAGCACCATGCCTGACAATGATGTCTTACATCATCCTGAATTTCTATTTTTTTTTAATGGACTGCTGAATTTCTTTTTTTTAATGTTTCTCTTTACTCATAATCTTTATTATTGTTCTTAGACTTTCATTTAGTTCTGCAGGCATAAATTCCTTTAGTTCTTCAATGTTTTTTAAAATAGTGAATTCTGAGTCCTTTCCTAGAAAACCAATGTCTGCACTTCAGGGATAATATATATTGACTGCTTGTTTTTTTTCCATGAATGGGCCATACTTTCTCTTTTTTTTCTTTTTTTGTATGTCTTGTAATTTTTTGTTGATAACGAGATGATATGGTTTGGTTCTGTGTACCTAGCCAAATCTCATGTTGAATTGTAATCCCCAGTGTTGCAGGTGGGACCTGGTGGGATGTGATTGGATCATGGGAGCAGTTTCTCAGGAATGGCTTAACACCATCCCCTTTGGTGCTGTTCTTGTGTTAGTGAGAGAGTTCTCATGAAATCTGGTTGTTTAAAAGTATTTATTACCTCCCCCTACTCTCTCTTCCTCCTGTTCTGGCCATGTGAAATCTTGGGTCTCCCTTCACCTTACACCATGATTGTAAGTTTCCTGAGGCCTCCCCAGAAGCAGAAGTCACTGTATTTCTTGTACAGCCTGCAGAACGATGAGCGAATTTTTTTTTAATAATTACCCAGTCTCAGGTATATATTTATAGTAATACAAAAACAGAGTAATAAGCCAGACATTTCAAAGATAATAATCTGAATTCTGGAATTCAAACTCTGCCTTCCCCAGGGTTAGTTGTTGCTGCTTATAGTTTTGGTTTGCTAGGTAACTTTCTGAACAAATTCTGTAAGGTCTGTATTCTTTTTATGTGTGGTCACTGAAATCTCTATTCTGTTAACTTAATGGTCAGCTAATGATTGGACATAGATTTGTTTAATGACTTGGAACTAAGAAGTCTTCTACTCTGAAACATTCAAGTTGGCTTTTCTCACATGTCTGCCACTTTGGCAGAGTTCATTCAAAGACTGGGTTCAGCTAAGACTGCCATGGTCTCTTTAGTTTGGTGGCCTCAAGTAATCAAACTTCTTATATGGCAGCTCAGGCTCTCAGGGAAAATGTTTTAAGGGATCTGTGTGACAGATACTAGGCATTTTATGACCTAATATTGATGTCTTACAACACCATTTCTGCTGCATTCTATTGATCAAGCAGTTACTAAAGCCAGACAAGATTTAAGGGGAAGAATTAGACTTTATAGACTTTATTTCTCAATATAAGAGTAGAATTTTTTTTCACTATCTTTAATCTGGTATAGTAACCATTAAACAAATAATTTTTAAATGGAAAAATATCTAAAATGGAGAACATAAATAGAGCATATAGCTTAAATATAGTCTTTGTATATATAGTAAAAATAAAAGTACAATATAAAATAATATGATAGAAGTAAAGCCAACAATACTGCTCAAATCAAACAACATAAATAGGCTTAACTCACCTATAAAAAAATTAAAGACTTTAATACAGCTCTTCAATCAAAGACTGATCAACTGTACAAACATTTGTAAGATTGTAAATCTAAAGAATATAATGAATACTTCTGAATCCTAGTAACAGACAACAGACCATCTTTTCAAATGCACATGAGAGAAGGGGTTGAGGAGAGCTAGAGTCAGAGACCCAGGAGTTTCCTGTGTCCAGTGGTGCTGGAGCTGCCTGAGATACCATGTTTCAGAACAGAGTAAGACCCCTGGTAAAGAAGAACTGAAGATATTGTACAGATATCAGATATAGTCTAATTACAAAGAAAGCACTAACTTGCCTCTGTGGTAACAGGGAATGGAATGGGCCCCAAGCATACTACAGCAGCTCTATGGAAAAGTGGCCAGATTGTTACATGGGTGCTCGTTCCCGTATCTCTTCACAAGGCAGGTCCTCCAGGCCTGGGCCTCCAGCCACCCCTCACCAGAGCTATTGAGCCAATAGCAACTTGGCAACTCCCCAGACAGAGAGCCTCCAGGGGCAACTGAAAGCCTGGCAGTGGAACTGCCCTTGCCACCCTTGTACTAATGAAGGACCAAAGACCCTAAGTGCCTTATCCATACCTCCAACAAGCTGCAGTCAACCCAAGGAGAAGTGTCCAGTCTCTCTCCCAAGGGTTCCCCCTGCCCCCTACTGCTCATCACAAGACAGGAAACCCCTGGCTTGGGCCCATAGAACAGACCCTCCATCCTAGGCTGATTGCACTGAGTGATTGCTGGCCTGCATCTCTCTGGGGTATGAGCTGCCAGGAGACACGCAAATGACCCTTGGACACAGCCACTACTAAGATCCCTTTCTCTACTACCTCCAAGTTGGGGAAGGGACACAAACACGGAGATCATCTCAGAGCTGCAGTGGGCAGCCCAGGAATGCCCAGTTACAATCTATAGCCATCACTCAAGGGAGAGAGGAACCCACACTTTCAAAGCTTTGGCAGGGAACATGGTTGCAACTGTGACAGAACATAAGGGAGCCACACAACCAAGTAAGAGTCTACCAACTGACCAATAAACCTAAGTTCCACCTGCTGAATCGCACCCTAAACCTTCAACACCAAAAATGCCTCACTAACATATCTTCCTTTGAATCCAGAGACAGAAACCAGCTTCAAATAAAGATCCTGCACAAAGTCTTGGCCCAGTCAAGACATCTGGAAAATAAGTGTATTGACTGTACTCAATCTACTCTGCAGTTAAAAAAAACACCCACATGCAGAGATGAGAAAGAACCAGTGCAAGAACTCTGGTAACTCAGATGGCCAGAGTATCTATCATTTGTCCTCCAAATAATTGTGCCAATTCTCCAACAGGAGTTCTTAACCAAGCTGAACTGGCTAGAATGACAGAAATAGAATTCAGAATATAAATAACAACTAAGATCATCAGGATTCAGGACGATAGGAAAACCCAATTCAAGGAAAATAAGAATCACAATAAAGCAATACAGGAGCTGAAGAATGAAGTAGTCAGTACAAAAAAGAAACTAACAGGTCTGACAGAGCTGAATAACACAATACAAGAATTTCACAATGCATTCACAAGTATTAACAGTAGAATAAACTAAACTGAGGAAAGAATCTCAGAACTTGAAGACTGGTGCTCTGAAATAAGGCAGCCAGACAAAAATAAAGAAAAAAAGAATAAGCAAAACCTCCAAGAAGTATGGGATTATGTAAAGAGGCCAAATCTATGAATCACTGGCATCCCTGAAAGAGAGGAGGAGAAAGCAAACAACTTGGAAAACATATTTCAGAATATCATCCATGAAAACTTCTTCAGCCTTGCTAGAGAGGCCAACAGTCAAATTCAGGAAATACAGAGAACTCCTGCAAGACTCTACACAAGATCATCCCCAAGACACATAATTATCAGATTTTCCAAGATCAAAATGAAAAAAATATGTTACAGGCAACTAGAGAGAAAGGACTGGTCACATACAAAGGGAACTCCATCAGGATAACAGCTTACCTCTCAGCTGAAACCCTACAAGCCAGAAGAAATTGAGGGCCTATCTTCAACATTCTTAAAAAAATCTTCAAGAATTACATATTCAGCCAAACTAAGCTTCCTAAATAAAGGAAAAATAAGATCCTTTTCAGATAGGCAAATGTTGAGGGAATTAATTACCTTACAAGAGATCTTGAAAGGAGCACTAATATAGAAAGAAAAGAACTCTATCAGCTAATATAAAAACACACAGACTTAGTGACACTGTAAAGCAACCACACAAACAAGCCAACATAATAACCAGCTAACAGCACATTGACAGAATCAAATCCACACATACCAATACTAACCTTGAATATAAACAGGTTAAATGCCCCACTTAAAAGGCACAGAGTAGCAAGATGGATAAAAAAGCAAGAGCCAATTGTAAAAAAGCAAGAGCCAATTGTAAATGCTGTCTTCAAGAGACTCATATCACATGTAATGACACTCCTAGGCCCAAAATGAAGGGATGGAGGAAAATCTACCAAGCAAATGGAAAACAGAAAAAAGCAGGGGTTGTAATACTAATTTCAGACAAAACATTTCAAACCAACAAAGAAAAAAGAGGATTAGATAATCATAGATGGTTCAATTCAATAAGACCTAACTATCATAAATATACATGCACCCAACACAGATTCATATGCACCCAGATTCATAAAGCAAGTTCTTGGAGACCTACAAAGAGACATACAGTCTCACATAATAATAGTGGGAGACTTCAACACTCCACTGACAGTATTGGACAGATCACTGAGGGAGAAAAGTAAAGATATTCAGGACCTAAACTTAACATTGGGTTAAATGGATCTGATATCTACAGAACTCTCCACCCCAAAACAATTGAATATACATTCTTCTCATCATCACATGGCACATACTCTAAAATCAACCACATAATTGGATATAAAACAATCTCAACAAATGTAAAAGAACCAAAATCATACCAGACATGGTCTTGGACCACAGCATAATAAAAATGGAAGTCAAGACTGTGAAAATTGCTCAAAATCATGTAATTACATGAAAATTAAACAACATGCTCCTAAATGACATTTGGGTAAATAATGAAATTAAGGCAGAAATCAAGAAGTTCTTTGCAAATAATGAAAACAAAAATACAACATACCAGAATTTCTGGGACACAGCTAAGGCAGTGTTAATAGGAGAACTCATAGCACTAAATGTCCACATCAAAAAGTTAGAAAGATAACAAATTAACCACTTAACTTGACAACTGAAAGAATTAGAGAAGCAAGAACAAATCACAAAGCTAGCAGAAAATGAGAAATAACAAAAATCAGAGCTGAACTGAAGAAAATTGAGACAGAAAAAAACATTCAAAAGATCGGTGACACCACACACACCTACAACCATCTGATCTTTGACAAACCTGACACAAACAAGCAATGGGGAAAAGATTCCCTATTTAATTAATTGTGTTGGGAAAACTGGCTAGCCATGTGTAGAAAACTGAAACTGGACCCCTTCCTTATACCTTATACACAAATCAACTCAAGATGGATTAAAGACTTAAATGTAAGACCTAAAACCATAAAGATCCTAGAAGAAAACCTAGGCAATACCATTCAGGAAACAGACATGAGCAAAGACTTCATGTCTAAAACACCAAAATCAATGGTAACAAAAGCCAAAGTTGACAAATGGGATCTAATTAAACTAAAGAGCTTCTGCAGAGCAAAAGAAACTATCATCAGAGCGAACAGGCAACCTAGAGAATGGGAGATAATTTTTGCAATCTATCCATCTGACAAAGGGCTAATATCCAGAATCTACAAACAACTTAAACAAATTTGTAAGAAAAAAACCAAACAACCCCATCAGAAAGTGGGCAAAGGATATGAACAGGCACTTCTCAAAAGAAGTCATTTATGTAGCAAACAAACATATGAAAAAATGCTCATCACTGGTCCTTAGAGAAATGCAAATCAAAACCACAATGACATACCATCTCATGCCAGTTAGAATGGTGATCATTAAAAAGTCAGGAAACAACAGATGCTAGAGAGGATGTGGAGAAATAGGAACGCTTTTACGCTGTTGGTGGGAGTGTAAATTGGTTCAACCATTGTGGAAGATGGTGTAGTGATTCCTCAAGGATCTAGAACTAGAAATACCATTTGACCCAGCAATCCCATTATTGGATATATACCCAGAGGATTATAAATCATGCTACTATAAAGACACTTGCACACATATGTTTATTGCAGCACTGTTCACAATAGCAAAGACTTGGAACCAACCCAAAAGCCCATCAATGATAGACTGGATAAACAAAATGTGGCACATATACACCATGGAATACTATGTAGCCATGAAAAAGGATGAGTTCATGTCCTTTGCAGGGACATGGATGAAGCTGGAAACCATCATTCTCAGCAAACTATCACAACTATGGAAAACAAAGCACCACATGTTCTCACTCCTAAGTGGGAGTTGAACAATGAGAACACATGGACACAGGGAGGGGAACATCACACACCAGCCTGTCAGGGGTTGGGGGGCTAAGGGAGGGATAGCATTAGGAGAAATACCTAATGTAGGTGATGGATTGATGGGTGGAGCAAACCACCATGGCACGTGTATACCTATGTAACAAACCTGCATGTTCTGCACACATACCCCAGAACTTAAAGTATAATAATAAAAAAAAGATCAATGAATTCAAGGGTTGATTTTTTTGAAAAAAATAATAAAATAGGCCATTAGCTAGATTAATAAAGAAGAAAAAATATCCCAATAAACACAATTAGAAATGATGAAGGGAATGTTACTACTGACCCCACAGAAATAAAAACAACCATCAGAAGCTTCTACAAACACCTCTACATACACACATTAGAAAAGAGATAGATATACCCACCCACAACTGAGTGGGGAAAAACTGATTCCCTGAACAGACCAATAACAAGTCCCAGAATTGAATGAGTACTAAATAGCCTGTGAACCAAAAAAAGCCTGGGATCTGATAGTTTCACAGCTGAATTCTACCAGATGTACAAAGAAGAGCTGGTACCATTCCTACAGAAACAATTCCAAAAAAATGAGGAGGAACTCCTCCCCAACTAATTCTATGAAATCATCATCAGCTTGATACCAAAACCTGGCAGAGACACAACAACAACAACAAAAACGTCAGGCCAATATTCTTTTTGTTTTATTTTATTATTATTATACTTTAAGTTTTAGGGTACATGTGCACAATGTGCAGGTTAGTTACATATGTATACATGTGCCATGCTGGTGTGCTGCACCCATTAACTCATCATTTAGCATTAGGTATATCTCCTAATGCTATCCCTCCCCCCTCCCTCCACCCCACAACAGTCTCCAGAGTGTGATGTTCCCCTTCCTGTGTCCGTGTGTTCTCATTGTTCAGTTCCCATCTATGAGTGAGAACATGCGGTGTTTGTTTTTTTGTCCTTGCGATAGTTTACTGAGAATGATGATTTCCGATTTCATCCATGTCCCTACAAAGGACATGAACTCATCATTTTTTATGGCTGCATAGTATTCCATGGTGTATATGTGCCACATTTTCTTAATCCAGTCTATCATTGTTGGACATTTGGGTTGGTTCCAAGTCTTTGCTATTGTGAATAGTGCCGCAATAAACATACGTGTGCATGTGTCTTTACAGCAGCATGATTTATAGTCTTTTGGGTATATACCCAGTAATGGGATTGCTGGGTCAAATGGTATTTCTAGTTCTAGATCCCTGAGGAATCACCACACTGACTTCCACAATGGTTGAACTAGTTTACAGTCCCACCAACAGTGTAAAAGTGTTCCTATTTCTCCACATCCTCTCCAGCACCTGTTTCCTGACTTTTGAATGATTGCCATTCTAACTGGTGTGAGATGGTATCTCATTGTGATTTTGATTTGCATTTCTCTGATGGCCAGTGATGGTGAGCATTTTTTCATGTGTGTTTTGGCTGCATAAATGTCTTCTTTTGAGAAGTGTCTGTTCATGATGTCCTTCGCCCACTTTTTGGTGGGGTTGTTTGTTTTTTTCTTGTAAATTTGTTTGAGTTCATTGTAGATTCTGGATATTAGCCCTTTGCAAGATGAGTAGGTTGCGAAAATTTTCTCCCATTTGTTATTCTTAATGAACATTGATGCAAAAATCCTCAACAAAATACTTGCAAACTGAGTCCAACAGCACATCCAAAAACAAATCTACTGTGATCAAATGGGCTTCCTCCCAGGATGCAAGGTTGATTCAACATACCCAAATCAATAAATGTGATTCATCACATAAAAAGACAGAAACCACATGATTATCTCAATAGATGCAGAAAAGGCTTTTCGTAAAATTCAACATTCATTAATGTTAAAAACTTTCAATAAACTAGGTGTTGAAGGAACATACCTCAAAATAAGAGCCATGTATGACAAACCCACAGCCAACATTATATTGAATGGGCAAAGCCTAGAAACATTCCCCTTGAAAACTAGCACAAGACAAGGATGCCCTCTCTTACCACTTCTATTCAACATAGTATTGGAAGTCCTAGCCAGAACAATCAGGCAAGAGAAAGAAATAAAAGGCATCCAAATATGAAGAGACGAAGTCAAACTATCTCTGTTTACAGATGACATGATTCTGTATCTAGAAAATTCCATAGTCTTGGCCCAAAAGCTCCTCCAGCTGATAAATAACTTCAGCAAAGTTGAAGGATACAAAATCAGTGTACAAAAATAACTAGCATTCCTTTACTCCAACAACAGCCAAATGGAGAGCCAAGTCAGAAAGGCAATCCCATTCCAAGTGCCACAAAAAGAATAAAATACCTAGGAATACAGCTAACCAGGAAGATGAAAGATCTCTACAATGAAAATTACAAAATATTGCTCAAAAAAATCAGAGAAGACACAAACAAATGGAGAAACATCCCATGCTCACGGATAAGAAGAATCAGTGTCATTAAAATGGCTATACTGTCCACAGCAATTTACAGATTCAATGCTATTCCTATCAAACTACCAATGACATTCTTTATAGAACTAGATAAATTTATTTTAAATTTCATATAGAACCAAAAAAGGGCCCAAATTGCCACAGCAATCCTAAGCAAAAAGAATGAAGCTGGAGGCATGATGTTACTCAACTTTATACTACAAGGTTATAGTGACCAAAACAGCATGGTACTGGTACAAAAACAGGCACGTAGACCAATAAAACAGAATAAAGAGCCCAGAAATAAGGCCACACTTCTATGACCATCTGATCTGTGACAAAGCTGACAAAAATGAGCAGTGGGGAAAAGACTCCCTATTCAATAAATGGTTCTGGAATAACTGGCTAGCCATATGCAGAAGATTGAAGCTGGACCCCTTCCTTACACCATATACAAAAATTAACTCAAGATAGATTAAAGACTTAAATGTAAAACCCAAAACTATAAAAAAAAAAACCTGTAAGACAACCGAGGCAGTATCATCCTGGACATAGGAATGGGCAACTATTTCATGACAAAGACACTGAAAGCAATTGCAACAAAAGCAAAAATTGACAAATGAGATCTAAATAAACTGTAGAGCTTCTGCACAGCAAAAGAAACTGTCAACAGAGTAAATAGACAATCTACAGAATGGGAGAAAATATTTGGAAACTATGCATCTGATAAAGGTCTAATATCCAGCACCTATAAGGAACTTAAACAAATTTACGAGAAAAATCAACCCCATTAAAAAGTGGATAAAGGTCATGAGCAGACACATTTTAAAAGAAGACATACATGCCACCAAAAATCATATGAAAAAAAGCTCAGTATCGCTGATCATCAGACAAATGCAAATCAAAACCAGAATGAGATACCATCTCACACCTGTCAGAATGGCTGTGATTAAAAAGTAAAACAATAATAGATGCTAGTGAGGTTGCAGAGAAAAGGGAATAGTTATACACTGTTGGTGGGAGTGTAAATTAGTTCAACCATTGTGGAAAGCAGTATGGCGATTCCTCAAAGAGCTAAAAGCAGAACTGCCATTCAACTCAGCAATCTCATTGCTGGGTATATACCCGGAGGTGTATAAATCATTCTACCATAAAGACACATGCACATGAATGTTCATTGCAGCACTAGTCATAACAGCAAAGACTCCAAATCAACCTAAATGCCCATCAGTGACACATTGAATAAAGAAAACGAGGTATACATGCACCATGGAATACTATTCCACAATAAAAAAGAAAAGGCACATGTCTTTTGTGGGAACATGGATGAAGCTGGAGGTTGTTATCCTTAGCAAACTAACACAGGAACAGAAAACCAAATACCATATGTTCTCACTTAAAAGTGGGAGCTAAATGATGAGAACTTATGAACAAAAGAAGGAAAGAACAGATACTGGGGTTTACTTGAGGGGGGAGAGTGGGAGGAGGGAAAAGAGCAGAAAAGGTAACTATTGGGTACTGGGCTTAATAACTGGCTGATGAAATAATATGTACAACAAACCCCGGTGGCATATGTTTACCTGTGTACCAAACCTTCACATGTACCCCCAAACTTAAAACTTAAAAAGCAAAAACAAATGCACATGAGTCATTCATGAAAATTAACCATATTTTAGCAATCAGAGAAAACCTCCATAAATTCCAAGGAGTAGGAATAATATTTTCTGGTCACAATGAAAAAATTAATGAAATTAATGCTGGAAAGGAAATATCCAAAGGATCTTCCTCCCAGGAACTTAAAAAAACATATATTAAGTAACATTTAGATCAAAGCAAAAATGCAAAAAAAATTGCATAATTTATTATAGATAAAATAATAAAAGCATGACCTATTATAATCTATATAAAGCAGTCTTCAAAGAAAAATTTATAATATTAACTATCTTTATCAATAAAAATAAAAAGTAGAAGTGAGTTAAGACCCAATTCAAAGAGCCTGTAAAAGAACAAGGTAAACAAAGAGCAGAAGGAAGAAATTAATAAAGATAAAAGCAGAAATTAATGCATCAGAAAACTTCTGTCGACAAACAAATGACAAATAAACTAAAAAGTTTATTCTTTGAAAAATAAATGAACTGCATTGTCAAAACACCCACATATCTAGCAGAAAAAAAATGGAGAAAGTGTAAATACGCAAAATAAAAGTGACATGTAATAATCAAAACAGAAATTCTAAAAGATTATACTGGACTATTGTGTACAACTATGGAAACAAATTAATTGTGAAACCTAAATGAAATGGACATTTTTTAAGAAAAATGCAACTTGCCATATTGATCCCAGCAGTAATAGAAAGTCTAAACAGACCAACTGTCATAGAATCAGTAGAGAAAATAACAAATGAGCTCTCCCACAAATGGGCGCCAGGACCAAATATTTTTTGACAGGGAATTCTGATAAATCTTTAAAGATTTGAGAAACCCATGTGCAATAAATACTGTATTAAATATTACAATGTTATAATAAATATTAAAACACAATAACTTTTCATTTCAAACAGTATTGGTAGTGGTAAAATAATAGACTGACTGCTAGAATAAAAAAATTCAAATAGACCAAATTGCAAATGGAAATTTAATGTCTGATAATGATATCTTTTCAAATCAGTGATGGAAAAGGAGTATTTAACATATGGGGTTAGGAGGACTGGATAGACTTATGTATAAAAACAAAATTGGATCCATTTCTCATACTATCCACCAGGGAAAATTCTGAAAGGATCAGAGATTTAAATGTGGTTAAAAAAAATCTTATAAGTAATAGAAGAAAGCTTGTGTTAATTGCTTTATTACCTGGGATTGGGGAAAAACTTTCTAATTATGACACAAAATACAAAAGCAATAAAGGAAAAAGATTGATAATGAAAAACTGATAATTACAACAACAATTTTTTAAAGGACAGAGCCAGCAAAAAGAAAAAAAGAAAAAAAACACCCACAAGAATACCAACCCCACTAACAAAGTAGAAAGACCAATAAAAAATTAGAAATAATTTGTGGCCTGCATCATAGGCAAGGATTTGATTTCCTTAACATCTTGAAAGCTTCTTAAAATTTTAAATGAAAAAGATCAAGACTCCTATAGAAAAATGAGCTAAGAATATGACAGTTTACAGAAAAAACATAAATGGCCTGTAACTGTATGTAAATGTGCTCACTTTTGCTCATAATAGAAATGCAAAATAAAACTAGACTGAGATAACATTTTTTGCCCATCAGATTATCAAAATTCAAAAAAACTGTGAACACACTCCATAGCGAAACTCAGGGAACAGGCGTTCCCATACATTACTGGTGAGAATGTTATATGACACAAACCCTATTAGAAGGGAATTTGACATAACTCTCTAAATTACATTTACCTGTTGACTTAACAATACTATTTCTGAGGATCTTTCCCAAAGATACATGGACAAAAATAAAAATCATTTATTGGATGATTATGGCATTATTTGTGCACAAAACTAGAGACAATCTGAATATGCATCAGTAGGAACTGGTTATATAAACTAGGGTGCGTCCACACAATGGTGTCTACTGCAGCTATTATAACAACAAGAAAAACCCCTGTCTAGCATTCTAAACTGGTTTTAAAGATATATTATTGAGTGAAAAAAGCAAGGTGTAGAAATGTACATATAATATGCTACCATTCATCTCAGTAAACATCTTAGGTCTCTGTTTTATATATTCATATGATATGGAAAGATAAACCAAAAGCTTAGATTTATGATCAAAGGTGGGAACAGAGTGGAAGGGACTGCATATCTCAACTTAAAGAAGTGGTTTTAAAATCATCAAAATATTTTACATAATTATAAACAAAAGTAAAAAGAGCAATTGTAAAAAAAGCAAAGTGAAACAAATGAGTGTAAGTACAAACTAAGTTGGTGGGGAATTATTTCAAGTTAGTTTAGAGCGCAGTAATTTTACTGTACATCTCCAGTGGGGTTTATCCCTAAAAACAAATAAAACAAAGATAATTTAAAAATTATTTCAGTAGTCATATTGTTAGGGGTAGTGTTATTCTGAAAGTGTTGTGCATGTATTATACAATAAAACAAATGATGAATTATGTTGATGTCAATGTGAATCAGAATTTTTGACATAGAAAGGACAGACCGATGGGCAACTCCTGAAGTCAGGAAAATCTTATAGTCCTGAATTTGAGTCTGAAATATCAATATCAACCCACGATGTATTTTATCTGGAAAAAAGAATATTTCTAACACTGGCCACATAAAAGGCCCAGAGACCATGACTTACCCAGTAGTAATGGGTCTCGTTTTTTCCCCAAAGTAGTCTCTGAGTATGACTAAAAGGAAGTAGGGCATTTTGGAGGAATGAGTGATTCCCGATCTGGGCAGGAAATGTAAGATAAACAGTAGAACAGGAAAAACAGCACTCCAGCAGGGCAGGGTCAGGTGTGAAGAAATGAAGCCAAATGAGTGGGTATAGTGATGCTGTGGTGTGCTGCACAGTTACCTTTGTAGGACTGAGGCACTCATTCTCTAATTGCTTAGAGTGTTGGCTGCTCATAGGTCACAGCTGAATCTTTCGCTGGGAATTGCTTTCAGAGGAGGGAAGCTGCCTTCTTGCCCAGGGTTACTCCCCTATTCAGGGAGCAGCCCTGCCTAAATTGAGACAACTTTAAGGGCCGCCCACGCTAGTGAGGAGGTCCTTGAGGAATTGGCTAAAGTTTACAGCTGTAACTATATTACAGTTTAGCTTTTTCCTATGTCCAGTCCTGTTCAGCACATTCCCCAAGAGCACTCCCCAGTAATCTGTCCAGTCCTGTTGGCCTCATTCCCCAAAAACACTCCCCAGTAAACTTGGGTGCAAATCTCTCTCACACAGTCTGTTTCTTGCAGAACTTGGTCTAAGAGAATGAGTATGGGAGCCATCTGGCTTACTGCCTTATTCTCCATATAAGGTAATATCTGTTTTTCATCCCATAGGATTAGCTTCCAGGGGTCCTAGCAAGGTGCATCACAGTGTCAAGAATGCACTGCATTCAGAGAAGTTCAAACTATGGATTCCCACCAGGCATTTATAATTCATTGACAGTTCTCCCAGAGCAGGTATAGTTTAGAAGTCATTTTTACCATAGGAAATGTTGCTTGGTAACATAGCTGACATTCCACCTTTACTAGGTTTCCAGGGAAACCGATATAGAAAGTTAAATCAAGGTCATTTTTCCATAGAGAAAGAGCACGAGTTTTATTAACCCTCTGTTCACATTTAAAATCCATGAGTTCATAAAGATAAGTGAAACAAAGATCCCAACAACTCTCACTAGAAAACAAATTCTATTATAATTATTTGAGAGGGGGTCTTACTCTGTTGCCCAGGCTGGAGTCCAGTGGCATGATCTCTACTCAGGCTCAAGCGATCCTCCGACCTCAGCCCCCCCAGATAACTATGGGCACATATGTCAACATGTCTGGTTAATTTTTAATCTTTATGTAGAGACGAGGTCTCCGTATACTGGCCAGGCTCATCTTGAACTTGGGTTCAAGTGATCCTCTCGCCTTAACCTCCCAAATTGCTGAGATTATAGATGTCACCACCATGCTTGACCAACTAATTCATTATTTTTAAACCTGGTAAATAAAGGAAAAGAATAATTTATATAGACTTTCTTATAGGAACTGCAGCTCAGGATAATGAATGAATTGATAAAGGGAATTTCCTCTTGATAGAAGTATGCCAGCTAATAAGTGAAGGGCAGAATTAAAAAGTATCTCCCCTTTGCCGCTTCTACTGAAAAGAAGAATCTAGACCAAGATCATCAGTGACTGCTAATAGCGCCAAGGGGAGACAATTAGACATTATGTGCCCCCTGATGGAAGTACACAATACTACCTGTAGTATTCTTGCAAAAACGTCTAACCTGAATCTTACCAAGCTTCTAGATCTAAGTACCAATTTTTGGGGACAGAGGAATAAGCTAAATAATATTGTAGTGACGCAATTTTCAAATTCCAGATTGTGGAAATCTCTGCGGGACAAATGGCCTGGTTTCTACAACAAAGTTATTGACATGGGGGGTTGGAGAGAGAGAGAGAAGGGGAGGGGAGCAGGGACCAACAGAAGGACAGAGAGACATGGATACGTGAAGAAGGGAATGCATAGATAAGAGAGACCTGAGAGACAAGAGGCATATTAACCAATTATAATGCATAAAACATATATATGTTGATTTGAACAATGTGTAAATTTATGATTCAGTTGAGCAAAATTAAACATTGAAAACCCCAGGCATTCTAAGGAGAGACACCTGGCCGACCCCAGGCATTCTAACAGGAGAGACTCCTGGCCAACCTCAGGCATTTTAGCAGGAGAGACTCCTGGCCATCCCTAAGCATTCTAATGATAGAGACACCCAGATGACCTCAGGATCATGAGGAAGAAATTATTAGTTTTTTCAGATGTGATTATGATATTGATTATGTTATTTAAGAGTCCTCTGTCTTAGTTCATGAGGTAAAAAAGAAAACTAAAAAAAGTCTTCAACTTTTGGAGATACAGACAGAAATATTTACAGATAAAGCAATAAAGTAATCTGTTCTTTTTCCTTCCAAAATAATCTGCACTGTAGGGAAATGGATAAAAGATTAGAGGTAACTGGATTGGACATAAGTTGATAACTGCTGAAACTGGGCAATAGAGTTCATTACATGTTTGAAAGTCTTCATTATAACAACTAGAAGCATATATACATTTAATTTTTAATATGATAATCTCACTCCAGGGAATCTATTTATAGATATCACCCCAATAAAAATGTTTTATGTAGCAACACTAACAACAAAAAACCGACCAATAAGCCCAGGAAATAAACACCCAACAATGGCATAAGGTTGAATAAATGATGATGCATTCATACCATGTAGTCAATAAAAAGAATAATTTAGCGTCAAACCAGTTTACCTGAAGTTTTCAGGAATATTGCTGAATGAGAATAGTGAGATGCACATATGTATGCATGAGATCCTATTAAAAAAAGAAAGACAAAAACCCTACATTTGCACATTTGTATATGTGAGGGTGCCCAGAGGGTTATTAACATGGGTTGGGAAATTGTTTTGGGTAGATAGTAGGGAGGTGAAGCTGCTGAAAAACTTTAGTAAAAATTAAAGGAAGCCATGGTGTGGCCCGTGTTCTGCGGGCCATGTTCTCTGGGTATGGCCAGAGTGCGAGCTGTCATGTCAGGCTGTGTTTCAGTCCTGCTTTGCCATTTGCCAGGGGTGACACAATGGAGAGGTTAGCAGTGTTCACAGAGCACCTACTGCATGCCCAGCCTGGCCTGGGAGCTCGCAATACACAAGTGAAGATGCCACTCCTTCTTCTGAGAAGCTGCTGTGCTAAGGTCAACATTTTAAGCACAGGATGCTACAGGCATATCACTTAATTTTATGAGCCTCAATTCCCCCATTTGTAAAATGGTGTTACAATATCTGCCTCACAGGGCTACTATGAAAATTAAATATGTGCAACATGAGTGTAGCTATACCTTCTTGGATCACACTCCTCTCACTATTAGGACCAAACATGTTATTATTGTCTCCAGGGGTAGGAAGATGGGTAGTTGAAATAGGTAAGGTGGGGTGTGGTTGGGGGAGAGTCAGAGAAAAGTCTGAGAGCTAAGGCATAAAAAAGTAAGGCAGAATTTTATGATTGTTTCTTGAGAACACAAAGGAGGCAAATTTTTTCATTTATTAATTTGAAAATATTAATTTAATGTTTACTATGTTATACAAGTTTATTTTCTCACAGTTCTGGAGGCCAGGAATCAAGTCAAAATGTGGGTAAGGCCATGCTTCCTCTGAAGGTACTAGGAATGATCTGTTCCAGGCCCCTTTCCTAGCGTCTGATAGTTCTTGGTTTGTGGCAGCACAATTTTAACTTCTCAAGGTTTTCTCCCTGTTTGTGTGTCCATCTCTGTGTCCAAATTTCCCCTTTTCATAAGGACACCAGTCATATTGGATTAGGGCCACTCTTTTCCACTATGACTTTATCTTTCCTAATTATGTCGTCAATTACCCTATTCCCAAATAAGATCTCATTCTGAGGTACTGGGGGTTAGGACTTCAACATATAAATTTACATAAAAGGAAAGGACATTGAAATGCTCAAGTGGGTGGGTGGGTTGCAATCTTAAATAGGGAATTCAAGGGGGGCCTCGTTGAGAAGGGGACACTTAAGTGAATGAAGGCTTCAGGAAGTAGAGAGTGGGCCATGTGTCAAGCAGAGGGAATAGCCAATGCAAAGGCACCAAGCTGGAGCAAGCTTGGGATTTTCCAGGAACAGCAGGGAACCAGTGTGGCTATAGCAGAGAGAAAGTGAGGGAAGATGGGAAGGCAGGGACCTGGTTGAGATCGTGTGGCCCTTGGAGACCTGTGAAGAACTTTGGCTTTTACTCTGAGCATAATGGGGAATTATTTGCAGACACTAGACAGTAGAGGTATGATCTGGTTTGTGTCTTGAGAAAGGTCACTTTGGTGGTGAGTTTTAGAATACATTGTGAACGGGTGGGGAAGCCATTAGGAAGCTAGGGGTGTGATCTAGACGAGAGATGACTGAGACAGAAGAAAGAGGTGAGACTTTCTGGGCAATGTCTTGAGCAGGGTAGTAGAGATGGGATTTGCTGCACAAATAGAGGGATTGGCTTTAAAAAGCCATGGCATGGTACCGGGCCTCTGAAAATATTTATAATTTCAATTCTTTCCGATTACTGCAAATTTAAAGAACATAGCAAAATATCTGGTGGACAGAAGGCCCTCAATAAAGGTCAGTTTCTTTTCTTTCCCTTGTATTCTTAAGTCTGTCTCACCCTACACTTCTCCATTCCCAATCACTCATCTTAATCTTTGCTGGCTCTTTAATCGTTAAAGAGTGTAAATTGTTGTTGGCTTAAAGCAGTACATTTTAAATTGTCCTCTGAGGAATCCTAGGTATTTGAGACAGTGCCGTGGGGCCCAAGTGGGGGTCAAATAATGGCTAACTGGAGGGATCTTGAGCTGTCTCTGCCCAATCCCCAATTCATACAGAAACACTTATACCTGTGGTTTGTACAGGGCTTTATCTTTTTTAAAAAATTGTTTCTACTTTAAAAAAATCCATTGTCTTAAAGCATTCCTCCTGTCTGAGATATTTTAAACCTTTTAAAACCAAATAAATTAGTCTTTAATGGTCAAATTTTAGATCCTGGTTCTGCTAGTTTTACTAGTGTTTTTCATATAGGCTTTTCTACTTTATCAAATAATAATGATGATGATGATCACCAATATTTGTTGAGGGCTAAACTTGCTCTTGTTTAGAATCCTGCCTAGGAAATTGTAAAGAATGAAGCTACACATAAAGTCATAGATCCATACAGGCATAGAAAGTAAGAGGTTGGAGTACCCTTTTAAAAATTCTCATTTCACCCTCTCAATTTATTAACAAAATAACAGAGGAATGTTGACTTGGTCAAAGTTACCCAAGAATAGCTGAATCGAGAATCCAAGTGACTTGTGTCTCAGGTCACCAGTTTTCCCATTATATGCTGCTGGGAGGCAGGTGTCCTTAGATTAGGATAGAGAGTGTCATGATCCAGCTTTTGAAACAAAAGGTAGACACGGAGTATGTACTGAAGACATTTGATGTGACATTTACCATCCCTGGGAGTTCAGGTTTACAAGCTCCACCACATTTAAGAGCCCTTTAAACTCTCTAATTGCTCATTTATCTGATGTTACACAAATAGTCCCCACAGATACAGACTGACAGGTAAACAGCTTGTTGAGAATTTATTTAAAATGATAAACTAACATAATGCATCTTCTCTTGAGAGAATTACCAAAAGCACAGGATTGCACTGCAGTTTGCAGCCATATTTCTTCCATAGTCACTATTGGCTGTGACCTTCTAATTTTCTTGGGGAATGTTTCATTCCTTGATCCGTGAATTACTGCACTGTAAGCAAACCTGGCAGATCTTTTGGGAACAGAAAGATTAGGGCAACCTGGTGAAGGTAAAAAGAAAACACTCTGGGTATTGGCCAGATCTGGATGGAAATCCTGCCTCTGCCTCTTATATCTGGCTTTCTATGGGCAATCTCTTCAGCTCACTATGCCTCAGTTTTCTCTCAGTAAAATGGGAATTATAGTAACATCTACCTCACTGGATGGTTGTGAGAGTTAAATGAGCTAAGTTGATACAGAAGCCTTCCCCCCAACATCTCTGACTCATGCTTCCCAGCTTCTCCTTGTACTCTGGTGATGGAGAGCTTCTTTCTTCTGCCTGAGGAAGCTCATTTCACTTCCCACTTGGGAGATCTCTCTTTTGGGAAACTCTTAAGTTGAGTGAATATGTGGTAAAGCTCAAGGAAACATAGAGTCACTTGGGAACTATATCCCAGTATTGGGACCCAGGTTCTTTGAAGTGTTGCTTTCTTTTTATGAAATCATTTTATTTTTATTGACCAATTTTGGGGGACATTTATGCTCCCAAACGGTGAGCCACGTTTCTTTCTAGGACACATTCCCCTGTTTAATTTACAATAAAAGTTTTTTAAATTCCAAAGGAAAATAAGCAATTTCTTAATGGAATTAAGTCAACAACGTATTTACTTTGTATTAGCTCTGAGCTAAATGCGAACTCTCAGGTTTTTCTTGTGCTAACTGCATGAAAAGGAGCATCAGCCTTATTATTCATAATGCTCATTCTGTGACATTCCTGAGTTTGCTTAACACTATTTCGTCAGTGTGATTACTTTGAACAATCTGAGTCCTTGTCAGTACTGCATGACTTGCTTTTATTAGGTAGAAGGGGTTCCACTAGTTGGGTTCTAGACATGGACACTTGTTGCAGCAACACAATTTCCCCTTGATAGTTAAGATTAATCGTCCCAGGCAGAAGAAGAATCGACTTCTTTGCCTGTTGTAACCCTAGCATGCAGAATCCAACATGACTGGGTCTCAGTCTTGACTTCCAACTCAATGAAACCATTGTTGTGTCACCCAGTGACAATATTTCTCTCTTGGGATCTAAGACTTTTTAAAATAGTAGAGCCTGAAAGTATAGGGACAGGAAGTATCAATTCTTCAAGTTGAAAGGGGCTATTCCTACTTCCATCTTTTGATTCCTGGACCCATGTACACTAGTTTTGGGGGAAACAGTACCATATGTTGGACATAGATTCAACAACATCTTTTAGGATAGTACCCCAACCTTGCAAGTATTGTTTCCCAGCTGGCTCTGTAATGAGTCTTCAGCAAGCTATTCTATGATTCTATCAATCTAGCGATGGGGTATGTGGTAAGACCAGTTGGAATTCCATGAGCATGAGTCACTGTTATGTTTCTTTTGCTGTGAAAATGAGTTATTTGGTCAGAAGCAATATTGTGAGTGGTAAGACAGTGAATAAGCATTTCATACATCCGCAGATGGCAAAGGGCAGAGTAGGCTGATTTGCATTCTGTAGAAAGGCCTATTTAATAGTGGAGAGAAACTGTTGCTCCTCTGTGATGGAAGAGATCCACTGTAATTAATGTGCCACCATGTGACTAGATGGTTTTCCAGAAAATGGCACCACATTGGGCTTTCAGCATTGATCCCTGCTGCTGGCAAGTTACTACTCAGCAGAGGTGGTAGGCAGATTAGGATTGATGGGTGGAGGCCCTTTTTGAGTTCATACATAGCCTCCATTCCTGAGTGGGATGAGTGAGCAATCACATAGGACACAAATGTACACAACTCATCCCCATTTGTAGGGGTACACCCACATACTCTCCCTGCAGACCTCCCTGGGGAAAGACATATTTTTCTTGTTCTTTTCAAACACCATCTGTGTAGCCAAACCATTAGCCACTGCCTGTGAATCATTGTAGACCCGAGTTCCTGATAATCTTATCCAGACAAAGTAGATGACAAAATGTGCTGCTCAATGGTCTAGGAGGGTCTCTCTTGACTACTATTTTTTGAGATACTCCTGATTGGGGTTGAACTTCTGCAGCTGCCACTTTCAGTTTGTACCAGCATATTGTGCAGTAATATCTGTAAATCAGACCTAAGTTTTTATTATTTGTCAAATGGTCATACAGATTTTCTATGATGCTGAAGGTTTGAGATGAGGGAGAGGTAAAGTGAGAGTCTCAGCTACTTGCTCATGGAATTTACTTGTGCCCAAAGGACCTGTTCAAAATAGATCTTGTATATACCATTTTACATGATGGAGCTGCTGTACATACCTAGTCTTATGGCTTTACCAAATGGACAAAGAACAGCTCATATCTGGTCATTTGATGTTTCACAGACAGGTATTCATTCTCTCCTGGTGTATAAGCCAAAAATTCTCTCTCAACAGGTGTAACAGTTAACATAACTACATAAAGTGGTCGCGGCCTTGCTTCAAAACCCTAGAATCTTGTGCTGTTATTTATCCTCTTTTAGGAGAATTCGAGAGGCTTTATACAGTATTTTTCTTGCCTTAGATATCTCAAGTACTATTGTGTGTTTGGGGTCACGTGATCTAAAGGCAAAACAGCTTGCATTTCACCAAACCTGCCCAAAAGCCTTCATTTGCTTTGTTCCACCACACAAAACTGGGGGTAATGTGAGCTACTCAGTAAACAGGTCAGAGCAGCACACTCAGATGTGTTATATACTGCTTTTAAAATCCAAGAGACTTATCAAGGATTGGATCTCTTTCTTAGTGGTGGGCAATGCAGGGAGCAGAAACAACTTTTATTTTGGAAGCAATGTCCTAACAAATTCTCAGACCATTAAGCCTCCAGAAAATTGCACCAAGTTGGTTGGTTTCTAAGTTTTAATGGAGTTTATCTCCTATCTTTTAGTAGTGCATGTACTGGTAGGCGTTTTATACTTTTCACCATATCCAATCAGCATGAATGTCATTTTAATAGATTAGTATAATGATTTGTAGAATGTCAAGATGACTAAGTCTCTGTGGCTAGATTATGACAGAAAGCAAGAGAATTAACATAGCCTTAAGGGAAGAGAGGGAAGGAAGGTGTATTGCTGTCCCAAACATAAATGAAATGAATTCTGAAGGCCCAGATGAGAAAGAGAGAGAGAATTGGCAGAATAACTGCCTACCAGGTGCCAAGGATTGTATTGATTTGCTTCATTAAAAAGATACTATATTTGGAACACCACCCGATCAAGTTTGCAATAATTCATTGTCATTCTTCTTTATAGGCCAATGAGTGAGTTAAATGGGTATGTGATAGGAATTACCACTCCTGTATTAATCACGTCTTGTGTTACTGATCTCTGTGATTCCCAGTGGGATGTGGTGTTTCTTTTGGAATAACTATTCTGGTAGAGAGAGGAAGTTCCAGAGGCTCCACTTGCTTCTTTCTGCCATAATAGTCACCACTCTATAGTTCAAGGGGTCAGTATAGGAATTCTACCAGTTGCTCAGTATGTCTATTCTGATTATACATTCTGGAAATTGGGAGTGATCACAGGGTGAGTATGTTGATTCACTGGACTTACTGTGAGATGTTCCCTGGCCAAAACTACTTATCATCTATTCTCCGTAAGCCTCAATATTAAATGTTACACTACAATGCAACATTGAGATATTAGCTTCAACTTAGCTCATATTTAGGAATTCTAAAGGTTTCACAGTACAAAGTAACCATCATAAATGGCCACAAGTCTTTCTGGGTAAGACTTGTAGAAAGATTTAAATTTTTTACCTGTGGATGTAATGCAGGGACCTCCTCAGAAGGGCTCAATATTACCTTCAAGGGGCTTTCAGAACTTGCAAGAAGCTCTAACTTTCTTTTTTATTGTTTTTTTGATATGGAGTCTCACTCTGTTGCCCAGGCTGGAATGCAGTGGCCAGATCTCGGCTCACTGCAAGCTCCACCTCCCGGGTTCACGCCATTCTCCTGCCTCAGCCTCCTGAGTAGTTGGGATTACAGGCACCTGCCACCGCGCCCGGCTAATTTTTTGTATTTTTAGTAGAGACAGGGTTTCACCTGTTAGCCAGGTTGGTCTCCATCTCCTGACCTCGTGATCCGCCCGTCTGGGCCTCTCAAAGTGCTGGGATTACAGGCGTGAGCCACTGTGCCCGGCCAAGAAGCTCTAACTTTCTATAAGGCCATTCATCAAGCTTCTTATTGCTAGATTTAGAATATTTCTGGTTATATAGGTACAGTAATTCTTTAGTAAACTGTCAATCTATTTTATTCTTAGGAATGCTGTGGTCAATTAGCCATTGTCAAAAGTTCCATAGAGGCCAGGCGCGATCACTCATGCCTGTAATCCCAGCACTTTGGGAGGCCAAGGCGGGTGGATCACCTGAGGTCAGGAGTTGCAGACTAGTCAGGCCAACATGGTGAAACCCTGTCTCTACTAAAAACACAAAAATTAGCTGAGCGTGCTGGCAGGCACCTGCAGTCCTAGATACTCAGGAGACTGAGGCACGAGAATAACTTAACCTGGAAGGAAGAGGTTGCAGTGAGCCGAGGTTGCTCCGTTGCACTCCAGCTTGGTTGACAAGAATGAAACTCCTTCTCCAAAAAAAAAAAAAGTTCAATAGAATCAAAACATTATGATAGCCACTTCATCTCAGTTCCCTACTATGTTAATTACACCAATCTTGTTTCTGGTTATAAAGTTCTACAATGTGGTTTCTGCTACTTCTGGATCATATTATTTTATTTTTATTTTTCGTTAAAATAATAGAGACATTAAAATGATACAGTATTGGATATCCTATGCTGATTTTATTCCTAAGGTATGTTTGTTGACTGTAATTAAAATTTTTGTTTCATTTTCTAATTGTTTGCTTCACTCATGATTTGGGCTCTCTGTTTGTCTGTTATTGGTGTATAGGAATGCTTGTGATTTCTGCACATTGATTTTGTATCCTGAGACTTTGCTAAAGTTGCTTATCAGCTTAAGGAGATTTTGGGCTGAGACGATGGGGTTTTCTAAATACACAATCATGTCATCTGCAAACAGGGACAATTTGACTTCCTCTTTTCCTAATTGAATACCCTTTATTTCTTTCTCCTGCCTGATTGCCCTGGCCAGAACTTCCAACACTATATTGAATAGGAGTGGTGAGAGAGGGCATCCCTGTCTTGTACCAGTTTTCGAAGGGAATGCTTCCAGTTTTTGTCCATTCAGTATGATATTGGCTGTGGGTTTGTCATAAATAGCTCTTATTATTTGGGGATACATCCCATCAATACCAAATTTATTGAGAGTTTTTAGCATGAAGGGCTGCTGAATTTTGTCAAAGGCCTTTTCTGCATCTATTGAGATAATCATGTGGTTTTTGTCGTTGGTTTTGTTTATATGCTGGATTACGTTTATTGATTTTCATATGTTGAACCAGCCTTGCATCCCAGGGATGAAGCCCACTTGATCATGGTGGGTAAGCTTTTTGATGTGCTGCTGGATTCGGTTTGCCAGTATTTTATTGAGGATTTTTGCATTGATGTTCATCAGGGATAAATTCTCTTTTTTTGTTGTGTCTCTGTCAGGCTTTGGTATCAGGATGATGCTGGCCTCATAAACTGAGTTAGGGAGGATTCCCTCTTTTTCTATTGATTGGAATAGTTTCAGAAGGAATGGTACCAGCTCCTCCTTGTACCTCTGGTAGAATTCGGCTGTGAATCCTTCTGGTCCTGGACTTTTTTTGGTTGGTAGGCTCTTAATTATTGCCTCAATTTCAGAGCCTGTTATTGGTCTATTCAGGGATTCAATTTCTTCCTGGTCTAGTCTCAGGAGGGTGTATGTGTCGAGTAATTTATCCATTTCTTCTAGATTTTCTAGTTTATTTGCGTAGAGGTGTTTATAGTATTCTCTGATGGTAGTTTATATTTCTGTGGGATCGGTGGCGATATCCCCTTTATCACTTTTTATTGCGTCTATTTGATTCTTCTTTCTTTTCTTCTTTATTAGTCTTGCTAGCGGTCTATCAATTTTGTTGATCTTTTCAAAAAACCAGCTCCCAGATTCATTGATATTTTGAAGGGTTTTTTGTGTTTCTATCTCCTTCAGTTCTGCTCTGATCTTAGTTATTTCTTGCCTTCTGCTAGCTTTTGAATGTGTTTGCTCTTGCTTCTCCAGTTCTTTTAATTGTGATGTTAGGGCATCAATTTTAGATCTTTCCTGCTTTCTCTTGTGGGCATTTAGTGCTATAAATTTCCCTCTACACACTGCTTAAATGTGTGATTCTGGTATGTTGTGTCTTTGTTCTCATTGGTTTCAAAGAACATCTTTATTTCTGTCTTCATTTCATTATGTACCCAGTAGTCATTCAGGAGCAGGTTGTTCAGTTTCCATGTAGTTGAGTGGTTTTGAGTGAGTTTCTTAATCCTGAGTTCTAGTTTGATTGCACTGTGATCTCACAGACAGTTTGTTACAATTTCTATTCTTTTACATTTGCTGAGGAGTGCTTTACTTCCAACTATGTGGTCAGTTTTGGAATAAGTGTGATGTGGTGCTGAGAAGAATGTATATTCTGTTGATTTGGGGTGGAGAGTTCTGTAGATGTCTATTAGGTCTGCTTGGTGCAGAGCTGAGTTCAATTCCTGGATATCCTTGTTAACTTTCTGTCTCGTTGATCCGTCTAATGTTGACAGTGGGGTGTTAAACTCTCCCATTATTATTGTGTGGGAGTTTAAGTCTCTCTAAGGACTTGCTTTATGAATCTGGGTGCTCCTGTATTGGGTGCATATGTATTTAGGATAGTTAGCTCTTCTTGTTGAATTGATCCCTTTACCATTATGTAATGGCCTTCTTTGTCTCTTTTGATCTTTATTGGTTTAAAGTCTGTTTTATCCGAGACTAGGATTGCAACCCCTGCCTTTTTTTGTTTTCTATTTGCTTGGTAGATCTTCCTCCATCCCTTTATTTTGAGCCTATGTGTGTCTCTGCACGTGAGATGGGTTTCCTGAATATAGCACACTGCTGGGTCTTGACTCTTTATCCAATTTGCCAGCCTGTGTCTTTTAATTGGAGCATTTAGCTCATTTACATTTAAGGTTAATACTGTTATGTGTGAATTTGATCCTGTCATTATGGTGTTAGCTGGTTATTTTGCTTGTTAGTTGATGGAGAATCTTCTTAGCCTCGATGGTCTTTACAATTTGGCATGTTTTTGCAGTGGCTGGTACTGGTTGTTCCTTTCCATGTTTAGTGCTTCCTTCAGGAGCTCTTTTAGGGCAGGCCTGGTGGTGACAGAATCTCTCAGCATTTGCTTGTCTGTAAAGGATTTTATTTCTCCTTCACTTATGAAGCTTAGTTTGGCTGGATATGAAATTCTGGGTTGATAATTCTTATCTTTAAGAATGTTGAATATTGGCCCCCACTCTCTTCTGGCTTGTAGAGTTTCTGCCAAGAGATCCGCTGTTAGTCTGATGGGCTTCCCTTTGTGGGTAACCCGACCTTTCTCTCTGGCTGCCCTTAACATTTTTTCCTTCATTTCAACTTTGGTGAATATGACAATTATGTGTCTTGGAGTTGCTCTTCTCAAGGAGTATCTTTGTGGTATTATCTGTATTTCCTGAATTTGAATGTTGGCCTGCCTTGCTAGGTTGGGGAAGTTCTCCTGGATAATATCCTGCAGAGTGTTTTCCAACTTTTCCATTCTCCCCGTCACTTTCAGGTACACCAATCAGACGTAGATTTGGTCTTTTCACATAGTCCAATATTTCTTGGAGGCTTTGTCTGTATCTTTTTATTCTTTTTTCTCAACTTCTCTTCTCACTTCATTTCATTCATTTGATCTTCCATCACTGATACCCTTTCTTCCACTTGATCGAATCAGCTACTGAAGCTTGTGCATTCGTCACGTAGTTCTCGTGCTGTGGTTTTCAGCTCCATCAGGTCATTTAAGGAGTTCTCTACATTGGTTATTCTCGTTAGCCCTTTGTCTAATCTTTTTTCAAGGTTTTTAGCTTCTTTGCGATGGGTTCGTACTTCTTCCTTTAGCTTGGAGAAGTTTCATCATCTGAAGCCTTCTTCTCTCAACTCGTCAGTCATTCTCCGTCCCACTTTGTTCCATTGCTGGCAAGGAGCTGTGTTCCTTTGGAGGGGGAGAGGTGCTCTGATTTTTAGCATTTTCAGCTTTTCTGCTCTGTTTTTTCCCCATCTTTGTGGTTATATCTACCTTTGGTCTTTGATGATGGTGACGTACAGATGGGGTTTTGGTGTGGATGTCCTTTCTGTTTGTTAGTTTTCCTTCTAACAGTCAGGACCCTCAGCTGTAGGTCTGTTGGACTTTGCTAGAGGTCCACTCCAGACCCTGTTTTCCTGGGTATCAGCAGCAGAGGCTGCAGAACAGCGAATATTGCTGAACAGCAAATGTTGCTGCCTGATCGTTCCTCAGGAGGCTTTGTCTCAGAGGGGTACCCGGCCTTGTGAGGTGTCAGTCTGCCCCTACTGGGATTGCCTCCCAGTTAGGCTACTCGGGGGTCAGGGACCCACTTGAGGAGGCAGTCTGTCCGTTCTCAGATCTCAAACTCCATGCTGGGAGAACCACTACTCTCTTCAAAGCTGTCAGACAGGGACATTTAAGTCTGCAGAGGTTTCTGCTGCCTTTTGTAACAATATAGTTTCATTGTACACCACTCCCCATCATTTGTGCTATTCTTGTGAAACATATCTGTATGTGTTATAAAGTGTGTAACATAGTGTTATAATTTTTGCTTTAGTTATATATCCTCTAAAGGAATTACAAATTCTATAATATTTTGTATTTACATGTATCTTTACAGGTAAGAGATCTTTCCAGTTCTCTTCAGTGTGTGTGTGTGTGTGCGCGCGCGCATGTTCATGTGTGTGTAGATTTGAGTTTCCATCTAAGTTCCCTTCAGTCTTTAGAACTTTATTTAGCATTTCTTCAAGTAGTATTCTCATGACAACAAATGCCTCAATCTTGTTTTATCTAAAAATGTCTTTTCTCACTTTTATCTTTTGTGGACAATTTTTGACAAGATACAGAATTCTGGATTTTTTTAGCACTTTAGAGGTATCATTTTATTGTGTTCTGACCTTCATTGTCTTTAAAGAGGAGCTATTATTCATTTATTTCTTTTTTACATTATGTGTTGCTTTTTTCTGGCTGCTTTTAACATTTTAACTTTATCTTTGGTTTTTAGCAGTTTGATCATGCATGCCTAGCCCTAATTTTCCTAGTATTTATTTGTTTGGGGTTCTCTGAGCTTCTTGGTTCCATAAATTGATATTAACCAAATTTGAGAAAATTTCACCTATAATTTCTTCAAATATGTTTTTATTCTCCATTGTCTGTTGCCTCTTTTGGGTCTTTAGCTGCATGTATGTTAGATTGCTTAATATGGGTCCACATATTACTGTGGCCCTTTCATTTTTTTAAAGTTTTCTGTTTTCCCTGCCCTTCACATTGGAAGACCTATATTGATCTGTTTGAGTTCAATGACTCTTTCTTCTGCCATTCCCAATTCACTATAAAATGCATCCAGCAGGCCAGGCATGGCGGCTTACCCCTATAATCCGAGCACTTTGAGAGGCCGAGGTGGGTGGATCACAAGGTCAAGAGATTGAGACCATCCTGGCCAACATGGTGAAACCCTGTCTCTACTAAAAAAATAAAAATAATACAAAAATTAGCCGGGCATGGTGGCGTGCACCTGTAGTCCCAGCTACTTGGGAGGCTGAGGCAGGAGAATTACTTGGACCCAGGAGGCAGAGGTTGCAGTGAGCCGAGATCGTGCTACTGCACTCCAGTCTGGTGATGGAGGGACACTCCATCTCAAAAAGAAAACTAAAACAACAACAACAACAACAACAACAACAACAACAAGAAAACCCATCTGGCAAATATTTATGTCAAATATTGTACTTTTTAGTTTTTGATTTTTCTATTTGTTTATTTTACATAGTTTTCACTTCTCTGCAGAGGATCCTCCTCTATTCATTCGTTTTTCTATTAATTTTTTTATTTAAACATCCATATACTTCTTTAAGTGCTTGAAAATATTAATAATAGCTGCTTTAAAGTCCTTACCTAATAGCTCCAATGTCTGACTTATCTCAGAGTCAGTTGATATTGACTGATTTTTTTCTCATGACTTTAACTTATATTTTCCTGTTTCTTCACATTGTCTAGTAAGATATAATTGTATATTGGATATTGTGGATGACACATGATTGAAACTCTGAGTTCTCTTATCTTCTTCTGGAAAGTGTTGATGTTTATATCAGGAGGCAGTTTCTTCGTTGGACTCAACTCCACATTCTGTCTCTCCTATGGTAGGCAACAGCTGAATTCAGCTTTTTCTGTCCTCCACTTACTGCTTTTTGCCACAGTTTTTGAAGTTTCCTCCCATGCATGTGTATTTCATTGATCACCTGAGGATTTGGGTTGGCTTTACATGCAGATTGTGCGGCTTTACCTTTATAGCTTCCTTACCTTTCAGCCACCCTGGAAACTCTGAACTCCAGCCTCTCAGTTCTCAGGCTGCAGGACTGTGAATATTTGCTTAACTTACACCCCCATGGTATGGATGTGGGAATGCCTGCAGGAGGAAATCTGCACAAACCAATATCCAGTGATGTCCCCTTTATCATGCTCCTCCGATTTCTGCCTGCTTTTCGCTGCTCTTTAATGTTTTCTACTAGATTACTTCTTTCCCAATTTTGTCCAGAGTTTATAATTGTTATCTATGGGAGAGTTTGTGATGGAAGTTACTCTTTTGTTACTGAAATAGAATTCCCTTACCCTAAACTTTTAAACATAAAATATATACTTGTACACCAACTCACCAAGTTTTTGATGTGGGGCTATGGCATTTTCTTTGAGTATGTACCTTTCTGATTATGTATGTTCACAATTTCCAATTTGGAGTTCTTCAAAAGTAGAACAAGAGCTTAAAGACGTTTGTGAAGTGCAAAGCTCATTGTCATGCTCCTAGGCTCAACCTGATAATTATACCTGTAGTTACCTAACTACAATTGTGAGGCCACAGTTGGTTTCAGCTTCTAGCAGAAAGATATAGCACAGTAAACACAGCAGGATATCAGGACAGTGTCAGGTATATCTTTCATGATGTTCTCGTAACATTCAAGAGTTATTTTGTAGCCCTTTGAATGACAGCTCACATGTGAGAGGAGACCGTAGTTGGGGGTATGAGAGTGAGACAGATTGTATTTTTCAGTTATGGCCAGGACAGTATTTCCCATTCCATATGTTCTTCTTAAGATGTGAACCTGTGACTTCTTTTATCATAGCGGTAGGAGTTTGTCTCTTTCCTTTGGGTCTACTTTGAGGAATTCGAGACAGCTTCTTTTTCTTTTTGGTAATATGAGGATTACCTGCATTTTGAATATTTGCTAGAATTCATTTGTGAAATCATCTGTCTATAGAAGTTTGGATGAATGGGAGATGTTGAGATGGTAGCTGTTTGACATATTTGTTTTTCTGGATAGGAATTCATATCTTTATTTAGCATATCAATGTGGCCATTGTCCAGAGGAGTGGATTACATATTCCAACAGTTGTTATTACATTGGTAAGAAAAAAAGAACTTGGGAAGAGAGCCTGATGGCCTGCACTTTTAGAAACTCCAATCTGCTTTCTATAGATAATAAAGAAAAGATGGTAAGATGTAAATGTTTCAAATACTATTAAAAGCAGATTTCAGTCAATATTATATTTGTAGAAGTAATCCATAGGCTTGTACATGTTAGGTTATTTGTTTTCAAGGCTGTGTATTTAATTGATTGACTTCATAATTTTTTTTATTTCAATAGGTTTTTGGGGAACCAGTGGTGTTTGGTTACATGAATAAGTTCTTTAGTGGTGATTTCTGAGACTTTGGTGCACACATCACCAAAGCAGTGTACACCATACCCAGTGCATAGTCTTTTATCCCTCACACCCCTCACACCCTTTCCCCAAGGTCCAAAAGTCCATTGTATCATTCTTATGCCTTTGTGTCCTATAGCTTAGCTCCCACTTATGAATGAGAACATACAATGTTTGGTTTTCCATTCCTGAGTTACTTCACTTAGAATAATGATCTCCAATTCCATCCAGATTGTTGCAAATGCCGTTGTTTTATTCCTTTTTACGGCTGAGTAGTATTCCATGGTGTATACATACTCATTTTTTTTTATCCACTTGTTGATTCATGGGTATTTGGGCTGGTTCCATATTTTTGCAATTACAAATTGTGCTGCTATAAACATGCGTGTGCAAGTATCTTTTTCATATAATGCCTTCTTTTCCTCGGGGTAGATACCCAGGAGTGGGATTGCTAGATCAAATGGTAGATCTACTTTTAGTTCTTTAAGGAATCTCCACACTGTTTTCCATAGTGGTTGTACTATTATAGTTTACATTCCCAGCAATGGTGTAAAAGTATTCCCTTTTTCACCACATTCATACCAACATCTGTATATATTTTTTTTAATTTTTTGATTATGGCCATTCTTGCAAGAGTAAAGTGGTATCGTATTGTTTTGATTTGTATTTCCATGACCATTACTGATGTTGAGCATTTTTTCATATGTAGCCATTTGTATATCTTCTTTTGAGTATCATCTATTCATGTCCTTAGCCCACTTTTTGATGGGATTCTTTATTTTTTTCTTGCTGATTTGAGTTCCTTATTGATTCTGGATATTAGTCCTTTGTCAGAAGTATAGATTGTGAAGATTTTCTCCCACTCTGTGGTTGTCTCTTTACTGTGCTGATTATTTCTTTTGCTGTGCAGAAGCTTTTTAGTTTAATTAAATCCAATCTATTTATATTTATTTTTGTTGCATTTGTTTTTGGGTTCTTGGTCATGAAGTCTTTGCCTAAGCCAGTGTCTAGAAGGGTTTTTCTGATGCTGTCTTCTAGAATTGTTACGGCTTCAGGTCTTAGATTTAAGTCTTTGATCCATCTTGAGTTGATTTTTGTATAAAGTGAGAGATGAGGATTCACCTTCATTCTTCTACATGTGGCTTGCCAATTATCCCAGCACCATTTGTTGAATAGGGTGTCCTTTCCCCACTTTGTTTTTGTTTACTTTGTCGAAGATCAGTTGCCTGTATGTAATTAGCTTTACTTCTGGATTCTCTATTCTGTTCCATTGGTCTATATGCCTGTTTTTATACAGTACCATGCTGTTTTGATAACTATAGCTTTATAGTATTATAAAGCCATATTTATAAATTATAAAACTATGGCTTTAAAGCATTCTTTGAGCTTCTTGTATTTGGATGTCTAGATCTCTAGCAAGGCTGGGGAACTTTTCCTCAATTCTTCTCTCAAATATGTTTTCCAAACTTAGATTTCTCCTTTTCTTGGGAAAACCAGTTATTCTTAGATTTGGTCATTTAACATGATCCCAAACTCCTTGGAGGCTTTGTTCATTAAAAAAAAAAAAGAATGTTTTTTTCTTAGTCTTTGTCAGATTGGGTTAATTTGAAAGGCTTGTCTTTGAGCTCTGACATTCTTTCTTCTCCATGTTTGATTCTATTGCTCAGACTTTCCAGTGCATTTTGCATTTCTGTAAGTGTGTTCTTCATTTCCAGAAGTTGTGATTGTTTTTTATTAATGCTGTATATTTCACTGGAGTTTCTCCATTTATATCTGGTACCTTTTTTTTTTTTAATTTCTTTAAGTTGGATTTCACTTTTCTCTGCTGCCTCCTTGATTAGCTTAATAATTAACCTTCTGAATTCTTTTTCTGGCAATTCAGAGATTTCTTCTTGGTTTGGATCCATTGCTGGTGAGCTAGTGTGATCTTTTGGTGGTATTAAAGAACTTTGTTTTGTTGTATTACTAGAATTGTTTTTCTGGTTCCTTCTTGTTCGGGTAGACTATGTCAGAGGGAAGATCTGGGATTCAAGGGTAGCAGGGGAGTAAAGTAGACTGTGTGAAGGTCCTTGGTTCTATTTTTGTTAAGTACAGTGGTTTTGTGTTGGTTGGCCTCCAGCCAGGAGGTGGTGCTTTCAAGAGGGCCTCAGCTGTGGTTGTATAGCTAGGATACAAGCTTGCCCTAGGGTCACCTAGAGATAAGTATTGAGGTTTCTCAGGTGGTGGGCAGGGCCATAGAACTCCCAAGAGAGTATGTCCTTTGTAGTTCCTCAGCTGTCCCACGGAGTCTGAAGTGGCAATCCACCTCCTTCCAAGGGTCTGTGGATTATCTCAGCTTTCCTGGTGTGTTCCTGTGGTAGGTCTTGGAGCAAAAGTTCATGATGTGGGTCTCCACATGCTGCTCTGTCGGAGCCCACAGTTAGTCTTGCCTCCTATTTGCCATTTTCCACAGGTCTTCTTTGACATATTACTTAGTTTCTATCATGGTTTTCCCTCTCCTATTTTTTTTTTTTTTTTTTTGGTTTGGGTAATTTATATTTTCCTTTGAAAATCACACATTTCATTCATATCTTCAAAATTCCTAACACATTGTTGAATGAAGTGTTCTTTTGTGTATATCTTTGGATTTCCTTGCATTTGTGTTTTCTCCTTTTTTCATTCCTATTTTATAATTTTGTACTTTCTACATTTTATTCTTGACTAAACTGACAAATGATATTTTAGCTGTATTGAATTTTTTTCTCTGAAGAATCTGCTCTTAAAATATTTAATTCTATTTGTTTACCACCAATTTATTTTTTGTTTATATTTTTCTCAAACTTTTGAAAAATTGTTTTTTCTTTCTCTTTTAATCTTTGATGATGAATATTTATTTATTTTCATTCTTGTGTGTTTAGAGATATGTGTCCAAGGATATGAACTTTCCTCTGGGTACAATTTTGAAGTTTTTGTAGTTCTAATTTGTAATGTTATTTTTAAAAGATAGTTAACGATTGCAGTTAAATCTATTATCTTTGACCCAATAGTTAATTGAAATGTTTTTCTCCTGATTTTCCAGTGTTTGGTTTTTCTGTTTCTACATTTGTTACTTATTTGTTTTATTGTATTGCCATCTTAGAATGTGGTTGGTATTATAATAGCTTCTTGGAATTTATTCCTGAAAGATGTTAATTTTTATAAATGCATTATAGCAACCTAGAGATAATTTTAATTATTCACATATTTTATATCCTTATTTATATTCATATACTTTATCTGTCAGAGACCAAAACAGGTACACTTGAATCTTTTTATTACTTTTATATTTTTGTCAGTTTCTCTTTTATTTTCCTATGATTTTCCATTACAAATGTTGATGCTTTGTTATTTGATTCCTAATGGTTCATGACAGTATAATCTCCATGGACTGCAGACTTCATCATTACTAAGTGACTGCTTCTGTCCCTATGCAATGCTTTTGACCTTGAATTCAACTTTGTCTAATAACAGTGTCACAACTCCTATCTTATCTCCATTCAGATTTCTGCTCTAGGTTAGAAAGTTGGTTTGGGGACAATAGAAGTGATGTAGCTGCCCATCTCTCTCTCAGCCCTGTCTGCATTATTTCCTCTTGTAGTAGAAGAACAGCCTCCTGCAGGGTTCACTTTCTTCTTCCTGGCTCTCCTAAGCCCGTGTTTCTATATCTCCTAGGTGAGCCCGTGAGATCCCTCTTCTTTATCTTTTCAGGTTTTCTAAGCACTGGGGATGCACTCATGAATAAAATACAGACACTGAGTCTTAAAGTCCTCTTGCTTTATTGGAGACAATCAGAGTGTAAATTCATAGTACAGAAAAATAAGAGTTACAATTGATGCGAATTCTGCTCTATGTAGGTAGATGCTGTGGGACTCAGACAAGGAACACCTCCCCATTTCAGTCTTCCTGAGGAGGTGAAATGAGGTGGCCTATGGCCTGAATAGGAGTTAGCCAAGCAAATGACAAGGTATATGTGGTATACAAGACAGACAGGATAATATAATCAGAGTCATGGAGATTGTTATTAATATTCACTCTTCACAGAGAAAGTAGTTGAGTTTCAAAGAAGTGATGTACTTAGCCCAAGATAAGAGTTAATAGGTGGTGGGGTCAGACTTGAATCCAGGTCTTTCTAAACCTAAAGTCTGTATTCTTCTGTCTAGTGTGTCACTTGCCCAAATACATTTTCCTTTCAGTCACATTCCATTTCCTTGCCCTCTTTATGTATTTATGTGTCTAGCTATCATACCCTTCTCTAGTGACAAAGCTTTTATACAGAGGAGCAAATGACTGACAATAGTCTAAGATACTTTCTCTCCAAAGAGATCTGTATTTTCATGATGTAAGTTAGAAGCTAAAAGAATACAACTACAGCAATGGAATTCCATTCTTTGTTCAGAGAGGGAGATTTCAGAGTTGCCTTGTCAATGTCTGGTAAATTTCACCACTTGAGCTGAAAGTTGTGAGTCTGAGTTAAAATCTGGCCTTGTTCTGAGCATCCCTCTTTTTCTTTGGATTTCTATTCTTTGTGTCCCTTTTCTCACACTAATTCCCAAATTCTTTGTACAAGGAAGGAGTCTCCAACCCATTTCCTTTATGACTGAAGTGATGGAAGACCTGGCCCTCTGGAGGAAGGTGCTGATTGGAATCATAGACTGCAATGGATGAGAACAAAATTTTTCACCATTTGCACTTTTCTAAAGCCATTCTTGCTTATGTTTTGGTTCATATTTTATTTCCAGGTCTTGTGAGGACCCTTTATCTTGGAGTTCTGAGCCTTCCTTGTCTAAAAAGATTTTCAGAGTTGTGGGCATGCTTAACTTACTAGTGTCAGGAAGAGGCTGTGATGGACCTTGGGCTCTCTGTGGGTGTTCTTTTCTGAATTTGCACTGCCCTCTCAGCCTACATCTTTAGACCTCTTTGTGGTGGGAGCCCTCTGAGGCCCTGAATCTGGTTGTTCAGTCCTCCTGGAGTACATTTGCAGTTGGGGCTGGGAAGAAAGGGCTTTCCCTCAGGCTTTGTCTATTCCCTGTTTCAGGAAGATAGGTGGTCTTGCCAAGAGCCTGGTCAGTGAGAGCTATCTTGCTCACAGGTGTTTTATTCTGTGGCTCAGTATTTAGTGAGCTCTGCTCATTCAACATTGATCAACAGTTTCATATCCACCCTAGAGTTTCCAATTCCAATGAGTATTGCTTTGAAACTCAGGGATTCCCTAACACTTGGCATGAATTATTCTTAACTTTCCATCTGTATTTATTTATTCAATCAAACACATACATACCATCTTGGAAAGCTGGATTGTGCCCAGGGTGTGTTAGCTACTTTAAGAAATGTAAAAATAGAGGTTCTTTATTACATCATTCAGTTTATACTTTTGCCTTTGCTGACTATATTTTTCAAACCAAAATCAGGGTATATGGTGGGCGTTCATGATTTTTTATTTTGAAATAAAAGAATACCTAATGAAGACTTGCTTAAGCAGGGAGGAAAAGGAGTTTTTGGCTCATTTAACTGAAAATCCAAGAGCATAGATAGTTTCAGGTGCAACTGGTTCTGAGGATTCAAATAGTCTCAAGACTCAGTTCTCATCATTACTATATCGGCTGCAGTATCAGGTTCTATGTGGTAACATAATAGTGGCAACAGACTCACACTTTGTCCTTAAGGTTTAAATCCAGAAATGAAGAACCTGTCTCTCTCCCAGAAGTCTCAGCAATATCTTACTGACTCTGATTGGGTCATGTGAGCATCTTTAAGCCAATCACTGTGGCTAGAAAAATGCGGTGTGCTGATTGGCTTAGACTCAAATTACATGTTTACCCTTACAGCTGGGCATGGCTTTAACTCATTCAGATTACATGGATTGAATATGAGACAGGGTGGTTCCCCAGAGAAAGACTGGGATAAGACACCAGCACAATGGCAAAGGGATGATGGGAGGCCAAAGCAACAGATATCCACCACACCTACTCTGATCAAGAATTTTTGAACTTCTGGACATAAAGCCAGATTGGAAGAAGTAATATGATGCCAGTGTGTTGTCATTTCTGGAACATATTTTTTGGGCAATGTAAGTTTGTCACAGAAAGTCAGTGATTTATGGTCATAGAACTGCTATCTCAGTCTTGATAGTCTTTAAAATTATTTGGTAACATCTCCCAGGAAAAACCAACAGAGAAAAAAGTGTTTTACCCAGTCTGGATACTGTTGACAATTTTGAGAGACATTGTTTTGAAAACTTATTTATTATATGTGCTGAGTACCTCTAAATTGCTTTTAACATCTTGCAGAGAAGCCTGAAGTGCTCTGAAGGCTGCCAACAAAATGTCAAGTGAGTCCACTGACAAAAAGGAAGAGAAACCTTGGAAAAACATTATTGCTTATGTTCCATCTGAATCTGAGCAGCTGACCTGAGGAAGGAGGTAAGAAGAAATGAAGGAATGAAATACTGAGTAAGCACTTTACTAATAGTTTTAGAGGGAGGGATTCTACCTTTATCACTGAAACTCTACGAGAAACACCCATAGCTTCAAAGACATTGGAATGCCTTTGCTTGTAGAGCAAAACTTACAGAATGAAAAAGAGACCTCAGCACAAATTTCTTTGAGCAATGTTTACTAACAGACTTGGGTTAGCCAAATGATTCCTCAAAAAGCTCTTAACATTTTTAGGAAAGCAAGCAAAATTATTAATCTTGAAATATTCATTATCAGTAGACATATTTTACGGCAAATACAGAACAGTAAACTTGTGCCAGGACAGTGATCTGATAGTGTTGGGAGAGACAGCCATGCTGCATAGATTAAAGTCAAGGCAGTGGAGAAATGCTTATAGATAAGTAGAAGCCATAGAATTCAAGAGCTTCCAGGGAAAATTCTATTCCAGTGAATGCAGAGTCTCACTGCTAACAAAAGTATTTGAGCAAATTCATTAAGGACAAAACTGTGGTAAGCTCCCAGAGAATAGAGATAGACCTGTAAACTCTGAGATGGCTTGTCCTTTGGAGATTTGGGTGGTAAAATCACTGGGTTGAAAGGTTTGTGCTATTTATTTTGCTTACATAGTTAAATTAACATGATGTATTACTCTTTGAAAGGATTATATGCCAAAAGGCCAGTGGTTATTCTGATGGTCCTGAGGTCTCCTAAGGGACAAGCTTGAGGAGGGACTTAAATGGCCAAGGATGAAATAAGAAGCAGAAGAGGCTAATGGTCTTTCTGATCCAAAGCTGTAAGGCCCAATGAACCAATTGAGTTTAATCTTTCTTTTCCCCCTTTCTCATGTCCTATGTGCTTACACACAAAGTTCAAGACAACTTTTGCCCCAAAATTGCCTCAACCAAAAAATGCCTGAGTGGTAGGTGGAAAAGGGGAGTTCTGTTTTTGGTGTTCAAAATCCTTTCCTTTTATGTTTTGGGTGCTTTTCTTTGGAATTACCTTTCCTCCTCTTTGAAGAGGTGAACTTTAGAAAGGAAGACTTATAGATGACTTTGGTTATAGCTGCCTCTCAGGTAAAAGAAGCCCTCTACGTAGTTTATCCTAGCTTACTGGGGGCTAGAGTGGAATTGAGGCCACAGTTTCCTTCATGGTAACACATAGGATGTTTTCCTGGCATACATGACACTATAGAGGAGGAAAGGGAAATGGAACAGGTGACTGTGCAGAAGTGGATTCTGAATTTTGGTATCCTTGATCCAGACAAATTTAGCCTGTTTCCATCACTCACAATCATCCTAGGTAGAATTTAAACTTAGATCAACCAGATTTCAAAGCTCATGCCTTTTCTTTGAAACATTTTCTACTCAGAAGCAGTGTCATGGAGGACAGGTAGAATTTAGAAAGGCAGAGGGGTGGGGCAAGAGGACTCAAGAGAGGGCAGAAGAACAAGGAAAGGCAGAAGGCCAAGGAGAAAGCACTGGATTACTAAGGATGGAATGTGGTGGTGGTGGTAGAGTAATTGAGACCTCTGGTGCTGGAAATGGGGACTTTAGATGTAGTGATAATAGAAAAGTGATAGTGGAGAAATCGAGACCAGGAAAGGACCCTGTCTTTGGAAGGTGAATGGAGTAGTCTGGGGAGTCTGAACAGACATGGACATGGTGGCAGCAGACTGTTAGGGGCAGGAGCCTTGCGGCTGCTGTGGTCAGCAGCGACTGATTTTCCCGAACTCTTTCATAGACACACCAATCCATCGGCTCCAATTCCATTTTTGCTTTGGAATTGCATTTCTAATCCAATTCCTCGATCTGTTGGCATTTCCTCTGTCTCAGAGGCTTGCAGGCCTGTGACTGAAGAGGTGCAGCTCCCAGTCCCCCTCACTTAGCACTGTCAGTTGGCGGAAGTTAAGAGTACAAAGGATCTTGGTGGATGGCTCAGAGTTCCTGCAGCTAAGTTATGGCCAGATTAAGGCCTTTAGATTGAGTCACAAATGTGAGAGAGATTCTGGAAGTAGAGGAAGGCAGGTTTAGAAAGAAAAAGTGGTTCCTTATGAGCTGATCTAATCACAAATGAGCAAAGAAAGCTCCTGGAGCCTAGGCGACATGCTGGCTGAGTAAATGAGGAAGAGGATTTTCACCAAATAAACTGTCTCCACCTACCACTCCTCAATTACCCTTAACTCTTCGGGGCTAGCATGGTAATGATGCATTTAGTTCCCAAGACCTGTAATGGAAAAGAAGAAGGCAAACTGGTTAAAACAAATAATGACTCACGTGACTAAAATGTCTAGCAGTAGAGAGTGCAGTCTTTAGGCACATTCTGACCAGGGCTCTGGCTCCATTTCTCTGGCATTCTTTCTGCTCTGCCATTTTGAGTCAGTTGCATTCCCAGACTGGCTTGCCTTAGAGTTCAATGGTTGGAGCATTCCTGGGCTTCACATCAATACACCATTCCATTCAGAGAAAGAGAGATTCTCTTTTCCAAACCATCAAAAGTCTTGAATTTTGTTCTAATTGAACCAATTACTCTGTTGAGGAGGAGGATCTGCTGTAGGACTTTTGGGGCTAGTGTCAGGATTGGGGTTGGTAGATCAATCTCACTCAGACCCTGTGCCTACACAATGGATGGAAAGAGATAGATGTTGGAGGGAGAGGGCAGCCAGCAATGTCCTCTCCAGAGTCATCAGAGCAATGGACAAGTGTATCCATAGCATGGATACACTTATGTGGAAGAGGACAAAAAACATGTTTACCACAATAGTACAGATCTAGGGCCATACCTGGAATGGGTATAGCATTGCAGAAGAAATATTTTTTCTTGTTTACCCCAAATATACCATTGGCAGCAAAGGCAATGATTACAGGGTCATCTTCTCTATGACATTTCCATAGCCTTGCCAAAGAAATAGGTTGATAGATTGATGTATAGATGGATGGATGGATAGCTAGCTAGCTGGTGGATAGGTGGCAGATAGATGGATAGATAAGGCAAATTCCATGGGTCTATGTGTCTGTTTTTGTACCAATACCATGATGTTTTGGTTACCATAGCCTTGCGGTATAGTTTGAAGTCAGGTAATGTGATGCCTCAGCCTTAGTTCTTTTTGCTTAGGATTGCTGTGGCTATTTGGGCTCTTTTTTGGTTCCATATGAATTTTACAATTTTTTTTTCTAATTCAGTGAAAAACGTCATTGATAGTTTGAAAGGAATCACATTGAATCTGTAAAATGCTTTGGGTAATATTGCCATTTTAATAAAATTGATTCTTTTTATCCATGAGCATACAGTGTTTTTACATTTGTGTTGTCTCTGATTTTTTTCAGCAGTGTTTTATAATTCTTGTTGTAGAGATCTTTTACCTCCCTGGTTGGCTGTATTCCTAGGTATTTTATTCTTTTTGTGGCTATTGTGAATGGGATTGGATTCTTGATGTGGCTCTCAGCTTGGACATTATTGGTATATAGAAATGTTAGTGATTTTTGTACTTTTTTTTTATCCTGAAACTTTGCTGAAGTTGTTTATCAGTTCTAGGAGCCTTTGGGCAGACACTATGGGGTTTTCTAGGTGTACAGTCATATCATCTGTGAAGAGAGATAGTTTGATTTCCTCTCTTCCTATTTAGATGCCTTTTATTTTTTTCTCTTGCCTGATTACTCTGGCTAGAACTTCCGGAACTATGTTGAATAGGAGTGGTGAGAATGGGCATCTTGTCTTATTCTGGTTCTTAGGAGGAATGCTTCTAACTTTTGCCTGTTCAGTATGATGTTGGCTATGGGTTTGTCATAGATAAGTATTATTATTTTGAGGTATGTTTCTTCAATGCCTAGCTTGTTCAGGGTTTTTAACATGAAAGGATGTTGAATTTTATTGAAAGCCTTTTTTGTCTTTTGAGATGATCACATGGTTTTTGTTTTTAGTTCTGTTTATGTGATGAATCACATTTATTGATTTGCATATGTTGAACCAATTTGCATCCCAGGAATAAAGCCTACTTATTTGTGGTGAATTGGTTTTTTTGATGTGCTGCTGGATTTCACTTGCTAATATTTTGTTGAGGATTTTTAAATCTATATTCATTGGAGATATTGGCGTGAAGTTTTCCTTTTTTATTGTGTTTCTGTCAGATTTTGATATCAGAATAATGCTAGCCTCCTAGAATGAGTTAGGGAGGAGTCCTTCCTTCTCAATTTTTTTGGAATAGTTTCAGTAGGATTGGTATCAGCTCTTCTTTATACATCAGTAGCAATCAGCTGTGGACCCATCTGGTCCAGGGCTCTTTGGGGTTGGTATGTTTTTTTATTACTGATTTAATCTTGGAACTTTTTATTGGTCTGTTCAGGATTTCAGTTTCTTCCTTGTTCAACCTTGGGAGGTTGTATGTTTCCAGGAATTTATCCATTTACTCTAGGTTTTCTAGTTTGTGTGCATAGGAGTGTTTATTATAGTCTCTGAGGGTTTTTAAAAATTTTTTGTGGGGTTGGTGGTAATGTTCCCTTTGTCATTTCTGACTATGTTTATTTCTATTTTTTATTAGCCTACCTAGTTGTCTCTCAATCTTATTTATTCTTTTAAGGGACCAACTTTTGGTTTCGCTGATCTTTTCATGGATCTGTTTCATTTTGTTGTTCATGTGTCTGTTTCATTCCGTTAAGCTCTGATTTTGGTTATTTATTTTCTTCTGCTAGCTTTGGGGTTGGTTTGCTCTTGTTTTACTAGTTTCTGTAGGTGTGATGTCAAGTTGTTAATTTGAGACCATTCAAACTCTTTGATATGGGTGTTTAGCACTATAAACTTGACTCTTTACACTGCTTTAGCAGTGTCCCAGAGATTCTGAAATGTATCTTTATTTTTGTTAGCTTCGAAAAATTTCTTGATTTCTGCCTCAATTTCATTATTTACCCAAAAGTCCTGCGTGAGCAGATATTTTAATGTCCATGTAATTGTATGGTTTTGAGAGATCTTCTTGGTGTTAATTTCTACTTTCGTGCTGTGGTCTGAGAGTGTGGTTGGTATGATTTTGGTTTTATTAAATTTTTTGAGAATTGCTTTATGGCCAAGCATGTCATTAATTTTAGAATGTGCACAACATGCTGATGAAAAGAATGTTTATTCTCTTGTTTTTGGGTGGAGTGTTCTGTAGATATCTGTAAAGTCCAATTGGTCAAGAGTTGAGTTTGGGTCCCAAATATATTTGTTATTTTTCTGCCTCAGTGGTTTTTCTAATACTGTCAGTGGGGTGTTGAAGTCTTCCACTATTATTGAGTGATGATTCAAGTTTCTTTGTAGGTCTCTAAGAACTTGTTTTATGAATCTGGGTGCTCCAGTGTTGGGTGCATATATATTTAGGATAGTTAAGTCTTCTTGTTGAATGGAACCTTTTATCATGATGTGACACCCTTTTGGATTATTGTTGGTTTAAAGTCTATTTTGTCCAAAATAAGAATAGCAATCCCTGCTGTTTTTTGTTTTCCATTTGTTTGACAGATCTTTCTCCATCCTTTTACTTTTAGCCTATGTGTGTATTACACATAAGGTGGGTGTCTTGATGATAGCATATTGTTGGGTATTGCTTCATTATCCAGCTTGCTACTCTGTGCCTTTTTAGTGGGATGTTTAGCCTGTGTATGTTCAAGGTTACTATTAATATGTGTGGATTGGTCCTGTCATGTTGTTAGCTGGTTTTTAATGTAGACTTGATTGTGCAGTTGCTTTATAGTGTATATAGTCTATGTACTTAAGTTTGTTTTTGTGGTGGCCTATAATGGTCTTTTGTTTCCATATTTAGTGCTCCCTTGAAGACTTCTTGTAATGCAGGTTTTGTGGTAAGAAATTCCCTTAGCATTTGGTTGTCTTAAAAGGATTTTGTTTTTCTTTTGCTTATGAAGCTTAGTTTGGCTGGATATAAAATTCTTGTTTGGAATTTATTTTCTTTACGGATGATAAATATAGGCCCTCAATCTCCTTGGGCTTATAGAGTCCACTGGTGGCCTTATGAGGTTCCCCTAATGGTGAATATAGGCCCCCAATCTCCTTGGGCTTATGGGGTTTCTGTGGAAAGGCCCACTGGTAGCCTTATGGGGTTCTCTTTGAAGTTGACCTGCCTCTTCTCTCTAGCTGTCTTTAATATTTTCTCTTTTATGTTGACCTTGGATAATCTGATGACTATGTGTCTCAGTGATGGTCATCTTATATAGTATCTTGCAGGGGTTCTCTGAATTTCCTGAATTTGAATGTCAACCTCTTTAGTGAAGTTGGGGAAATTTTCATGGACAGTATCCTTGAATGTTTTCCAAGTTGATTTTTCTCTCTTTCTGTCTTTCAGGGATGCCAGTGAGTCATACGTTTCGTCTCTACATAATCTCATATTTCTTGGAGGTTCTGCTTATTGTTTAAAATTCTTTTTTCTTTATTTTTGTCAGACTGAGTTGATCAAGGAATCAGTATTTGAGCTCTGAGAGTCTTTACTCAGCTTAATCTATTCTGCTGTTAATATTTTTGATTGTATTATGAAATTATTATTGTGAGTTTTTCAGCTCTATCAGATCAATTTGGTTCTTTCTTAAAATGGCTATTTTGTCTTTCAGCTCTTTAGTCATTTTACTGGATTTCTTAGATGCCTTGGATTGGGTTTCAATTTTCTTCTGAATTTGATGATCTTTATTGCCATCCAGATTTTGAATTCTGTGTCTGTCATTTTAACCATTTCAGTCTGGTTAAGCACCATTGCTGGGGAGCTAGTGCAGTCATCTGGAGGTGGGAGACACTCTTGCTTTTAGCATTGCCAGAGTTCTTGCACTGTGTTTTTCTCATCTCTGTGGGCTAATATTCCTTTAATTTTTGAAGTTGCTGTCCTTTAGTTGGGGCTTCCTGCTTTTATATTATTTGATGCTCTTGAGGTTTTGACTGTGGTATAGGTTGGGTTTAGTCAACTGGCTTTCCTTCTGGATGATTTCAAGGTGCCAAGTCTCAGCTCAGCACTCCTTGGCTGAGTGCTCTAACCCTGAGTGGCTGGGACCAGGCCCGTGTCTTTATTCTCTGGCGCCTCAAGGTTAAGCATCTGCTGTATTGGAGGGGCTGAGGTGTTCCTGGTCCACTGGCAACAATACTCTGACGGGGGTGCCAGAAAAAGCACTTTGTCAGGGCAGTGGCAGTGGTATTTGTGCTTGCACGTGTATGCCAATGGTGGTGAGGTGGTAAGGTCCACATTGCATGCATTTGCCAGCAATGCAGTTGGGGCAGACTGTGAGTGGGTGTGAGCTGACAGGGCCCATCTGCAAAAGCTTTCTGATGGTTAGGAGGAGTCTGCCAGTGAAAGAGTTATGGTGGTAGCTGCTGGGAAGTGCCCTGATTGGGCAACCGAGGCTGTGTTGTAAGCAGGTGTGACCAGGCAGGGACCCTGGGAGAGGCTGGCATACAGGGCAGTGTTCAGATCAGACTGACCCCTTCCCCTAGGCAGGATATCCCTGTTCTGTCCAGGTCTGACAGTCAACAAAGGCCAAAGCCTCCTAGAGGAACATGGCAAGTCTTGGTGGATGAGCATTCCTGGCCATGCTCCACTGCCCCCACTGCCACATTAAACCTTTTGGGCTCTACACAGACTGGATCCCTGGTCCTGCCAACGTTTTAAACAGCTCTCCATGCCAACTCAAATGTCATTGTGGGTTGTGGGGTCTTTTGCATCTAGGATTTCCAGAGGCCCATGGCAAGTGTGGCTCACTCCATGCCTGTTGTAACTCTTTCCCCAGGAGCTACTTGGGGCCAGGAACAAGTCCTGGTGCTCAGCAACCCTGTGCAGGGTTCCCAGATTCCTCTCACTTCAGCCCAGGGTCTGTGTCCTCCCTCTGTTTGCTCTCAGCGCCTTCCTTTTGAAGATCTGCTCGGAATGTGCTGGTCTTCTTAATGGTCTGGTCTGTCAGTGACAGAAGCTCTTCCTGGCTGAGTCTAGTTTGCCATCTTGGCTTTTTCAGTTTTTAAAAAGCAAGAAATCTAACATCTAGGTGTTTGGCTACTATTTTGCATCTCTTCACATTCCAGGGGTCTTTCCTTTGCTCAAGGCAGGTGATCAGGTCTGGCTTAGAGATAGCAACACTATTTTCTGGCTTCTGGGGGTCCTGGCATCGTAGTTATGTGTCTCCCAATACCTGCAGGTCATAGAGTCACAGAGGCTGTGGGAGAGTCACCTGGGACTCCAAGAGCAGTGGACATAGAGCAGTAAAGGCAGGACCTGGAGTGTTGGTGTCCCAGGAGAGCACTCTTCAGCTCCCACTTCGGAAACTTATAACAGAATGTATCCACTCAGCCTGGCTCTTCTCTGTCCTGAACCTTGATCTTGACCTTATACAATATATATAAAAATTAACCCTAAATAGATAGTACTTTCATATAAAAGCTAAAACCATAAAACTTCTATAGGAAAACATAGAGGCAAGTTTTTTGACCTTGGCTTAAGTAAAGATTTCTTAGATAAAACACAGAAAGCAGAAAGTATAAAAGAAATTTGATAAATTGAACTTCATGAAAATCAAATCTTTTGCCCTTTTAAAGACTATCTTAAGAAAATGGGGCCTACTTGAGGGACGGTCGGGAAAAATAACTATCGGGTACCATGCTTAGAACCTGAGTAATGAAACAATCTGTTTGCCAAACTCCTGTGATATGAGTTTACCTATATAACCTTTTGCATATACTCCTGAATCTAAAATAAAAGTTAAAAAAAAAGAGACAGTGAAAATACAAGCCTCAGACTGGGACAAAATTTTTGCCAACTGTATATTGAATAAAGGACTTATATCCAGAATATATAAAGAACTCTCAAAATTCAGTATTAAGAATCAAAACATTGAAATTTTTAAAAAGGCAAAAGATTTGATCAGGCTCTTTACCACAGAAGATATATGAATGGCAAATAAGCATATAAAAAGATGCTTAACATTATTTGTCACAGGGGAACTCCAAATTAATGGTACCTCAATGAAATACCACTACATACACATGAACATGGCCAGATATAAAAAGACTAATGATACCAAATGTCAAACAGAATGTGGAACACCTGGAACTCTTGTAAATTGCTGACGCAAGAGCAAAGCAGGATAGGCTCTTTAGGTAATAATTCGGTATTGTCTTATAAAGTTAAACATATATTTACCTTATCTTCCAGCCATTCTACTTCTGTGTATTCATCTTAGAGAAAAGAAAACATATGCCACATAAAGATTTGTATACAAACGTTCATGGCAACTTTATTCAACATAGACAAAAACTAGAAACAACTTATATGTCCACTAACAGGTGAATGGATAAGTAAATTTTGATACATTCATACAATGGAATACTACTTAGCAATAAAAAGGATCAACCTAATGATATGTGGAACAACACAGATAAATCCTAAAAGCATCATGTTGAGTGAAAAAGCCAGACCTAAAAGACCATATACTTTATTCTTCCATTGTATGATATTCTAGAAAAAGCTGAAGTGCAGTGATGGGATCCAGATCAGTGGTTGCCTGAAGAAAGAAAGTTGGGATAGAGGCCAAAGGGAATGTTTTGGGAGTAATGCAAATATTCTATATCTTGACTGTGGTGGTGGTTAAAAGATTATATTCAATTTGTCAAAACTAATAAAATTGTACACTTAAAATGGCTGACTTTTGGTATGTAAGTTAAACTTCAGTAACTCTCATTTTAAAACTTGTTATAGTGTGTTTTGTTTTGCTGGTTACAAGGTTTCCATGTTATTGCACAGTGGGTGAGGTGTCCGAGTGCTTGAGACCTGGTTTAGGGTGCATGGCAGAGTACTGTGAGGAAAGAGGGGCAGCCTGGGCTGCAAAGCATCAGCAGCTTTATAGAAGACAACCACTCCCTCTAGTACCTAATGGGTGACATCACATTTCTTTCTACTGGAGCCCCCATCAGCAGCCTGGGTTCCACGTTTGACTGCACAGGCGAAATTCCCAGCTTCTGCCTGGTGAAGAAGCTGTAGGCTCAGAAGTTTGAGGAAGTGAAGGAAAAATATCAGCACTACTGAGGAAAGGAGAGAACAGTGGACTGGAAGTGGATCTAGGGCTGCACCTGACTCACAGTTACTCACTGGTTCTCTGACCTTGGGGCTTTGTCCATAGACTGATTGATTTAGCCAGAGCTGGCTGAGCACTTTTCCTGGGCCTGACACTCTGTGATCCAGCAGAGTTGCAGTGGTGACTTCAATTTGTCCCTAATTTCAAAGATCTCACAGCCTGGGAAGAAAAGCAGACATAGGCATAGATAACTATTATAATGTAATTGGCAAGTGCTGTGATGCCAAGATGTACTCAGGATATTACAGGGGCTGGGACTCTGTTAAGCCTCAACAACCTCGCATATTAAATATAGGTAATAACAATAGCGACCTCCCAAGATCATTGTGAGGAATTAATGAAATATTTAAAAATGTGTTTTCAAGCTATATGTTGTATAAGTTGCATATGAAACAGCATTCACAGCATGTTTCTGATCTCTGCTAGGCCCTAGCTGGCTTTAGGCCCATCTTTAAGAAATGGGGTATGGCTTATGACTGAATAAACTAATCATAATAATAGCTACCAGGTGCTGTGCAAATATTATACTATTTAATCCTCATAAACATCATGCAGGATCTGTACCGTTAGCCTCATTTTACCCTGGAGAAAAGCAAGACTCCTAAAAGTTATAGAACTTGTCAAGAGTCACCCAGCCAGTGAACACTGACTTTAGTGGAAGGCAGTTAGAAAGGCAGGATTCCAGGTCATTTTTTTTCCCTCTTAGTTAGACCTATGCTGGTTTTGCTGTGCTTGTGATGTTATGAAGGACCACAAACCCAAACTCCTACAGAATCCAGGCAGGTAATGTAAAAGAGGGAGGGAGCTGCGAAGCCAACTGTTAGACAAGTAGAGACTGTGGGGAACTGAGGGGCAGGGAACATGCCCTTTCTGAAGAAGTGAGCTGCTCCCTCTCCAGCCACACATGCTGTGCCAAGCAGGAGTGCCAGCTCAGTGTGGCTATTGCCCGTGATATTCCCAAAGAAGCAGAAATTTGAATTTAAAAGTGGATCTGACGGTGAAGTATCCTGATTTTTATTGTTAAATAGTTTAAAATTAGTAAAAATTTTGTGTAGGCCTAACTGAACACATTGTGGGTTTAGTTTGCAACATCTGCTCTACATAATTTTTTTTAGTGGAAGACTAAGAACCAGAAAAATTGCCATGGCTAAATTCAAAGATCTGGCATATTGTATTGCATTTTTGCACGACAGGCTATTTTAAACAATCTTGGTCAGTTACATGGATAAGGTTAAATAATGACAGATGGGGCAGGGCTGCTTCTGGGGTCTGGAGCAGTGGTTATGTGGGCTATGATCAGCTGTCTCACATTGGAGGACTGTATTCCATGTAAGTTGTCTCTAAAATACAGTACAACAAAACCCACAGGGAACTGGGAAATGGGGACAGCGGCCTGCCTTCCAGACTCTGCAGCCCGAATAAAATAGCTTTTGAAGGAGAGACAGCCATAGGGTTATTTGCCACTACTTGCAACAACTTCACTAATCAGTACTGGCCTCAGGGCTCAAAGTCAAAAAGCTAAAGAAATTGAAGGTTAAAGTTTCTGATTCAGTGAATAGAGATTTTACCTGGTTACAGGTCTATTGGTAATGCTTGTCAAAGGACAGAAATCCTTGATTTGTATATCGTAAGCTAAAGAAACCTCAACCTCATGTATTAGTTCAGGGTTCAATTGGGATGATTGGCTGTCTAGGTAGGCACAGGGTGGAGAGGTGCAAGTCACAGTGCTTAGTTGCATCCTACCACTAGTGTTCAGAATCTGTGCTGTGTCCCTGAGTACTGAGTCAGGTGCTCTGCCCGATCAAGGGCAGCACCTGTGCTGAGGGGCTGGAGATGCAGCTAGTGCTGGGATGTGGAGTTATGACACTGGCCTTCAGCATCATCTAATAAATAGAGTTTCCTGGATTAGCTCCTCTCAGTACATTTTTGGCTGCTTCTTTGGATTGCCTTCTCACATGTCAATAATTTGGCAATGTCATTGTTTATAGAGAGAATTAAATAGTAAATCAATCAATCTTCTAGTGTGGTTGATCCAAATTTGCTTTTTGTCATCAATAGTTTTGGAAATTGTTTTTCAGTTGTACACTTTATTTCCATAAATGTCACATTTGGGACAATAGAGTTGTTGTCACATTTGGGAAACTGTTAAACATAAAATTAGACAATTTAGTTCTTTATGTAATTTCTACATTCTTTGAGGCATATTTTTCTATCTTGTCATCTTTAATATTTCTGGGACTTTTAGTCAAGTCAAATTGATACACCCTTAGGAGTATCAATTTGATACTGGCCAAAGCATCTTTAAAATGCTTAAAATAGAAAAAATATAAAAAGATAATGAACAGAATCAGAAATCTTGAAAATTAAATATATTTCAATAGCTGACTGTGATTTTAATTTATGCATTATTTTGTCTCATAATTCCTGTCACTTTTACTTATAATTCTTCTCATAAGGATCCTAGACATATTTAAAGTCATCATCAGAGTGTCTATAATTTTACTCTCATCTGGAATGAATTCATATTTGATTATTTTGTCTTCCATTGCATTTGATTTCCTCATGCATTCGGAATTTGGGTCTGTAGGCTCATTTTAAGAGAGAGGTCTTGCCTCACCTCCTTATCTTCATATACATACACACACACCACACACACCACACACACACATACACACACACTGTTTTAATTAGGGTGCATTTGGCCTCATGTAAGCAGAAACCCAATCAACATTGGCTAAACCATAAGGACATTTATGATTTACTTTAGGATAAGTAAGGTTGGGTATTCCAGGGTTCACTGAGTGGTCCAACAATGTCAGGACTCAAGGTCAGTGTTTCTCCCTTTCCTTAATAGTTGCAGAGGCTGTCTCAGCTTTAGGCATACTGTTATTACCATGACAATTCTGGAGTCTTGACGTATTTGCTTTATATAGATATAGTGAGGCCAATAAAATCAGATGACTATTCATTTTAACCCATTTGGATGAGTTCGAACCTTCTTAGTGGCCTCAATGTCAGGGAAAGCTAAAGAAATTGAAGTGGAGCTTCAAGTGGATCTACTGATGCTGCAATTGTTCTCAGTCTAAGCCAGTCCACAAAAGCCACTGCATGGGAAGAAAGACCTGTGCCTTCCTTTATCATGGGGTTTCTGGCCATTCTGCCCCTGACACTGGGTGGAACAGCTGAGGCAACAGGGTACACAAAACCTATGGTTTATTTACAATGAATGGCCGCATCATTGCATGAGTCAACAGATCTGCTGCACCTAGGAAATTCCTGAGTGCTGTTGCTTAGGCACTGACTTTCCTTTACAACTTCAAGACCATTCTTTGGGATCATTATGTAGCCCTCAACATTATGAAGAAAAATTGCTTAAAGCTTGAGAATAAGGCAAAAATGCAGGCAGATATCCTTCCAATGGTTAACAGGTTCAACTGAAGATTAATTTTTAATATCTATGAGAATGTACCTGTGTCTGACCTTGCTATTCACTATTTTGGTCCAGACATTGTCAAGTTATATGCCAATTTGTAATCTGTTTAACAGAAAATAACCTCTCCCTTGCCAACCCTCAGTTGTGGTCTTACTGCCCTGTAAGACAGTGACTAGTTTTGCATCTGGCCTAGCAATCTGTTTTTTTTTTTTTAATTTTGTTTTCTTTTTCCCCTAGCAATCTTATTCAAGGGCTTACCCTATTCCTCATATACTCTTGGAAGCAGCTCTATCACCTTATTGGAATGACTTATGGTGGAAAGCATGCTCAGACCTGTCATTTCAAGCTTCTCCTCCCTTTATGTGCTCTAATATCTCATTGGCCAAAGCAATAACATCAAATTGAAGGGCAAGGAACTTCTCAAAAGGAGGTAGGAATGAAAATTAGCCAAACAGATATCTTACCTACTATAGTGGGTAAACTAGAACATTTCATTAGAAGAAAGGGCAGTGTACTCATTGTCAGATTCTTATAACAAAAATGATCATGTACTATATAAAATACAAAAATATCCAAATTGACTTATCAGCTAAAGTGCTGATTGCAAATTGCACCCCCATCAATGTGATACAGACTTAGTTGAACATAGTGGGACTAACAACTAAATTCGAGCCATCCAAACATGGTAATGCCATAAGCCTGTACTGGTATCACACAGAGAATTTCTTTTTAAATGACTGTCAGCTGTCACAATTTTGTAGGTAAACAGAGTTGTCATAACATATTCTTACAAAACTAAGGTTATACCCATGACAACAAAATCTATGATGAGACAGACAATTTGAAGCAGACAGAAGTAGGGTGCTATGGCCTGTGGTCCAAATCTGGCCTACACCTAATTTTTGCAGATAAAGTTTTATTGGAACACGGTCATGCGCATACCTTTATGTGTAGTCTGTAGTGGCTTTTGTGCGGCAATTGCAGAGATTATAGGTCTTACAAAGCCTAAAATGTTTGTTTTCTGGCCTTTTACAGAAAATACTTACTGATTGCCAATCTAGAAGAACTCCACAGTTATGATTTTTGCCTACTTTTGAGCTGCCTCTGAATAGAACACAGTCTATAAAACCAGCGAGGTGAATAGGGTGGCATAGCAAGGTTTCCTAACCCCCAGCCCATGAGCCTTCACTGAGGTGTGGAGTTGGAGTCTGCAGAAAGATTTCTAACGGAAACCCCTGCTAGGGGACCTGCTGGTAGCTTCTCGCTCCCTGTACCTTCTTAGGTTTTGTAGAAAAAAAGTTTCCTGAAGGGAAAAATGTTCTTGATACTACTAGCTCTCAAGGATTAGAAAGGTTTACCTCTGTCACACATCACAAGCTGAAAACAAGGGATGCTTATTTGAAAATGTGAAAACTCAATTTGCAGAAGTAGGGACAGGCACATGCAATGTTAGGCTGTTCTCTCCCCACTGACATTGCCAGGATTAAAAATAGCCGTTCTGTTTGTCCTTCAGCCCTGTATTGAACTGGAGCCTCCAAGTTGCATTCTCCTTAGCTTCATGCTTAATGAAGCATAATTTGTATTAATAGCAGCTATTAAATCTAGAGTGCTTAATAGGAATTTAGAGCGGAGGGCCTGAGTCACCAAGCTCCTCAAACATGGTCCCCAGAGAGCTGAGCTCAGGCCTGAACACCAGCAGCAATGAATTTTGGGCTTGGTAAGGTGAAGCAGCTGTGTTTAACAGGAGGAGAAAGGGGAAAAAGAAATGAAGAAACAGGACTCAACACCTCCAATTCAGCCTGGGGGTTTCTCAAGTTCCAGGTTCTATAATACAAGGGGGTCCCTTATTCGTATTATGTCTGCATTCCGGAAAAGATTGCTGGGTGCTGGAGAACACATGGGCTTGACAATTTTACACACTTGCATTCAGATTTAGTGCTGCTGTGTGACCTGGCTTTGGTCTCTTAACCTCTCTGAGCCTCAGTTTTTTTCTTATCTGAGAAACAAAGATAATCAAGTGGTGATAACATAATGGGAGTTACTGTGAAGATTAATGGGGGAAAGATGCATAGCAATGAAGATTGGATGTTGGGTCTGCATCTCTCTGTTTTCCCGTCCTTCTCTAAACCCAATTCTATTTTAAATACAATCTGGAAGGGTTTTCATAGAAAATTATTTTGGGAAGCCAAATAGCTTCCTTTTAGTCCTGCATTAGCAAAAAATGTCTCTGACTTGCTCAAGCTTCCCTTTAAACATTGTGTTGTTTGTGATTTGCTTTGTTGTAAATCCCCTGTTTAAATGTCTGTCTCCATCCCGACCCCATGAGCTCCTTAATGCTGTGAGAAGAAAATGTGTTTTTCTCACCTTTCACTCCCATTGCCTAGGACAGGGTCTGGCACCAGGCAGGTGTGCAGTCAGTTGTGGTTTCTGTCATCACTGCTATTTTACAATTAAGCAAACAGTGTTAAATACAGGGAGTTTTGTCTGTTTGGGTATTACCAACTGATTGCCCTTGTTGAGAGGATTGACTAGAAAAATAAAGCTCTTGGGCAGGGCTTGTGCCCTATAGTTGTTTTTACTAGAAGTATTCTATAGTATTTATTAGAGCAAGAAAAACTGAGTCTCCTTCAGTGCACAGTCGGTAGCTTATTCTGACAGTTGCACATTCAGCATGAATGTCCTTTTCTGCACTGGGCTGTGGGTGGGTCCCCATGGTAGAAGCCTGGCTCCACACATGGCTTCTGCTCAGCACTTGGGTAGAAGGAGACAGCAGCAGAATGTGAGCCTTCAAAGAAATTATCAAGTTGGGCAGCTTGCCTTTGGAAGGGAGTCCATTTGTGGCAAGCCATTACAATGTCCTAGGTCCATTTAAATATGCCCAGGAAAAAAAAAATAACTTCAACCATCCTCTAACATCCTGAAGCAGGAGAATTAACAGCCTTGCCTTGAACTCAGGCAGCCAACAGGAGAATACACACAGTGAAGGCCTGGCTATGCTAAATCAATGTGAGCTGAGCATCCTCACTGCACGTTACCTGTGCAAAGAATCAGCCATGACAGAGGATGAGAGAATTTTCCATTGCTTTAGAGAATGGTGAGATGCTTTCCATTTCATGTGCAAATCAACAAGCCTGTAGACTGTCCATAGGGCAGGAACGTGCAACATAGGATGTGATTTCAGGTGATCAATCACTTCTATGTTGGCTTAACTACAATGGCCCAGTTACAGAGGGACTCCTTGCTGGGCCATGTGCATCAAAAACAAAGTTTCTATGATTTCTTACAAAATTAAACATACTTTTACTGTATTATCTCCCAGTCATGCTCCTTGGTATTTACCCAAAGGAATTGTAAACTTACGTCCACACAAAAACCTGCACATAGATCTTTATAGTAGCTTTATTCATAGTTGCCAAAACTTGGAAGCAACCAAGATTTCCTTCGGTAGGTGAGTGGATAAATAGACTGTGGTACATCCAGATGATGGAATATTATTCAGAACTAAAAATTAATGTACTGTTAAGCCATGAAAAGACATGGAAGAAACTTTAATGTATATTACTAAGTGAAGCCAATTTTAAAAGGCTACATACTGTATGATTCTAACTATATGACATTCTAAAAATGGCAAAATTATGAAGACAGTAAAAAGATAAATAGTTTGGGAGAAAAAATGATGAATAAGCAAAGCATAGAGGATTTTGGGGGGCAGTGAAACTACTACTCTTAAGACACTATAATGATGGATCCATGTTGCTATGCATTTGTTAAAACCCATAGGATGTACGACACCTTGGTATAAACTATGGGTGGAAATGATGTGCCACTCTGGTGGGGATGTTGATGATGGGGGAGGCTCTAGATGTGTCGGGGAGAGGGTATGTGGGAAATCTCTCTACCTTCCATTCAGTTTTTCCATGAACCTCAAACTGCTCTAAAAAGTTGAAGTCCTTGAACAAACAAACAAAAAGCCAAATAAAGTTCCCAGGACATTTGCTTATCTGTGGAGTACAAGCTGTTCTGCGGTTTTGCTGACTGACTTGGCAGACTCTGAGGCAGATCCCTCAGCCCTAGGGATGTCCAAACCCTTGGGAAAGAAAGGACTCTCTGTATGTAAAGGAATAATCAGAGGCCTAAAGGGTGGCATGACTTAGGCAGTCACAGAGGCAGGGTGATAGTAACATAGCCAGCTCACTAACTCATCCCTTTCATTTACTGAGCAAGTCCAAGGTGCCAGCACAGGGCTGAGATAGGGGGTAGAAATATGAAAAAGAGTCCTCACCCACCTGGGAGTGGATCTCACTGCTATGTATCCTTTTAGTGAAAATAATATAAGATTATGAATATAGGTAAAATGTGAATATTTATTTAGCATAAGAAATTACATCAAATTTTACATTTTTAAAAGCTGAAAAATTCAGAAAAACAATCCTCTACTTGAATTAACTGACATATATCTATAGTATTTGTTATTATATTTTGATAGCATGGTCTTTGATCATCTCTTCATATGACAATGTTTTTGTGATGTTATTTTCCAAGAAGGACCAAAAGACGATTCAGTCCTTTGTCTTGTATAGTTTATCATCAAAAATTGCTTTATATTATCGAGAGCTGGGAAAAGTTTTTTATCCTCATGCATCGTTACGGTAATGTCATGTAAGAGTGAGGATTGTTGTGAATGTGGACAAAACCTCTACCTTGGATATATGAATTCTGCACTCCATCTCTTCTGCTCTTTTATTTCTTGTTTGATAGTGTGTTGATTCTTATAACCTTTTTATCCCTTCTTTTTTTTTTATCTATTTCTGTTTTTTGAATATCGTGATTCTTTCCTTATCTTCCTCTGTGCCATCAGCTTTTTAATCCATGTGACATAGGAGGTTTGGACATTGTGAAGCCTTTGCTAGTCTCTCAGTTGACATTTTTGGCTTCCACTAGGATGCTTCCTTTCTGTCATATTTGAGTTTTGCAGTGATAATTCCAAAAAATAGACAATATTATTCTGAAATTAATGCATACACAAAGGAGTTTAAATACATGTTTAACATAGTACCCTGTGAACTTACTTTTATACTACATACATTGTGTAGCATTTTTGCCAGGCTGCTTTCTTCAGATCATCTTCCTGCATTGGTGATGATTTTGTATGCTGTTTTATCTGAATCTTTCAGGTTTGGGGAAGACAAATTGTTTCAGATACACCAAGATCTGCCCTGATCCATAGGGATGTTTAAAACATGCTACTTCCCATATCGACATGTTCTCTGTTTGTAGCTTTGTTACAGGTTTGTGCCCTATAGCACAAGAATTATGACACAATTTATTTTGTGGTATTCCTATAAAAAATGTTTAAATGTGTGCCAAATTTATAATTCCATATATGACATTATTGAATATATTCCTGAGAGGCATTTTCAATCTAGATGTGGAGGAACATAGAAGTCTTTGCTAGTAATTTTATTCTTCCTGTGATTTTAAGAATATTACACAGATAAGCTTCCAGCTCTGAGCATTTTAAACTTTGCTTATCTTCCACCTCCAGGTGCTGTAGAACATGTTCATATCATAACACAATCTCTGGCCCTGCACTTTTGTACATGATACTGGAGGGGTCTGTGCAGTAGACAGTAAGAATATTCCACGGAAGTTACTGTGAAGCGCTTTTGTAAAATACCCCCACTGACCCCAAATTAAACCTATCCCACAGCCACTTCAGTGTACCCCACGTGAAAGGAAGTGACATAGAGGGGAAGTCAGGTAGAAAAAGATGGCATTTTTAATGGGTTGTGTTTGAATCTTTTTGACAAATCATATGACCATGAGAAGACATTGTTGACGATTGTGTTCTCACTGATTGAGGACATTGTTGTGGCCCCTCTAAGAGCCCTGGGAAGGAGCTGGGCAAGTGAGGAACCTGAAGCTCGGGCATCCTCAGATTCATGGAGAATCTACCTCTGACACTGCCCATAGAAAGCTCATAGAGTTGGGAGTGAGGAGGATAAATAGGCTAGTAGACAGGCAATGACAGGGTGATTCTATCTTTCCACTTTAGGGAAGCACAGGGAAGTGGAACATCAGAGAGGAGAAGCCTGGCTCAACTTGGCAGAGAAGGCATCTTCAGAGAAGGAGTGCCCACACTGACACCTGAATGATGACTAGTGCTTAACCAGATGAACTGGATGAGAAAGGCATTTCAGACACAGGGCATAGCATGAACAAGGGTCCAGAGATGAGGGTGCAAGCAGAGTCCAGGGTGCACAGGGAGTTCAGTACAGCTGGAGCTCAGATGCTAGGGAGAGGAGTAGGGAGAAAAGAGGCTCCATTACAAAAATGTAGGCATGAGATCAAAGGGAACCTGGAGTACTATGCTAAGGGGACTCAATCCTAGGTGATGGGGAGGCATTGAAGGATTTAGGTGAGATTGGCATTTAGGAAGCTCACTTGAAGCAGTGTTGAATGGGTAGGAGTGGGGTAAGACTGGAGCTGGTGCAGCAATATGGGTGAGTGTAGCTGTGTGTGAAAAAAGGTCCGAGTTTAATGGGAAAACTAAGGAGTGTGGGGTGGGAGGAAACTTGATGAGAGAGGATTTCCAAGGATAATATTCTAGATGTGTGGGTTGATGACAATGCTGAGAGCAGGGACAGAGGAAGAGAAGCAGGCTTGCTGGGGGGAAATGATGAACTTCTTGAGGTTCTTACCAGACACCTAAGTGGAGATGCCCTTTGGGTGCCACATGCGCCCACACTGCTGATAAGGGATCTGCATAGTGGGGGGAGATTTGGAAGTCAATGAAGCCACAGATAGGGATGAGCTTTTCAAAGAAGAGTGTGTGGAGTGAAAGGGTTAGGGACATAGAACCAAACCCTGAGACCCACTCCACTGAAGGCAAAGAAGAGGAGGAGTATACAGAGAACACAAGGAAGAAGTGGTCAAAACGTAGAAGGAAGATTGGTCTCCAGGGGTGGGGGGGGGGGGTCCTGAATTTGAGCATGATTTTTAGTGCACAATAGATCCCACAGAGCTTTCAAGAAACACTTGGTGGTTGGTGAAGACCCAAATAATGGTGAGTGTGTTTTACATTTTAGAGTTCCAGGTAATTTTCCTTCTTGGTATCATCTGGTTATGGTATATAATTTGGAGGAAAAAACTACTTTCATTCACTTTTTATTTTTCCTCAGAAAGACTTGAAGAAATACAAAACCATAGGACTTTTGGTATGTGATGGAGACATTCCATACAATTAGTACAGAACATAGACAAATGGAAAATATTGTGTTTTGCTTGAAATTATCTCTGTGGACTAAAATGTAAACCTAGATTTTGCATATGCATGTGTATTTATTAATGACATTATTTAACTCTCATTCTAGATAGTTTTGTGTTGAACTCTATTTAGATGAGTAGAGACATACTAATTATCTCAGTTAATTAGCCAAAATAAATCTACATAGTTTAACACATCAAAGATTTATTTTCCACTCATGGTTTATATTTACTATGGGTCAGTGGGAGTTATGCTCCACATGATTACTCAGGGATTCACTCTGACATGGGTCCACCGTATTTTTTTTTTTTTTTTGAGACAGAGTATTTTTAGTAGAGACGGGGTTTCACCAAGTTGGCCAGGCTGGTCTCAAGCTCCTGACCTCAGGTGATTCACTCACCTCAGCCTCCCAAAGTTCTGGGATTACAGGTGTGAGCCATTGCCAGGCCCACCATCTTAAAACTGCACCATCCTCAGCAGGGGAAAAAGAGAGATGCTGTATCACATCCTGTCTCTGCAATGCTTTGTCTGGGAAGGGGCACGTACCGCTTTGATCCACAGCACATTGGCCAGGACTAAGCATGCAGTCTCATCTAATTGCATGGAGGAGCACAATTCCTCCATGGCAGGTGGTACAGTTCTCTGCCACACTCGATATTGTATAAATCCAGGGTCCCAGAAGATAGAAGGCAGCAAAATATAAGGAAATTAATGATACCTTACAATTAATATTAACAGTATTACCAAAATACTTTTCTTAAAAATTATGTAAACCCAGTGTGCATCTATATAATTTTACAATATCTAGTTTCATTAGAAGCAATTTATTTTTTAAAACCCAGTTCTTTGGATTTAGAAATATTATTTGTAATATTGTAATACCACATTAACATTACATTTATATATTTTCCAGTATCAATTTAATTAAGAGTAACTAGACTGTATTTTATTGTTGTTTTTATATGAAAATAAGTATAAAAATGTAGAAAATTGCAGTCATAAAAAGTTTCAGCTACTTTGCCTCTGCCATAAAACCTAATCTTGGTATAATTAAAATATGTCATGATATATTTCTATCTTTGCTTTCTGTAGAAACTGTGCAAATGCTAGACAGATAAATCACACAGTCACTTATAAAGAATTGAATTTCAACAAAAAAAATTACCAATAGATGTTTTTTTCTTATTTCAGTTTATAAGGAAATTGCTAGACTATGAAAAGTTAAATTTCCCAGTTTTATTATACAATATGTTTTTATTTCTTTTGAACTAAAGCATTCAATAAAAAGTTCCCAAGTTTGAAATTACCAATCATTTAGAGAGAATAAAGCTCATGTGTAAGATTTGTTTTCTTAGAAGACAAGTTAGGGAATAGTTCTGTTTTCTTTTCTTGGCTCAGATTCTACAACTTCATGGTGGAAATTTTATCCTTGAACTTCTAATGTCATTTTATGTTTATCTTAAGTTTCTATTTTTATACTTTAGTATAATTTTAGAGTGTTGCCAGTTTCATAGCATATTAATTACTTTCTTTTTAGAAGATTATATTTAAAAATAAAATTAGTAATTAAAGCACAATTTGATTATAATAGCATTCTATTTCCTGATTTTGAATTTATCATGAAATTGATAAAAATTATAACTTGCAGCTGTTTACAAACACTTGTATATATTACACTTTTTCCTAGTTAGGACATATTTATTTCTCAAGCAGACTTTTAAAAAATGTTTTTATCTTTAAAAAAAAAAAAACTTTGAGGTTCAGAGTTACACGTGCAGGTTTCTTATATAGGTAAACTTCTGCCACAGGAGTTTGTTGTACAGATTATTTAGCCACCTGGGTACTAAGCCCAGTGCCCAGTAGTTATTTTTTTCTGATCTTCTCCTTCCTTCCAGCCACCTCTTTGTGTCCATGCGTTCCCATCATTTAACTCCCACTTACAAGTGAGAACATGCAGTATATGGTTTTCTGTTCCTGTGTTAGTTTGCTAAGAATAATGGCCTCTAGGCTCTATTCATGTTCCTGCAAAAGACATAATCCCTTCCCCTTTTTTTTTTTTTGAGACAGAGTCTTGCTCTTGTCACCCAGGCTGGAGTGCAATGGCATGATCTGAGTTCACTGCAACCTCTGCCTCCCAGGTTCAAGTGATTCTCCTGCCTCACCCTCCTGAGTAGCTGGAATTACAGGTGCCCTCCACCACACCCGTTTAATTTTTTTAATTTTCAGTAGAGACTGGGTTTTGCCATGTTGGCCAGGCTGGTCTGGAACTCCTGACCTTAGGTGATCCACCTGCCTGCCTCAGCCTCCCAAAGTGCTGGGATTACAGGTGTGAGTCACTGCGCCCAGCCCAATCTCTTCCTTTTTTATGGCTGCATAGTATTCTATGGTGTATATGTACCAAGTTTCTTTTTCTTTTTCTTACTTTTTTTTTTTTTTGAGATGGAGTTTCCCTCTTGTTGCCCAGGCTGGAGTGCAGTGGCACGATCTCAGCTCACTGCAACCTCCGCCTCCCAGGTTCAAGTGATTCTCTTGCCTCAGCCTCCCGAGTAGCTGGGATTACAGGCACACGCCACCAGACCTGGCTAATTTTTGTATTTTTAGTAGAGACAGAGTGTCACCACATTGGCCAGGCTGGTCTCGAACTGCTAACCTCAGGTGGTCCACTTTCTTTATCCAATCTGTCATTGATGGTCATTTAGGTGATTCCATGCCTTTGCTATTGTAAACACTGTTGCAGTGAACATACATGTGCATGTGTCTTTAAGGTAGAATGATTTCTACTCCTTTGGGTGCATACCCAGTAATGGAATTGCTGGGCCAGTGGTAGTTCTGTTTTTAGTTCTTTGAGGAATCACCACACTGTCAAGCTGACTTTTTAAAAGAAGTTTTAAAAAATACACTTTTATAAATAGAGTTTTAGATTTTCAATTTCATATTTTATGTTGGATATTCAGGAGAAACCCTTACTTATCAGACAATCTTTTTTCCCCCTCAACTTAATTTCTGAATATCATTTTAAAACTATACATTTAAATTACTTTACAAGACATTTATATAAATTATAGAACACTAAGCTCATGGCTTTCTCCACCATCCCCACTTTTTTAAGAAAACAGAAGTCCTTGTATTTGAAATTGTGCAGAAAGATTAACATGGTATCAGGAATCTGTTTTTCTGCAAATAATAGAAAACCAACTAACACTGACTAACAGATTATAAGAAGTAGGGTAGGGTTGGTGGGTAGCAGGGAGTCCAGGCTGTTCCTGTGGCTCGGCAAAGCCACCAGAACCCAGCTCCTTTAAATCCCTCTGTTTTGTCACCCTCAACATGCAGACTTTCTGGCTCAGTCTTGGTGTGCCTTATGGTTATGAGGTGGCTGCTGCCCTTCAAACCTCTCATCCATGGTCCAGGTAGAAATAAGGAGGAAGGGGGAAAGCAAAAGGCTACCTCTCAACAAAGCTTTCTTTTATATTTCAGACAAAACATCTTCGTCAGGGCCACTCACATCTTATTGCCAGACTGAATTGAATCACTATGCCTAGCAGCAAGGACAGCAGGGAGGCTGAATAGTTTGAATTGTTTTGTTAGTAAGAAAGTGGAAATGGATACTAAATAGGCAATTAGGGTTATCTCACGAACTTAAGTGAGTTAAAATAAAGCCACTTGTATAATTAAAAACTTAATATAACCGTATATATTTGACCAGCACATTAGAAATATTGGATTTTTATTCATAAGTGGCCTCATTTTAGCTTCCACCCCTATAAAGAGAGCCACATTTGAATATTTCTCACCTGGGTATTTCTTATTATTTTTTAAAACGACGTTTGATTATTTAAGAAATAAAATGAGGAGTACTCTTTTGGTTAATTCCTGAGGTAAGCAGGCAGATGTAACAGATCTGATTAAGGAAATGCAGAAACCTAAACACACAAATCCAAGTGTATACAATGGTTACTAGATGATGAAATGTTACATCTCTTAGTTTTGTCCTATGACATGTTTTAATTCTTTTTTAATTTCTTTACATGAACTTGCTCCTATAAAGTCCAAAGCAAGTGTTCCTGATTGGCACATAGTGCTTTTCCAACTGGTTCCATCTCCTGGCTCTGCCATCTTTGACACATGGCTTCCAAGGCTGCATGTTGATCTGCATACCTTCCACCTCATCATTCATCCTCCATTTCCTCAACTCCTTGTACTGCAAATGCTGCTATAACAAACATGCCCATTTACCATGTGCATTTGAGAAAACTTCCCTGGGGGTTGTTCAGAAGGGAATTTCTGGGTCCTAGTTAATGGTGCTGGGTTGCTTTCCAGCATGGCCGCCCCAGCCCCTGCCTGTGTTCCCACCAATAGTGCACAGCGGTTCCAAGTTCCACCAACTTTGATGCTATCCAGCTCTCTAGTTTTGTCAATCTGATGGGTCTGTAATGTCAGATTTTGGTTTAAATTTGCATTTCTAGAATTAATGAGTTTGAGAAATCTTTATATGCTTTTTAGCATCTTGAGTTTTCCCTTCAGTTAATTGTTTGTTCATTTTATTTGCCCATTTTTCTATTGGGTTCTGAAAAAAAAAATTTCTGATCTCTTTTTAGCTGATAAACAAGTCTCATATATAGATTTTCATAATTAGAATTTAAGCAGCCCTCTCTGAAGTGTGGATTCCTGTTCAAAATATTTCAAGTGTTAACTAACCATTTCTCCTTATTCTCTCTCTCACATATGTACGATGCTATTTATAATGAAGTAAATTTGAAGAAATTATCACTTTAATTATGTAACAATCTGTCTAGTTAGTTTTTAACTAAGGATTTCTTTGGAGTAGTTAATTTAGTTTTAAACTATCACTGTTTTCTTTATGCCTACTATAAATCTTTTACCATCTAAATGCACAAAAACATACAGTTTTTTTTTTTTTTACCATTTCTGGGGGTTAAAACTCTCATCTTATAGTAAATTAAACCTATTAAAAAACTAAAGAAGGTGGGAGGTCTGGTTTTCTTTCTTCTACCTGCCTCGCTCCCTCTCTCCCTCCCTCTCTCTCTCCCTCTCTCTCCATCTATCCCTCCCTTTCTCCTTCCCTCTTTCCTTCTCTCTCTCACTCTCTGGTGTGTTAGTCAAAATAAGAGCCTTGGAAATTTGGAGCTCTATGATTTTGGGGATGTTTTTAAGGTGTACAATGTTGTCTAAAGCAGAATATCGCATTTGAGGGAAATATTTTTTTATCCCAGAGAACATAAAGGCTCTATAGCCATAAGATATCCACACAAACTGCACCATTATCCTGGTTGACGTGGGGCTTCCTTGGACTCTCCATTCATACTTAGCCTCTCACCCAGGAGAAGAACATCCCCAGACTAGTCTGCCTTAGCTCTCCCCAGGAGATGTTTACGTCAGGGGAAAAATACATTCAAACCCATCTGTCTTGTGTTAAGATTTCACTGTATACAGACGAGATCCTCCAGAGGTCCTTATTTCAGAAGTCCAGCTTGCCTTCATGATGGGCTTACAGTGCAGGCTGAGCATGCACCTTCACCCCCAGAAAAATCTGGAGGTTCCACCTAAGCCAGCACACGGTTCTGAAACTGTTACCTTAAATTTCTGTTTTCAACTAGAAGTGCCTAGTCCTTAATAATACACCTGGGGAGACAAACTCATCAACACCACCTTTATCCTTGAGTCTAGACAAAATATTTACATTTTTCTGGCCTGAATCTGGCAGCCAAACCTGTTCAGGCGAGCTGGACACACATACAGATTGCACATTTGTGGAAACCTTCATTAGGGTTTCCTAGTAGCAAGTCATCTGTCCCGTGGCCTCTCTGTCAAACAGTCTCTCTGTTGGAGGCACCTCATAGTGGAAGAACCAGCTTCTAGTATTTGGGCCAAAATCTGTTAGAAGCAGGCTTTAATGATAGAATTCTAGCTACTGTTGAGAGACGGAGTACACAGAGGGCCTTTTTAATCAAAGTACTCTCCTACCAAGTGACAGAGTTAACATATTTTTATAAAGTGCAAATTACTTTATCGTTTATTAACAGAAGGAAAGGATACAATGCAGTTTTCCCATTCCTTAAACGCCTTGTCAGAGGAAGCTTGTGGCTGCTCATCACTAGTGAGGCAGATAAATAGCTACATTTTTCAGAAGGCCGCCTGCTCATTGTGGTCACTTCTCACTTTCCAGCTGCCTTACCCACTGCTTAGCTACATCTGTTGGATGTGTAGGCGAGCTCTGGAATGCAGAATTCCACATAGGCAAGGAATGGTGTGGATGTGTCTGTTATATGTAGGTTATAGCCAGCTCATTAACAGTGCTGGGAGCCATGCAGTGGGTTTCACTTTTATCTTGAAGTCATGAAACTCTTAGTAGATTTTGAGCAGGGGAGCAGCATAATCCTGAGTGATAAAATTTGAGCCCATTTGGAAAGATCCTCATGCCTACTCTACACACTCACTGATTGTCTTTCAGGTGGCTCATCCAAGCTGAGACATGGTGTTTCAAGAGGTGAAACCACAGGGAAAGTTTGAAATGAAAGTCATATGGGAAGAAAGGGAGAGAAGCAAGTTGGAAATCTTTCTAGATCACCATCCCGTATTGGTACCCATGCCTCAGTTTATTTCTGCTGGAGAAGGTGATGCTAGAAGCTCAGGTTCTCTGTCCTCTCCATGATCCTGTGAGCTGTCTAATATCCCTCCATAAAAGCCTGCTGTCTTAAACTAGCTAAAGGTGACTTTCTTGTTTGTATCTAAGAACTTTCACCAATACACATCGCTTTCTCCCTCTCTCTCAACTTACTCTTCACTTCTTTAGGGTAATGTAAATTTAAAGTAATCAGGTTTTCCTGATTATGGCACTTCACCCTATTATAGAGGCTCACAGCTCCAGATGTTTCTCCTTTATAGTGCTTATTGTAAGTGCAGTTATATACTTATTTATAGGATTATTTAATAATCCTTTCTTTCCACTAGAGTGGAAATTCAGTGAGGGCAAGAACCTGGTGCTGTAGGTGTCTCTGGTGCTTAGCACAGGGTATGACTCACAGGAGGAACAGAGTTACAGTAGTTGCAGAACATCTTTGGCAATGAATAGTTAATGAATAAGGACTTCAGGTTGCTCTATGTTTCCAGGGTTCTTGTGGGTCTCAGGGCATGGAAATGGTCAGAGATCTTGAGGATGGTGTTACTGCTCTGGGAGAGTAGATTGATTTTCCCTTATTTCTAAGTCTGTATTTCCACATAGTTTGCGCTCCTGCTGTTTTTTAGTCTCTCTCTGGCTTTTCATAAAAAACACTCATTTTATTTTTGGAACAGTACTTGTATAACCAGGGCTTTTCAGTTCCTATCTGGTGTGTGTTTGGGGACTGATTGTAGCTCAAAGTGCTAAAAAGGAAAATGGCATTTGTCACTGGGTTGTAGTACTGTACACTCTGCTTTCTTAAAAGCCACATTTTACTCTTCAAGGCTGATTATTCCCTAGTGGTTTGGGTAGACGTTTGGCTCAGGGATACAACCACAGTATTCAGAATGTGACATCTGTGATGGAATCTGGGCTCTGCCTCTCACCACCTGTATGACCTTGGACAGGAGACCTAATATTTCTGGAACTCAGTTGCTTCATTAAAATGAGGATGAAGATACTTTCATGGTTGCTGGAAGGATTAAATAGAAAATACTAGTGAAGTCCTGATCCAAAGTAAATACTCAGCAAATCTTTGTATAATACATCTCCATGCCCTTTCTTTTTCCCCTCTTTCTCAAAATAATCTGAGGAGGCCACCCATGGAGAATTTTATCTAGGCTCGACCCCAGAATCTCTGAATGAATGAGTGAATTAACTCAGTGAATGAAGAAAGGAAGATTTGAATGAATGATAATGTGAGCCATACAATTCATTACTAAAGGATGCTGGGACAGTAGTGGTGACAGTAATTATTTAGTGAGTGCCCAAAGGCTGGACTTTGTGGCAGGCAGTTTACAGAAATTATCTCATGTAACTATTGTAAGAGTCCTTTAAGAAAGTTACCATAGTCACCATTTTACAAATGAGGAAACAAAACCTCAGTGAAATTGTCACATAACAGTGGTGCCATGACTAGTAAGTGGTTTTACTAAGGTGTCATGAAAATAGAAGGCCACAGATATGTATGTGTGTGCGTAGATGTATTTGTGGGTATATGTATATATGTATCACACTCATACATACATGTGTAGTATTTATCTTAGTCTCCCCAAAATAGTAGTCATCCAGGACATGATTGTACAGTTATTGAGTGACTATAAATGTTGGTGGTGATTGGAAGAGTAAAGGCAGATAAAGTGAAGGGTAGAACAGGAATGGTAGCTTTGACAAGGTAGCCTTGGGAAGGGGAACACAAAGGCAATTGACAGAGGGCTTTTGGGGCTACCTTCCTGTTCTTTAGAGATGAGAGACCTGGGAGAGTTTTCTGAGCCTCTGAGTAAGGCAAGAAGGTTCACAGATCCCAGGATCCAAGGCTGCAGGGCTAGTATCCAGCAAGGGCACTGATGAAACCATTGGGCACGTGTGTACATCTTTGCATGTAGTGAATTAAGTGATGTATGTCAGCATCCAGAGCTTTCCCTCTTAAGGGCTTCCAAGTAGCTTTATAGTTGTAATAACACTGGAAACACATGGAATATTGACACCCAGTTTTTGAGTGACATGAAGCAGACTGTCTTGAGTGGACATATAGATTGAAAGCACCAGTTTAAGTTGGATGGGGATCCTGTATGGCCCTGAACCCTGGTATCACATAGCCTTGGATTATTTGTCTTTCTGTGTTTTATTTCCTCATTCGTAGATGGAGATATAAATGTGTTTATCTGATACAATTTTTGTGAGGTGAAGATGAAATAATGTATGTAAGGCACAGCACAATTCCTGGCACCTAGTTAGTGCTTAATAAAGTACATATATTTATAATGATTCCCATGAAAAATTTGTTACAGGGAAAAACATTTGTAAGCCTTAGTCCATTCAGCTTTAGGATCACTAACAAGACACAGAGGCTCTTTGGAAGGTTTGTACCTTGGTTTATTTTGCTAACATATTCTGGTCCTAGTTTAGTGGGACTGACCCAGAGTGAGCTTTAACCCAGGCTGTTAACACTCTGGACAACTAGTGAAGAGGAAGAGAGAAGGCATTTCCCAGGGCTGCCATGTGCCACTCGGGGTACTGGGCCTTGAGGACAGTGTGGAGTCCTTTGTCTTTGGCCATTTCCCTTCCATGCCTGAGCATTGTGGGGTTGGAGACACCAGCCATCTTCCAGCCTGTGGTGTCGACACTCAGGTGGTCAGCACCAGTCATGGCTGCCATCACACCTGTGCACCAGCATCCTCTAGTCAGCTGCAGTGTCTGCATACTTGGCCTCCATAACTTTTCTCAGCTTTTGAAATAGGCTGATTGAACCTGAGATCAGACCTTCCTGAGCAAGGTCAAGAGGGTACAAACGGGGAGGTAAGGCATATTAAATGGGTAGTCAGAGTAGACAAGCCTTGAGGGAAATGGAGCAGGTTCTTCATCCTAGAAGTCATATTAAATGGATGCTTAATTGTCTAATTCAGGATGGTTCTCCGGAATGAGGTACTAACAAGGGGAAGAACCCTACATCTTGGCTCCAGGTCCTTATCTCAGACTTAAGGTCACAGTTCCTGAAGCATGTTGGAGTGAATGCTGGTCCCAAAAATGTTTAAGGAGGTAAAGGGTTCCATAGTCAAATTGGTCTGAGAAACACTTGCCTATTGCCTTAGATGATTTGCAGTAAACATCCTGAAAATTCCTAGAATAAACAAAACCTGTTCAACCCATTATTTTCAAGAACAGAACTTTTCAGGGAGCCTTAAAAAATCGCATCAATTGAAGAATATTCTATGTGCTCCATGCAGTGCACATTAGGAAAATCAGGCTCAAGGGCTTCTTGAACTGAAGCAGTCAGTGGGGAGTTATTTCTTGTGTCTTCCCAGCCCTGTTCCTTCTTTCAGTGAAGGTTCTCTGTGTCTTCTTTGAGCAATGCTCCTCCCCTCTCCCCTGCACCATCTGTCTCCCAGATATTTGTTCTTGGTGGTGAGGAGAGAGGGAGGCTGTCAGACATGGACCCTAGTCCCATGCATAGCCCCAGGGGCTGTACCTGACACAGGGAGGGCCAAAGCAGTGCTTAATCAAGACTTTGAGCCAGTACCGAGGAGAAGAGCACTTCCCTTTCTGAAGTTATAGCAGACAAAATGTGAGCTTGAGAGCTGCCATCTACTACAGAACCCACCTAGTAATAAAAATTGGTTAGAAAAAACCTGCCAATATGCAAAAAGGGCAGACATGAGGGGCACCTAGTTAGGGCCTAATAAATGATATAGCATAAAATGTTGATATTAACACATAAATAGTATACAATATAATTATGTAATTAATATATAATTATGTAATTTAATTATATAGTATAATATGTAATTTAATTACCTAATATACACCGTATAATTATATGTTTATATAATATAGAATGATTTAGGTCTTGCTAAGGTTAATATATATTATATATAATTTATAAAATTATATAATGTATTATTACAATATATACAATACCAAACATATATAATTTTATATAGTTATATAAAATATAGGTGTATATATATATATATCTCAATAACCTTAGCAAGTCCTAATTGTATGTAAGCACATAATATGTAAGTATGGAATTATATATGGTTATGTACAATGATTAGTTAGATTTATGTAATGATTTAGATATTAACCACCTTAGCAAGTCCTAAGCTTTTCGTCATCAGTGAGGCCCAGCCACACCTCAGCTCTTGTCACTTTTGGGTTATGAGAGCGAAAAATACATATCCTTTTGCTTAGATTTGTCCAATTTGCCACCAAAAAGAATCCTGATGAACACAGGCAGTTTCTACAGGGGCCCCGCCCTCCACCGAGCTGTCCACATTTCCAGCTTGGCTTTAAATAGGGCAGTACTGAGTCTAGAGAAGATTATAAAATTCACAACAAATTCCAAAAGGAGAGCAAACAGGAGCACTAGGGGTTGGGCCTCTTTTGAAAATTTTCTGTTCTTCTAGGTGGGGTCCTGATATTGTCAACTCTCCTCTATTTCAGGCCTCGTTTCATCTCTCCCAGCATTGCTCTTTTCCTCTCCTCCCCCTGCTCCCTGTACCCTGGCTGTGTCTCATTTCTCAGTCATGAAAAGTCAGGAGGTGGCCACATGGTTTGTGGTTTGTGATGGAGGAAAGGTAGCTGAGTTACTTGTCCTTTCTGCCCTCCAGGCTCCTCTGTCTTTTGGAGCATAGTCAGTTTACAGCACTCTGTCTCTCCATTCTGGTTCCTTCTCCCCACAGAGTCTTCAGTGACTAAGCCTCACTTAATGTAACCAGCAGCCCCCATTCAAGTTATTTAGCTATTAACAGAGATTACAGTCATCAATGAAAGTGGCAGCATTTTATCCCTGGTTGTGTGAAGGAGGTTTTCATGTAGGTCATGAGCCTTCCCAATACTAGATTGAGTCATTAGGAAGGTGGCAGGCTTATTTGTTCATGGTTAAAGGTGCTCTTGGGTTTTTCTTGATATCTGATCTTTAAACAGTGATGTGAGCTAGAGCTGGCTCCCAAAAGCCAATGGTAGCATCTCTTTCCAACTCTGAGCTCAGTGACATCATGTTGATGGCTTAAAACCAGCCATGGTGGTACTTGCACCATGGGAATCAACACTTTACAAATTAGACCTGCCCCAACCCCAAAGGGGGTTGTTAACCATTTACCAGCACACCACTGCCGAGATGCTCACATGGCTAATCTTTGCTTTTACCATCTCTGTCCTTCTGCCACACTTGCAGTGGCATTTATGAGTACCCATCACCTACAAGACCCAATCACCTAAATTGAGGGTGTTGGGACAATTTTTTTTCTGGTTAATCTGACACACCTGGTCCATGCTAATATAGTTTAGAATAGAGGCTGCAACCCAGTTGCCCATGTATTAAATTCAGCCTGACAACTTATTTTACTTGGCCCCTGTAACATTTGTTTAAAAAGTGAATTTCCTGCCCCAATTTTAAATCGGGTAGATTTCACATGGAAAATCTGTGTTTTTGACTTCTCTTAAAAGAAAAAAAATCAGAAGATCTGGCAATAATTGGCAACCATCCTTGTACTGAGACAGTTGGCTGAAGCTGAGGTACAGCAAGCCCTCTGCACTTGCCATGCATTTTTCTTTTCACCCTAGTCCCACTCAGGCAGCTGTATTCACTTATGCTACCTGCCTTACCTCTGCAGGTGTTTGAGTTTGGTTTAGAGCAACATGTTCTATGTCTTGTTCTCCCCACCTGCCACTAGAAGGAACTTAACAATAAGACAGGACATGGTCCGGGGGTGCATAGAATGGTAGGATTACATTCCACTGGGGAAATCAAGCATGGCCTCACTGATAAATAGCTCTGCAACTCTGAAGTGAGACCTCCAGTTAGGGATAAGATTTTCATTGTGTAAGACATGTAAGGAGGGATGACATTCCAGGTATCAGGAGTAGCAGGAACAAAAGCGTTGGAGATGGGAGTCTCCATGTGCTTTGGGACTGCCATGTGCTTTGAGAATGCCAAGACCTAGGATTTGTGCTGGGCAAGTGGGCAATAAAAGGATGAAAACTTAGGTTGAGGCCAGGTCATTTAGAACCTTGGATTTGAGGTTTAATTCAATTCTGTATAATAAATTATTTCTGAGCCCTTGCTATATCCCAAGCTCTCCACTAGAGCATGAACCCAGATATGATTGTGATAACACCTCTGTCCAGGACTTTTATCCATAGTTTATACATTTGTTTTTGTTGTTGTTTTGAAGTTTTTTGCCATGAACCTCTACCAAGTTTATTCAAGCCAGATAAACTAGTATTTTTTCAGGATAAAGAGTATAGTTTATTGGCCCCCTAGGGACTGGGGAATCCTTAGAGCACCAGGGACTTTGCTTTGAAAGTATAAGTTACTGGAAGTCTCTGTGGCTTGTCAGCCTGAGGGGCACCTCCCACTGCAACTTCAGCAATGTTAGCCCCATGGCACGTACGTAGTCTGGAAAGATGGAAGCCAGGGAGGAGGCTGCTGTGGTGGCTGAGGGATGAGGAGATGCTTTTAAAAGAGATGAGAAGGAATAGACACAGAAAGGCAATGAAGAATCTATCAGACAGCAAGAACACAGGCCAGAATTGTTTGGAGAGTAAGAGAGTGGTGCGAACTGTCAGAAATTTGGTAGTTAGCTGCTACATTGAGCACCAGGGAAGCCCAAAAATAGGTGTGTGTGTGTGTGTGTGTGCACGCACGCGCGCATGTACACATGGAAGTTACCAAGGTATAGTGTGGAAGGACTACCAAACCGATGAAGGCTTCTTAGTTTCCTTGTTGACTCTCTGAGATGTAAAAGAAAAATTATATTTCCAGTTGACAAACATTGGGCAGAAAAAAAATCTTATCTTAATGTTTAGAAGAAAAATTCCTATTAGGGTGTGAATGATCTATATTTGGGAACAAATCTTGATTAACTGCTTGGGGTAGGAGGACGAGTATGGCTTTTGGCAGGAGACCAGGCAATGAAGAAAAGATGATGATGCTGCTCTTTAAAGAGAAAAAAAAAGAGGCTGGGCGTGGTGGCTCATGCCTGTAATCCCAGCACTTTGGGAGGCTGAGGCGGGTGGATCACGTGAGGTCAGGTGTTCAAGAACAGCCTGACCAACGTGGCAAAACCCCTCCTCTACTAAAAATTCAGAAAAATTAGCTGGATGTGTGGTGGTGCGTGCCTGTAGTCCCAGCTACTCGGGAGGCTGAGGCAAGAGAATTGCTTGAAGCCAGGTGGTGGAGGTTGGCAATGAGCCGAGGTTGTGCCACTGCACTCCAGCCTGGGTGACAGGCTTTAAGAGAGACTCCATCTCTCTTAAAAAAACAAAAAACAAAAAACAAAAACTCACTTTTTACATCTGAGAAGGATGAAGAGAGATGAGAGGAGGGAGAGAAGGGAGTGGGGAGAGGGCAGGAAGATGGCACATGGCTGGGGAGGCTGGCCAAAAGGAGTCCAAAAACAAGAATGTCGATTGTGATATGTAGCTGTTTGCCATATCCTGGGCAAGTGATTCATCTTCATGACCCCAACACTTCCAACAATACTTTGTTTGAATTTTCCCTGCTGCCCTGAGGAATTCAAGCAAAAGATAGGGTTTTGTATTGGGTTGGCCCAATACAAAACAGGATGGAGGCTGCAGTAACCACAACTTGCAGAATCCTAGGGAAGCGCTCTGGATCTCTGCCAGCTCTCGATGGCAAAGGGAGCCCGTCTTCAGTGGGCTTTGGGGGAAAGGGGACCCTGGGGGGGTATCTGGGTGTTAGGGCAGGTCAGCAGGACGAAGGTCTACTGGAGGAGCAAGAGGGAACAAAAGAAGCAGTAGGAGAGAGACAGGGAGGTTCCAATTCTGCTGCCCTCATGCAGGGCCCCTGACTCCTCTGAGTCTCATCTTTTCCACATTTAACAGTAAAAACAGCCTACCTTGGGGGTTAAGATCATGCATGTAGAGCTCCAGCACTTCGTAAGTGCTGAATAAATGCCCAGTGTTATAAGGAACGTCTTTTCATTGGTCTCCAATAACTGCGCTGCCAAATTTGGCTCTGGGTGTAAAAAAGTTCCCTGACTGAAGCCTGATAGGGGCCAACTTGCCATGCCACCAGCCTCACATCCCGCCCATCTCTCTTCCCCAGGCATGGATTTAGGACAGAGCCCCAGAGAGTATTGACCCAGCCAGAGCAGTTCTTGGTGTCTTGCCTTATCAAATAGTCTGAAGAATAAAACTCTCAGAGGTCATCTTTACTGTGAAATTCTAAAATCATATTTATTCACCAATTCACAGAAAGTGTCATAACGACCACCAACATGAATCAGTTTGTAGGCATTTACAAGCCACAGCTGAAAATAAAAATCTGTCTGTGTTGAATAGGCATTTAACAAATTACTTGAAAACTGCAAGAATCATAATTATTATAAATTTAAAGTTTGTGATTCAAACATGGGTAAGATCACAGTCATGGGGAGAAGCCCAACAGATTCCTGTGATGATCCTTATTTTCTTCCTATATCTTTATATACATAGAGACTCTCAGCGCCCCTCACTCTGTGTCAGTCTGAATTGGATATGACAGCTCAGTTAGGCCTGAGAGAGGATTCTATGAAAAGGAGTGGGGAGGGGAAAGGACATTTTCTCTGACCCTCTGTGGCTGGGCAACCTTGTTGACTGAGAAGACAGTGCGCTCTTCTGAAATTAGATTCAATTTTCTATAAATTCATACAGTCCTTCTAATGAGATACTCCAAAGTCTGCATTGTTTCACACTCATACACAATAGTATATTTATCAAATAAACACATTTTCTAGACTAAAAAGATTCATTCTTTGAGGCAGCTTGAAGAGCTCAGAAGTCTGATACATGTCAGGTACACACTGGTCCACCGCTGGAGGCAAAGCCATCCACTGTGGGAGACACCGGCCAGACTGGCAGTAATGGCCCAGACAGTAGCAGTGATTGAAGGTGATTCTGCAAGACGAGGCTGCTCCCCCTCCTCTCTCTGCTGTGTCAACACCACAGAGACTCTGGAGGAGAGAAAACATACCTCTCTCTTTCAGGCCTTTCCCACACACACTGAGGTTGAGAAGCTGGGAATAAACAGCGTCCAACACTTTTAAATGGCGGTGGCAGCTCCAGACAAGGGAGAAGGGAAGGACTGAGAGAAGAAATTATTAGACTTTTTAGACTGGCTGAACCCAGAACCTTTACATTGGTTACAAAATCATGCCTGGAGGTGAAAAATTCAATAGCATTATACCAAGTGTTTGGGCAACGGTGTAGAGACAATAGTAGAGACAAGCTACAGCTTTAGACAGTGGTAGAGAGAAGCTACAACTTTAGCTTGTAGAAACAGCTGTTGGGTGTTCAGCAGATGCAGTCTAGGTGCATGCAAACCCACTGTGTGCAGCATGCCTTCACTCTCACGACAAGGGAGCCAGACCTTGTGTCTGCGGCTGGCTGAATATTGCATGGAATCTGTGGATTCACAGAGGCTTCTCCTCAGCTAAGAGGGAGTGTGGCTGGATGCATTTCTCTGTGGCTCATTCAATTTGGGGTATACTCATACTACTGAGTCTCTATGAAGGAGTGATAAGCTGGGTCTTCAATTTCCAAATGTTTACCAAACTCCTACTATGTGCCAAGCACTATTCCCACTGCTTTGAGAGCTAACGGTAAACAACAACAGTGAAAAAACATGTAACATCCCAACCAGTGCTTCTAAGGATTTAAAATATGCTGGTACTTATGACTTTATTCTTACTTCTGTATTATAGATATGTATATGGCTTTGGGGTATGTGTATATGTACACATATATGCACACATATACACACACACACATATATATAATCAGCTGTCCATAGCCTACTCATCTCTGATAATTTATATTTTGTACTCAAATTTCTCGAATACCCCTACCAAATCATTCTCTCCTCCTTACCAATATTATAATGTCCCTGACAATAACATAACAAACCCAGCTCTAACACCTACAGATTTCTTTGAGAACAAACAACTTCTACATGCAATTTCTTTTCTATACTCACCAACTGGTTTTCTTCAACCTCCTGCCCACCCTGTCCAGCTCAGGACATCAACAACCCTTTATGGAAACCACCGAGGTCAGACTGGATGCAGTCAGTTGGATTGATTCATCATGACTAGTTCAATTAAGAGCTGATCACCTTCAAACAGCTCTGACTTTGGAAGCAATTGATTTGACTGCCTCTTTGGTCACATGGCCAGATTTACCCATAATTTTTTGCAAACTTGGATGCATCTTTAGATACAGAGCAATGCTTTGGCATCTGGGGGAGGGGGTTGTTCCTGGTGCTGTCACTTGTACCCACTCTCCTGTTTCCTCTCCAACTATGAGTCACATTTTCCCTCAATATCTCCTATCTTACTTTTTGAGTGATCAGCCCTGACTTTCAAGTCTAAATTTCTCCTCCACGCCAAAAACAAAACAAAAACAGAAAAACAAAAAAAGCTTTTTGCTGTATCACACCACCTAAAGTTTGGCTAGTGAACATGAGCAGACCTCTTCTGAATCCCACACATCAGCCATGCTCTTGCAGCCATGTAGAGGAGCTGGAGGTGGGTGGGCGTGGGCTCCAGATGTGAGTGTTCTATATTGGCCAGGATGGATGCACTTTTGCCACCAAGGGTGGATGAGCCTTTATATTAACATCCATGACCCACAGGCACAAGCAAGGCCCTCCTCACAGAGGCCCTTATGAATCCTTCTGAAGAGGAGATGCTACCTCCTCATCCCTTTGCCTGCCTTCTCTGCAGAGGTGCTGGAGTCTGCAGCTGAGACCTGTGGGTTGATTCTCTCTGCACACAAAATGTGGGCTCATTTCTCTGGTAGCTCCTCCTGCCGGGGAAAAGGACCCTCAATACGTGTGTGGGTGTCCCATTTCTGTTCTGAAATGTGCAGTAAAAAGGGTCCAGGTAACAGAGATGCATTTTCATTTCAAGATAAAAGCAAACAGACATTAAAGCTAACACGTTTCTGTTGTCTGTGATTAATACACACTGTCTGCATTTTGGCTCTTCTCAAGTCTGTTGCCCTCTTTTCATTAGTCTACTGGGAATTGAACTTCATGTTGATGAATCTGCTCTGCAGTAAATCTGATGAAAGGAACTGGAGAGCAGCACAAGGCTGGGTCATTAACAAATTAGGGTTTTCTCTCCTCAGTTGGGATGCTGCCCATGACCTCGACGGTGGAGCAAGCAGGCCTCACCCAGGCACATCTACCCCTGCTCCTTGCTTAGGGGCTCCATTTACTGACTATAGCTAGGAAGGGGTAGTCCCCAAACAACCCCACTCCTGTTTTCTCCCACGTGCATCACAAATGTTGTCCTCTGTTCACTGCACTTCCACCCTCGTCGATCTGATTTTACAAAGGACCTTGACTCACAAACCGAGAAGGAAGTTGGAGGAGGCTTTCTCCACTGGGGGGTCTTAATTCTTCAAACCCAGTCCCTTCACTGAGGTCAAGTGATCTCTGGGATTCAATTCAATTCAACATTTGTGGCACACATGTCATGGGCCAGGTGCAGTGCTAGGCTCCCGTGGTGCCACAATAGCTAAGTCGGTAGTCTTCTTACCTTAAGGAGGTGGCCATATCAGCAGAGGCAGCAATAGTTGGAGATCTATACTAGTCTCACATGGCCACGTTTTCCAAGGTCCTGGCCAGGCACCACATCATTCAACTGCATGTTCTCATGGGGGCGGGGTCCTGCCTCTGGGGAGGTGTTGCCTCAATGGTCCAGAGGTACCAGCTCCCTTCTGTTCCCCAGAAACAGGGGTGTCTTTGGGCCATTCAGGAGGACTCTGAAAAGACTGCTGAGGCTGTGAGCAGGAGAGAATCTGGGTTCTTCAGAACTCAACAGATGGTGCTAGTTTTCCTAGGCTACATGTCTAGTCCCTTTCCTAGACTGCTACTCTTCTGTCCTTCCACCCCAAAGCCCAGGGCCCTGGCCCTCTGACTCTCCATCTCAAAACCCCTTGTATGAGGAGACTGTACCTCGTAGGAGGAGTCAGTTAGGTGTACACGACTGACAAAGTACCAGCAAGTTCCTTTCAAAGGTCTGTGGACCTTCACAGAGTTTAAGCTATAAATCAATAGTTGCTGGGCCTCAGGGGAAAGGAGAATTGGTGAATCCTGGCAGCCTCACAGACTTTAGAAATCAGAAGGCCCAGACAGATTCTAATTGTAAATGAGGCTGTAGGTTTGTTTTTGGATTTTTGTTTTCTACTTTTAGTAACATCCAGAATGAGTTACTGCCCTTCCAAGGAAGGCCATCCATTCCCCAAGCAATTCAGTGTTTGAATTGTGATGCTGCATGCCCCAGTCTCATTACAAACAAACAGAGCAGTGCTGCGGCAACCTGGCAACGTCCTTAAATGACCCCCTCCACACTCTGCCAGGCCCTGGGTGTCTCCACCAGCATACAGGCTGTGTAGAAAGCAGCTCTCCTAGTGACCAGGGTCACTGCTGCAGTTTCAGTGTTTCTCCACAAAATATGGCCCTCGAAGAGGCTGCTCAGCTTACAGAAACCTGGCAGGTGGCCTTCCTGGGGATGAGTGACCTCATGGCAGCCTCTCCTGGGCAGTCTCTCTCTCTAGGATAGAAGGGGCAGGCAGGCAGGAATTGTCTCATGCCCAAGGGCAGGTGAAGGATGCGGACTAGGACCAAGGTTCCTTGAAACCACTGCTTCAGTGAGTATAAACTGGAGCCAAAAAGGCCCAGGATGGGGGCTGGGGGTGGTTTGCTTTGGCACCCTCACTGCACTAGTCATTGATTTTACCTTGTTAGTTAATAGTCAGTTCTTCCCGATGCCAGCTCAAGTCATCTCCTCATCCTCTGCATCAGTGGTTCTCAAACTTTAGTGTGTGTCAGAAAGCTCATTAAATCACAGACTGCCTGCCTCCAGAGCTTCTCATTCAGTAGGTCTGGGGTGGGGCCCAAGAATATGCACTTCTCACATGTTCCCAGGTGATGCAGCTGGCCCAGGGAACCACTGCTCCTCAGCACCAAATGTAAGCCCTCAGCAGGTCTCGTGGAGGTGGGCCCTCCTTAGATCTTCAGCTCTGATGTTGGGCCTCAGGAGGGCTCCCTTGCATCAGTCTGGCTTGTGCCTTTTGAGACTTGGCTCCTGCTGGCCCCTCTACCTGCATCACCCTTCCTAAATTTCCAGGTCCACCTGGCTGCTGTTTATATTTAAGGACTGCTTCTGTCTTATTTTCTCTGAATGTCAGCTGTCAACCATGTTATTTCTGCCCAGTGGGCAGGGTAACTGGCTTTCATCCATAAGTGAACTGAGTCAGCCTTGATTGGAATTGAGGAATATTCAGGGAAATATTGCCTACTTCCCTGGAGAGCTCCTCAGTCTGCCTCAGTGATGCATATCAGGGCCCCTAGAATTACACCTGTCATCTGACTTAGGGTGGGTAGCTGTCAAAGCAAGTTACCCTGCCTCCCTAACACTAAACTTCTGTCCCCAAAGTCCTGACTGCTCGTGCACAGCTTCCAACACCACAAAGGGACATCCCAACAGCTCACAGGCCAAGAGCTCCTCATGGTCAGGGAAACATGCCTTGTTCATCCTCCCTTCCCCTGTTGCTGGCACAGGGCCTGACCCATCACAAGTGCCCAGTGAAGGTCTGCTGAATTACACTGAACATAGCTGCAAACACAGACTCCCATCTGTTTACTACCTGCATACAGGGAATATCTGTCAGCTTTCTGGGGTGCTGCTGGAGGTAACTTCTTCTGTCTCTTTTTGTCTCCCTGGGATGGAATGAAGCCTGGCTCTTAATCCACAGCCCCTGTAAAGCCAACTCTCCTTTTCCAGTTGGCACTAAAGGGAAAACTAGAGCATTATCTACATAGCAGGTATAGAATACATCTATAAAGTAAAGGAAATAAAGACAGGAAATGAGGGTACTGGGGTAGACTTCAAAACTTTCATTGCTCATTTCTTTTGCCTGCAGCTGGACAATGGAAAGTGGTTATGTGAAAATTAAATTGTGCCAAGGGCTTTTGCTTGTCAGCCTCAATAAATGTCTCATATAGATGCAGAATCCTGTACCATTCATAGCCTGCCAGAGTACATTGCAGAAGGCTTTGGGGATCCCCCAGAGGCCTAAACGTTATCTTACCTAAAAATCATCTACTTTTCACTGGCAAATACTTTCAAAGAATTAAACCCACTTACCTACTTTTTTGTAAAAACTATTTGGTTAATTTAAATGTGGGGATGATTAAAAAAAAAGTTGTCTTTTTTTCTTCTTGCTGATATTGAGCCATAGAGCCAAGAAGATTGCTAATTTCGAAGTGTGCTTGGTCGGGCTTTCTACTGATGATGTTGCTATTGATTCAAACAGTCACAAGTCTTTAGGATCATTTTTAGAGCAATGGCAAGAGTAGGGCTGAAATGAAAATCAGTCTGAGATAATGAACACTCCTGCTCAGAGATCATTATGGGCTGAGCTGTGCTGGGAAGGCACTGAGCCTTGGGGGGCTAACACTTGCCTCAGTGGAGTTAGCACTCAGTAACCAGGCAATCACCTCGATCCAAGGCTTTCAACTCTCGTGGAATATCTGTCAGTTTGTCAGTTCAGCAAATAACAAGTGTTTTGTTTGTTTCTTTTTTGTTTTCCCCCGGAACATGGACTTTTAAAACAGCTTAATTAAAAACTATGGCACTTTTTCCTGTTGTTCAGTTTGGAGGCAAAGACTACTGGGTAGTTGGTGAGAGGCTTATGAGAGCAGCTTGCTTTCTCCTGAGGTGGAAGGCTAACTTCCATGGTGTATGGTACGGGTTGCCAAACTTTGGCCTTGGGCCAAATCTAGCTGGCTGCTAATTTTCGTATGGCCTGTGGGCTGAGGAAGGTTTTTATATTTTTAAATTATTAAAAATGTAAATCAAAAGGGTAAAAAAAGATATGAAAATTACATAAATCCAAACTGCCTGCTTTTTTAGTGTTTTTAAATTGTTTTATGGAAACTAGATAAAGTTGTATTGAAACATTCATTTGTTGTACGTATTGTCTGTTTTCATGCTACAATAGGAGAGCTGAGTACAGTCATCCCTCAGTATCTGTAGGGGATTGGTTCCAGAACTCCCCTCGGACACCAAAATCCACAGATGTTCAATTCCTTTATATAAAATGCATAGTATTTGCATATAGCCTATGCACAACTTCCTGTGTTCTTCAAATCATCTCTAGGTTACTTATAATACCTAATACAGTGTAAATGCTATGTAAATCCTGTTAAACTGTATTGTTCAAGGAATAATAATGAAAAAAAGAATATGTTCAGGTCAGTTGCAACTATACATTTTTTCCCAAATATTTTTGATTCAAGGTTGGTTGAATCCATGGATTTGGAAACCTCAGATATGGAGGGCTGACTATTCTGTGACAGGTACCAAATGGCTCACAAAGCCCAAAATATTTACTATTTGCCTCTTTACAGATAGTTTGCTGACACCTGACATATAGGAATGGGGGACATTGCTTCTCACCACCCCCAGCTCTCTCACTGGATGGTCCATGTATACAAAGTAGAGCCCTTATTAAATGCAAAGATGTTGGTCTAAACCCTGCTTGATAGGATGATTGAGTAAATTCAAGAAAGTGGTAATGAGGGCTGGGTGCGGTGGCTCACTCCTATAATCTCATTACCTTGGAGGCCAAGGTGGGCAGATCACCTGAGATCAGGAGTTTGAGACCAGCCTGGCCAACACGGTGAAGCCCTGTCTCTACTAAAAATACAAAAATTAGCTGGGCATGGTGGTGGATGCCTGTAATCCCAGCTACTCGGGAGTCTGAGGCAGGAAACTCGCTTGAACCCGGGAGGTGGAGGTTGCAGTGAGCTGAGATTGTGCCACTGCACTCCAGCCTGGGTGACAGAGCAGCAAGACTCTGGCTCAAAAAACAAACAACAACAAAAGAAAGCGGCAATGAAAAGAGATTTCACTGAAATCACATTTTTGGTATCTAGATGAATTTGGGCCTTGGCTGTGCTTACAGCATTTGATCAAATGTATGATGATATATGTTTAGTATTTTTTAAGGCAGGCTACCAACTAGCCGGTTGCTTTACTCCACTGAAGCAACTCATTCTGCACTGGGATTTAAGCATTTCAATCTTCTCCTCCAACTTCTCCTCCATGTCATCTGAATCACCTGAGAGTTGTAGCCTATTTTCAAGCTCAGGAAGGCAGAATCTGGTTGTCCACTTGGCAAGACAAGCAATGAACTGGGCTGTGGCCAAACCAGTCAGCAGTTCCTCCTGGACATGAGCCTGCATCTGCCTGGCTGCCAACATCTCAGTTAGAGGTCATAGGGTGTCTAGGCCTTCAGGGGTTTTGGTTCCTGGATGCCAGCATATGGAGGGTGGAAAATGCCAGACTGATTAATGACACCTTTTTCTTGGGATCAGAATATCTGGGGGAGGGCAAGCCACATTACCCTGCTCACCTGGATACCTCCCAAAGCTTCTGTTACTGGGATATAACCACTCCCGTCTTGTTCTCATCCATGGTGAGGAAGAGGGTGTTGCGAAGATGACCAATGCCTGCCAACCCAGCGGATTCATTCAAGTGCCTGATCTTTGTAGCTGACATGCAGAGAATGACCTCTTATAGCCAGAGTTGAGGGAAACAGCTCTGATTTGTTGTCACCACTGTTTCTCTGCAAATGAGTCCACCAACCAAATGCTTCCTCAAATTATTCATCTTTGCTGCCCTAGCCATGGGCCACCTTTACCTGCTACCCCCCCTACCAAAAAAACCCCAACACATATAAAGATTTTACCTAACAGCTCTCTCAACTATGAATAAGGCAGCCACCCAGAGAGCATGAGGAACACCTTCCCTACCCAACCAGATCGAAAAGACTGAGCAAAGAGAAAAGTGTTCTCACAAACACCAGACTTAAATATTTAAAATCAAAATCTAATTCAAAAAGAATGGGTTTTAAGCATATGAAGTGTTCTTTTTGCTGCCACAATTTTGGGAGAATTCAGTTGCTCCTAAATGCCCAACTAAAGATCTTTTTTTTATTTAAATGGGATTGTGAAAACTAATCAGTCCTATAGACTTTCCTCTTGTGGATGTACAGACACAGCCTAATAGAAAAGGGCTATTTGGTTGGGAGAATTCCCAGGAGAAATATCTGTTTCCATCCAATGAATATAAAACCCCAGCTTCTTCTGGTGTTTTTCCCTGAGAAGGGAAAAATAAGAGCACTGGTTAAGTTTGTGACCGCATCCTTCTTCTCTTGTGACTTCTCTTCCTCTTCATTTGTCTCTTGTGTAATTTCTAGGCCTGTTTATTTCCCGTCTGCAAATATAATGTAGGGAAGGAGCTTATCTTATTCAGCTTTTCTTTTTCTCACAGCTATTGGTAGGATGCTTAGCACATAGTAGGTTTGCAGCAGTGTCTGTTAGGTGCATACCTATGAACATAAGTAGAATCCTGCACCAGGAGTGGAAGTTGGGGAGACTGGTCTTGTCTATACTTTTGAATGACTCTGAACAAGACATTGAATCACGAAGCCTCAGTTTACTCATCACAAAAATGTATCTAACAACAGATGTCTCAGTTACTTCACAGGATTTGTTGTGAGGTCCAAAGGAAGGAACAGATGCAGAAAACACTTTAGGAGGTGGGAAAAGCTTCACAAGGTTGTTCTCATGAATCAGAAAGTTGAAAAGACCTGCCATGGGTCCTCCCTGGGTGGAGGTCAGACTAGAGGACATTGGCAGTAGTCCCCTTCTTAAGCTGTTTTGATGACACAAAGAAAAGGCTGAGATTCTGAACTATTTTTTTTTAACATAAATGCCACTTAACTAGGGACCAGCTCTGTGCCTGTGCCAAACCAATTGGTGTGAGCTTGAGGAGGAGTGAAGGATGGGGACAGAGCATACACATTGATGACAAAGAGGAATCAGACATTCGAAACAAACATGTTCTCAGAGCTTCGTGGAAATTCTGTCAAGGCCCTAATTCTTGCCTGCTATTCTCTTGGCCACAAAAGATCACAGACCAGTTACTATAGAAACAATTCTCTTCACAGGTTGTGCATGTTAGGATGGAGATGGAAAAGATTTCCTTATCAAAAAAAGAAAGAAATTAGGTTTTCAGATATATTTGCCCTCTATCTAAAGTGTTCCTCCTTTTATGAGCAGAAGAAAGAAGAAGCTGCAATGATTGCAAATATGCTTCTAATTCCTTGCAGTTAAATTTCAAACTTTCATTGTAGACTTGGTGGAGCTCGTGCGTTTCTAATACATGCAGAAAGCGTGTATTTTCTCAAGAGGGAAGATAGGAGATAAGGGACCATAAGGCTGAGTGGTGAGAGCCTTGCCAACCTCAGGGTCCCCTCTGTCCTGGGGGAGCCCAGCCACCCCCACTCCACCCACCATGAAGCCTACGTTTGACCTCATTAGCATTTCCATCTGCTTTCTGGCTCTAGGCTTGTTGTGACTGTCCTTGTTGTGTGTTGTGTTGTGTCCTTGTTGTCCTTGTTGTGACTGTCCTTGTTGTGTTGTCCTGGGGCAGTGCCTGTGTGGAATGCCTCCTGGGCCCTGTGGTTCTGTTTGCTGAGTGCCCCTGGCAGGGTAGCTGCATGGTTGCAGCAGGTGCCCAGACAGGCAGGCTCAGATAGCTCTGATGGGGGATCAGACCCTGCTTGTGGCCAAGGACCTATTCTTGGTTTGGGACTTTTCTTATAAGCTTATATGGCCTCAGAAAGAAGCAAGGGGAAAGGCTCTCCAAGCTGGGGAACTAGATAGACAGAGAGAGAGAGAGAGAGAGAATGTGTGTACCTTTCCCTGTAAACTTAGTTCTGCCTCAACAAGGACTTTCCTTTAAACTGTTAAGCACTAAGACCTTACGTGTGTGAAGTTCAACCACCCTCCTTGTATGAAGCAACCTGGAGTCAGCATAGGAGAACCTACTGGTCTGTGTGGAGGAGACGCACAGTGAGTTGGAACCCCAGGGCCTTGGGGACTCTGAGCCTGGGGAGGTGAGTGACACAAAGGTGGGCCTTCTTCCCTGCAGGAAAAAACAAAGGCAAACTCTGCAGACAGGTAGTCAGGATGCTGGGGAACTTAGGGCAGAAGTGGAGGCTACAGGACAAAGTCTACCCTGAAGTCCTCACTGATGGCCATGCTGGGCTTCTTGGAACTTCCCCATGGATGAAACACAGGGAGTGCCCAAGGCTTAAAGGGTGGGCTCCAGGAAGCTGGAGAAGGCCTTCCCAGACATGTCACAGACATCAGAGGTGAGGTATGATAGACATGGGCATACACTGGGTCAGGGTTTACAAAAGGGACATGTGGGCCAGGCAGCAGACCCCTGGGCACTAGTAGGGGAGGGTGGAGTCATCCCACTCCAGCTGGGCTTGCCTGGCTCCATTCTGCCCATGTCTGCCTCTGCCCATCCCTTCCTCCTCCTCCTCCTCTTCGCTGTCGTCAGAGCCACTGCTGGAGCTCATTTCTTCCTCGGCTTCTTCCTCCTCTTCTCCCTCAGTCTCATCTTCCCCATGCCCTGGTCCTTCATGTTTCTGGATATCAAGGAGAAAAAGCAAATGCTCATCAGGGGCTGAACAGAGGCCATTTTGGAGCTTATGTCTCTCCATCCATTAAGGAAACATTTACGGCCCCTTGGAATTTCTTCTTTTAGTGCAAAACTCTTCAGCCTGGAGACAGACTTCCTGGAAGGGAAGTCTTCTGGTAAAAAGGAAGCTAGAAGGTTCAAGGCAAAAGCCTGAAATAGCAAATTCCAAGGCATGAACTCAAGGTAGACTGTTGGGTATAAATGATGGGCTGGACATTTTAGCCAATCCTATCCATCATTTACTGAACCTTTCAGGCCAAGGCTTGTTTTCAGGCATTTCTGGAGCTTATTTAAATGGAGCTGTCCAAGCCTTAGTGTTTGCTTCTCAGTGAGAGGATGACATTTGATCTTGTGTCTCTTTTCCAAGTGTGCATGCAATGTCCCTGGGAGCAGAAGGCATTCTAAGCAAAGACTCAGGTATGCTTCCCCTCAAAAATATTCCTTTGGAAAGGACAAATTTATTGGTCCTCACTTTCCATGCTTGCTGCTCACCCCCTGACTTGTGTCCTCAGGCTGTACCCCTTCCTTTCCAGTCCAATTCCCCCTCCCTCCAGCTTTTGGATAATTCCAGCAAAATTTCATTTCTGGATTTATGTTCTGCATTGATGAACCAGGTCATAAAAGTTGTTTCTCCTTGCTTGGCTACCCAACCCCTCCCCTTACACTTCTTAGGAATTGTCTTTTACCTCCTACCTTCTACCTTACCCCAAATCCTACCCACTCTTCAAGGTCTCCCCTAGGCCAACCTCCTCCAAGGAATCTTCCCTGATTGTTGCAGTCCTGAAGGCTTTTCCTCCTCAAGGTCATTGACTTTTGACATCACAAGGTTGGCCCTTGTTAGGCACACTCTTGCCTTGTCCTCACACTGCTCCAGGTATAGTGGTCTTGTTTTCTACACTCAAGGCTCAGCTCTTTGAAGGTGGAAATTCTGGAGTCTGTATAGCACTGAGCTCAGCATTTTACCTACAGCACATGCTTGGAGGAACTGAGCCACATCAGCACACTGGCTTTGGAATTGGAGTGTGAGGCTAGCCGAGGTGGAAACTGGGGACCAGGCTGGGGTAATCATCTTCCCCTACCTTTTCTAAGCCTGTGTCTATCATCAACCAGAACCCATGGGCAAAGGGCATGATGTAGAGGGCTTCCTTTGACACTCATGGATAGATTCTGGGGGCTGTTGGCTAACTGGAAAGATACAGACTTCAGAATCAGATAACCTTAAATTTGACTATTGGCTGTGTTAATTTGAGTATGTTACTTCTTTTCTTAGTTGGTTTCCACCTTGGTAAATGAAGATGATAACTCCTATTTTATTGGCTGTTGGAAGATTAAATGAGGTGGTGTATATAGAGCACTCTATACAGTATCTGGCATAATGGGGGCTCAATAAATGGCAGGCGTTGCTGCTATATTTTTCTTTTAATCTGTTCCAAGCCTTTGAGTGAACTCTTCAGGCAGTGTAGAGCAAAGCCATCTAATTTGCACTGTTAGTTACTCAAAACTTCAATACTGAGTCCCTAAGTGTTAGTTAGCTCTGAGCTAAATACTATGGGGGAAGCAAGGCTTAGCCACCTCGTGGTGTTTGCTTGCTTTAACAAAATTTCTGGTTCTGTTTGTGGGGTAAGAGCAATTAATACATTTTAAATCAGAGAATGTAGTTGGTGGGAAGGTATGATCTGTTCAGGCTGAGAGGGCTAGAGGAGCTCAGAGACAGGAAGAATCAGTGGAGCTGGACTAGATGGGGCAGGGCTTCCAGAAGGAGGGGGTATGGGGCTGCTTTAGGCATAGGAAGGGTTGAGCTGGGTAGAGGGAGAAGCACCCCACCCAGAACTCCCAGCCGTGCATGAGGATCACCTCCATGGGGTTGACTGTGATAGTCAGCGCAGAATCGTCCCAGTCCATCTCAGATTCCTTGGCAGCCTCAGTCTCCTGGATGAAGTGCTGGTGGGCGATCCGGACCCGGTACACACCCATGGCCACGACAAACACAAGCATGCACACGGAGATGATGATGACCACTGTGGCAATGCTTGGGACCACTGGAACAAGGAAAAAACTCGCATGACATGGTGAACAAAGGCCTAGCTCATTCTTGTGAGGGAGCATGAATGAAACATCCGTGCATAGGATAAAGTCTGCCCTACCACTTCCCAGCTGTAGAACTCTAGAGCAGTACCTTACCCTGTCTGGGCTTCACTTTCATCACCTCTATAATGGACATAATAATTCCTATCCTATGAGTAATAGTTAGGTGTAAATTAAATAATCTGTGAGTTTCCACATAGGCACAGTATAGGTGTTCATTAAATGCAAATTCTCTTTTATTCCTGGCTTTACCCCTCAAATTATAAAGAAACTTCCACAGAGCCAAGCACTGTAGAGTTTAGTAGAAACAGATACAAGTGCCCACCAGATGGTAACACAATATGGCAAGTGCTCAAATAGAAATTTGGGCAGAGGACGTTGCAATATGGTGTGTACGTGTGTGTGAGTGTGTGTAGAGGGCTCATGGAAAGCTTCATACATGACATTGTTTTGAGTTGGGCCTGAAATTTTGTCCCAGCCCTTTGTACTGACCTCTGCTATTATGTGTGTTGCGTAATTTCTTGTTTACTTATCGACTGCCTATTGAGGGTGTGAGTATCTCAAAGCCAGGGCACATTTTCTCCATTGCTGGGTTCCCTCCCTCAGTTCTGGGCACCTACGTTTGCTACAACATAACCGTCTGTTGAGTAGATAATCTTGAGTCACAATGACGACCTGTGTCCTGAGGGTCCCTCCTCTTGGGCACCCTACCTGAACTGTGCTGGATGCTACTCCGGGACTCAGGATGATGGACAGACTGGAGGAAGGGAGGCTGCACAATCAGATGATTGACATGCTCCTTATCTGAGACTTGGTCTTCATGAAGGATGCTGACCTGGGAAGAGTGGGGAGAGGTGCTATTGACCCAGGAGTGGCAGGTGGGCCAGTTACAGCATTTCTGAATGAATGAGGGAATGGGTGAGCCTTGGCTTCCCTAACAATGGCAGGACCCACTCACCTCCAAGTTGAACTCATTGCTAGTGTAGCGCCCATTGAGTTCTGAGCACTTAATCCGGAAACGCCGGGCCTCAAGGGAAGCCGGACGCCAGTTGCGGTAGCGGATGTGATGTAGCACCTGCTCATAGCGGCTCATGGAGCCCACACCTGTGCCAAGAGACCACACCTGTCATCAGAAGGCAGAAAAGGAGGAGGAAGAGAAGAGAGGAGACAAGCCAGGGCTTGTGGTACAAGACCTCATGGGTCTTGTAAATTTGTTGAGGGTAAGAGCTCAAGATATTTTGGGCAGACAATGTGCAGAAGTTCTAAGGAGCCAAAATTACATTGATGCACAAGCTTTCCATACAGACTGCCTTAATCTTCCAGATGTTTCTGTGACATTTGTTGAGATCAAACATTGTAAGAGAAGGCATCCACCTAGCTTCTACAAAAGAACTCCCCAGGAGTGGGAATGTGGGACTGGTCCCCAAGATGCTGGAGTAACTTGCCAAAGGAGGGTCTAGAAATCCATGCTTGAGGCCAAGGATCTCCAACTGGTCCCTGGGGCTTCACAGTGCTCCTTCACAGGTGCAATCTCACTCATGTCTCCCTGGACAAGGACATTCTAAGAGGACACCCTTGGGGCAAAGGGGGCTGAGTGTGGCCTTACCGTAGATGGAGTAGCCTGCAGTAGAATTAGTGGCATCCAGGTGTCGTTGGTGGAGCTCACTGTGGTTGAGCTCCAAGCACTCCTGCCTTGGGTCCAAGTCCCCTCCGATCACCAAAATGTCACAGAAATCTAAGTTATGAAGCATTTCCTCTAAGACTTCTGATTTGGGGTCTGTAGGAAGACAGACATGGGAAATGCAGGCATGAAGGACAGCTCAGAAAACAGCCCTTGCTAATCACCTTCCTCCTCTGTTATTGCACCCCAGGTTAAGGCTGGGTCAGGAGCAGAGTCTGTGTGATCCCAAATACCACATCCACCGCTCAGATGTCCAGGCATCCCTGAGGATGAATTAGTGGGATGAATTAGTAGCATGAATTAGTGGGAACAGCAGGAATACTGTAGCCAAAAGGTGTGATTTGAATACCAGCTCTGCCACTGAGAAGCTGCATAGTGTTAGAGGAACTACCTACCACTCAGTTTCCTCATCTATAAGGCAGGCAAGGGTCTTGGGATGGTTGAAAACAGTGTCCAGTGCACATTGTAGGTGCTCAATAAGCAATAGCTCTCATTTGGGTAGAGGTAAGTGGCCTTCCACCATGCTCTCATAGCTTTCTCCATGTGATCGTAGTCTCCCTGACCACCTGAGATCCTGAAGGGCAGAAGCACTATCTTTTTATGATTGAATCCTTAATGTCTAACCCAGGAGCTAGCATGGAATTGTTATTAATAAACCTTGCTCAAATGGAGCTGAATCATTAATAATCAAGTCAATATGATATAACCAATAATCAATATTTGATAAATTAATATAATTAATGTACTCCCAGGGGAGCACATTAGCAAGTTGGTCAGTCAAGTTGTCCTTGCCTAATTGTATGACTCCAAATTTCCCAAAGAAATGTCTGAGTATTTGAATGCTGGGCAGAGTTCGGCAGTCCTAAATTAAAATCCCATCTTAAGAAGGCGACTGGTATTTATGAAGTATGTGCTATGTGCCAGTCATGTGCAAATATAATCCTAATAGACATTAAAAGGGGGTACTATTACTATCCCCATCTCACTGATGATAGGCTAGTTGTCTTCAAGTGGCTTTGATCTTGCACTCCTTTATTGAAAAACTTGTGAAGAGAGATAATTTAAATAAGTATATTTATTTATTTATAAAGTGTACTAAATATACTTTGTGTGTTATAAAACATTTATTAAAACAGAAATTTAAAAAATTCACTAAAGATGGATTATTTTAAATAATTATCTTTTAAGTTTTTAAATGATATCAAAAATATATTTGCTCTCACTAGGTATATATTATATATTATTATAAATAATTTCTTTATCTTAATTTTTAAATGCTTGTCAATCACAATGGTTTCGTGTATAATCAGCAAAATCTAAAAGCACAATAACATACGCTTAAGACAGGGTCTATAATTAGCAATGCTGTATGTGCATCTTTATTTCAATGGCCTTCCCACAGTTTCCAGGTTTTTTGCCGGCTTCTTGTCAGGTCTGGTCATATCGTCCTTGTTCCTACCTCCCGCTGTGGCTGACTGAGAGCTCCCTGAGGTAGGGAGTGTGTCACGGCTGCCATTTTCTCATGGTTCTCTCTCACCATGGGTATTATCTTCCATCTGCAGGTTCCTTGATTCCCACTGTGTACAAGGGAGCGTGCTGGGTTCAGGGACCCAGAGGCAAATCGGCCATGGATGAGCCCTCGGGGTCCTCCTGGTCTGGTTTAATAAACAGGAAATCACCACCAAGGGCTAAAAAATGTGTGCTGAGGGAAGCACCAGCAGTTGGAAGTGTCAGAATGGTGGTGGTGGAACAGCCTTCTTGGGGAGGTGCTGAAGGCAGGGATATTTGCCAGGAATCAAGGGATAGGGAAGGAAAGGGACCTTCCAGCCAGAGAGCAGAGCAAAGGTGTGAACTAACAGAGTGTGAGGGAGGCGTGTGTGTGTGCATGTTGGGGGAATCTCCTGTCTTTGGTATTGACAGCATAAAGAGAATGTCAATGGGGGCAGCAGATGATGCTGAAGCCGGTCACTGAGGCCTGGGGGCAAATGCCATTATCCTACTTGTTTAAGATATCCATAGTAATGACCATTCCAACAACAATAGGAGTAAAAATTTAAAGGCACTTATAATAGCGCTTGGACACTTGGCTATGTGCTCTGCCTGTACCTCTCATAAACAGAAGACGAAATGTGAACCCAGATAATTGCTCTTCCCTGCATTGCCTGTATGCTGGTGTCAGATGTAGCAAATCCAGACACTTGGTCATGGCCTGCAACCACTGAGGTCAGAGGCTCTTCTTTATTTCTCTCTGATTTTAGCCACAAATGAGAACAGGGGAAGAGGGACAATCATACAACCTAATGCATGTTGGCCTGTGACCAGGAAACTGCCCTGCCTGGACAGGTGGTAAAACATCATCTATTTTTTATGAGCTAAGAAGGGCTGTCTCTTGAGTACCCCCTTCACTAGGGACCAGGGTGGTTTAAGGCAATAGGTAATTAGGATTATTATAACAGCAGCTCCTCAGGGACTTAGGACCAGAGGCACCAGCACATCATTAGCAGTGGCTTTTGGAGGGGGAGGGGAGAGTTGAATATATTCTCTTGGAAGAGGCAGCAAAGGACACTTCTGAAATTTATATTTCCCCCGTCCCTCGGAGTAACAAAAGGGAGGTTTTCTTCCCTCCCTCCCTTGTTCCTTTCCCAGTTTCCTTCTTTCCCTTCCCCGCCCCCCTGACCCCCGCCACCAGCATATACTATAGCTTTCAGCATAACTAAGTGTTTCTCTTTGGTAGATAATTCAAATTACTCCTCTTTCACTGAAAAACCTTCCCAATAATGAAGTTGTTGGAAATAACAACTTAAAAGTTTCCTGAGAGCTTAGAGTAATATTGCTGAATGAGACCTAACTTTTATATATATAAAGATGCAGCTATATTTTTTCTTTATATATCTTTAGCTTTTCTTCTGATTACCAGAATAACACATGCCCACTATAGAACATTTTTGCAATTACAGAAAGGGAAGGGAAGCAGAAACAAACGGGCTCTCGTTATGCCTCTCAGAGAATAACCCTGTTAGCATAGGGTGTGTGTCCTTCTTGGCATTTTTCTGTGTTTTTTTTTTTTTCTTAAATGGTTGAGATCATTCTATGTGTAGGTACTATGTAACTTTGTGTCTTGCATTTTTTCACTTACCATTTAGCACAAATGCGTTCCCTCCAACCTCATATCCCTCATTGCTAAGCCATCCATTCACCTCATATTCATTTCATTTGTTTATTGCTTTGTCTGTTTTGCTATAATACATTACGCTGCCATGTATACATTTAAGCCATGTATACATTACATGAACAATGCTGTTGTTCTGAAGTATGTTTTCACATGGCTGTAAAAAATTAAGGTCCACCCTCCCCACAAACTCAAATGCACCTGTACCTGTGGTTTTCACGTCCCCGGGGGCTTCGGTTTTGGCGAAGGTGCTCACAATCTTGATATCAGGGAAGAGGGTCACTCCCCTGGCACTTTCAAACTGGGCAGCAGGTCTCCAGAAGTGGTCTGTGCCCCGGAGGGTGATCCGGGGCTCGATGGCCTGGAGGACCATCACATAGGCATCTACCTCAGGGATACTGATGCATACGTCTTCCCCAAAGCACCTGGGAAAACATTCTCGGTCATGGCACTGATGAGCAAACAATTAAACCATCTGTCATACAGCCAGGAACAAGGGGTTGCCACCTCCAGTTCTTAACAAGGCATCGTGACTGCGTAAGTGTCTCTGAGGATGTCAACAGACATTCAAATTTAAAGCCACATTATAATCAAAACCACTAGTGATCTAGGGACTTGAAAGATTGGCTCCTGAGAGAAATGGGAATTTTCTATATGAGCAACACGTAACCATGAAACCTTTCATTATCCTTTAACAAAGAAATCAATGACAACATTAATTAGATAGCAACTGCTTGTTATGTGCTTTAGTATTTGGTAAGCAAATTGTTGTCTAACTGGTTGGTTACACCCGTCTTACTAATTGAGACCCCAGGGCTAAACTCTCCTGCCTCTGCTTATACGATATATCTCTATGTGGATATCACACACGTGTGCCTTTTCTAGGTGTGAGAGCAAAGTGCTATTGTAATCATCCTCCTTTCTCCTGATACACTGCCACACAATTATCTGGGAGGCAGAAATGGTGTGACCAAAAGAGCGAGGTCTGAGACAGACAAGGATCCATGGCCTGGCTCTGACACTTCTGGGCTGGGTAAATGTGGACAAGGCACTTGACTCCTGTGAACCTCAGTTTCTTCATCTATACAGTGGAGATAACAATAATTTTGTCCTATAGTAAAGGATTAAATGCAGACATATATAGAAAAGAAGCTGACCAGAGCTTGCATCATGGTTTGAGCTCAGTAAGCACTGGTTGATTTGAACTTCTCGTCAGACCTCATGGGGGCATTATGTCATTAGCCCTCTCCCCTGGTCATCTAGATGTAGGTTACAACGGGGGACCCCAGAGCCAGATAGATGCTCTGGGAGTGCTAGGTGGGGTTCAGCTGGTGACAGCCATCACCTTACATGCCTTGGGAAAGTTCTCAAGGAAATGGTAGTCTGGGTGGATTCCATGCTGAGCTACTCCATCCTCTTCTATGGGTGGGTGAAATGTGGGAGCTGTGGTGGCCTCCTCCTCTTCCCAGTTTTCTCCCACTTGTGCCAGGCCAACCCCACAGCACTCCCGACCTTTCTTCAGTTTGCAGAAGCCTGGTCTCAGCAGGACGCAGGCCAATTTGTTCTCTCATCTTCACTCTAATGTGGCAACGACCTGGAGGTACCTGTTTCCTACCCCTAAGCCTGTAAGGGTGGAGCACCCCTCCATTGTTCTAGAACTATTGAATGTAACTACCATCTGCGGGGTTTTTTTCTGGTGCCTGTCCCAGGCTCCAACAATGTGGCAGTCAGCAGATCCATCTTTCCCACCCTTGTTCCTCTCTTTCTGAGTCCTTCTCCCGACTCTAGGTGCAGCATGACTGCACTTCTACCTTCCAGGAATTTTCTGGGATCCCCCTCCTAGCAGCCCTCCAAGGTAGCCACTGTGGCTGAGAAGTGATTTGATAGGCCAGTGAGTGAGTTGTCCAAAGGCTTCAGTAATCCTCTAATTTAATTCTGATCCTTGGAAACAAGAACCATGCCTTCTGTTTTTCTGGCATACCTAAGGGATTTAGGAACTCTACATAGCTGGGTTGGTTAACTTAATTCAATTTAATAAACATTTGTCAAGGACTTCCTGTGTACCACGCACTGCGCCCTTAAATCAGAACACTTCAAACGCACACCCAGATCACTTCAAATTCCTAGCTCTCTGAGAATTTATAGAAAGTAGTACCTTCTAGGCATTAGATAAGATACAAGATAGAGAAAGGTGGATTCAAGGTGGTAAAACAACAGAACATCTTGCTTAGGAAGAAAACAAGAACACAGATCCTTTGAGGCATCCTCAGAGGAATAGCAGAAGTTGAGGACAGCTGACGAAAGGCAACTCCTGTTTTGTGAGGGAACATTCCCAAGGGACCTCAGTTGGGACCTTCCCAACTGCTGCCTCAGTTGGCCCCAGGCTGACCAGCGTCCACTCACTGGACTTTGGAGGATACTTTGAGGCGCCGCACACCCGCCGTTGGGAACTGCCTGGAGTTGATGTAGGAGACTTTCTGGAGAGCACGGTTAATGTTCCCAATGTCGTCACCTTCCATCACCAGGATGGACTGCGAGGGGTTGAAGTGATACTGGAAGACAAAAGTGAGCATCATGGAAGAGAATGGTCAGTGATGTACATGGTTTTATGGGAGCACTTCCTGTCCATACAGGGCACCAAGGGTCACCATAAACACCTCTAGAGCATCTGCCAGTGACACAGTTGTGTGTACAAATGATAGTGTTTAAACTCTCAAGCATTTCCTCCTACTCTCTGGTGGGCTTTGCGGCCCTTTCCTATGAGGTCTTTCCAGGGACTGTGCCTGGTAATATCGGTCTGAGCCACAGGAAGGAATATTGAAAACCCAGCCACGGTGCTCTCACAGCCCAGCCCTTGGCGAACAGTGGTCCATGCTCTGTGCTAGCCGGGTGGTCTGGACCACTCAGAACTTGCGTTTTCACTCCTTTTGCTGTCTTTGTCTTTGCCCTTGAACTGCTCCCCAAATTCATCTTGCACTCCATTTTCTGACCCATGCCGTATCTTCTTAGCTTCCAACCTTCAAGCTCATTTTTCAGTTAATGGCTTTCTTTCTCTCTCAGATCTAATTTTTTGTCTTCCTTTTCAAGTGCTAAACTCTGGTTTCCCATGAGTTGTACACAACTGCTGCTTACACATCTGCCAGCAGCCCTGGGTTTGTTATCTATCCATTTCATCCAAAGTCCCTGGTATCCCACACTTGCCAAAGGCCATGTAGCGGCGATTCTCCCCACTGAGTCACTTGGGTACTCAAGCTGGACATAGATCCTTGCCCTCTCCATGTCCCCACAGCAGTTACTCTTCTTGGAATGAGGCAGGGAAAACTGCCTTTGTACTGCCCTGAATTATTGACTTTGACACTCGTTTGAGCAAGAATTATTAGGAAATGCTATCAATAAAATATCAGAAACATATCTGTGAATTCAGAGTATATATCGAATGCTCATGGCACAGGAAAGGGAGACATAGATTTTTTTTAAGTAGCTACCTAACTTAAAAGTATTTACCCTTTTGAATAGATAATATATTCACATGGTTCAAATGTACACATGTGCTAGGTGAAAAGTAGCTATCTCATTTCTATCTCCCATCCACCCAGTTTCCACAGTCCCATCCCACAAGTACTCATTATTATGTTAGTTTCTTAGTGGTAAATTGCATTATTGTTCAAAATTAGTTGCTTTCCCTCCCGTGGGACACTTATACATGTTTGCCCTATTGTTAATAGGCTTGATCGTATGACTTATGGTACCCTTCCCTGCAGGATATATGTTTTTGCCCTGTGCACTCAGCAGAGGTCATGTTACTTGCTTGGTCAACTAAATGTGGGCAGAAATATTGTTTGATTCATACGCTATGGAAGATTTAATAACCAGTTCATGGTTTGCCACATCCCTTTCTCTCTGCCATGAAACTGGCAACATTCCTTTAGGGGCTAGTCCATCGGCTTGCATCTCACAGTGAGGGAGGTATGGATCAGAGCTGCAGCCAATCTATAATGGACATGAAGTATGAGCAATAAATAAAATTTGGTTGTATAAGCCACTTAGATATTAAATAATTTGTTACTGTAGCATAACTTAGCTTATCCTGACAGTTATACTCAAGTATTCTTATAAATATATAATCAGTGAATATAGATTTCCATTTTTTTCTTTCTTATATCAAAAGTACCTCATACATAATGTATCACACTTTATTTTTCACTTGGCTCATATCTTGGAGCTCTTTCTGTATCAGTACATGACAAGCTTCCTTATTCTTTTTTAGTAGGTGTATTCCATTGTATAGATAAACTGTAATCTTTAAAACCAGTTTCCCAATATGGACATTTGGGTTATTTGTCATCTTTTACTGACGGTGTCAGAAGGAATAATCTTGTGCAAACACATCTGTAGGATACATCACTACAAGTGAAATTGCTAGGTCAAAGAGTATATGCACTTTTAACTTGGATAAATGTTGCCAACTTCTCCATTGCTAGAGATTATATCAACACATACTCCTTCCACCAGGGTATGAATGCAGCTTGTCTCAATTCCTCAACAATACAGTATGCCATCAGATGTCAGGATTTTTGCCAATCTGATAAATGACAAATCCCATCTTAGTGTAGTTTAAGTTTGTATTTTTCTTAGTATGAGGATCTGAGTATATCTTTTCATAGGTTTAAGGAAAAATGTATATTAACTTTTCCCTGATCTGACTTGAATGTCTTTATAAGGGTGTTCTGTTCTGTGTCTGGACTGAAACAGGAGTTGGATGTCTCATGAGCACTATTGTTGACACTGAACCACCTAAATCCCTTGCATGGTGTCCCCTAGCCAACTGATAGCTCAATCTTTGTCACCTTCGACCATCACATGTGTACTTCATTGGTACCTACTCATAAGGCCTCCCAGCTTCTCTCATTTTGGTCCCCACTGCGCTTTGGTGCCTTTCTCCTATATCATTTACAAAATGGTAACACCACTATTATAGTACAGTGGCCAGTAGCCCCTGAGCACAGGGACTCTGCCTCTTATCCCTGAATCCCAGAACTTAGCCTTAGTGTTCTGAAAGCCCCTGTTAGACAAATGAGTGAAGGCTCTCGAGCCTACATTTTACTCACTATCATCTCCTGTCACTCCCCAAAAGGACTTTTTTCTTTCACTTGTCTTTTTAGTGAAGCGCTGTGGGAGTCATTATCAGTACTCACCAAACCCTGTTCTCCTTTCCTTCCTGGGCATTGCGGAGGCTACACTTCTCAGTCACCTTGTACCACAGGTGGCCAGAGTCACATGACTACCTCTGGCCAATGGGCAGGAGAGGAAGGGAGGTGTGGCAATTCTGAGCTGAGGCAGTGAAAGATCCTGAAAGATGCTCGAGCCTCTTTTTTTCCTCCACTTCAGTGGCTTGCAGCATTCTATGCAGAAACCCCACCCCACCTCCCTAACTGAGTATAAGAGAAAACTAAACTTGTCATGTTAAGCCAGTGAAGCTTGAGGTTTGGGGATCATATGTTACTGTAACAGCTTAGCCTGTTTGGGAAAATTTAGCACTTCCCAGGCCTGATTCTCACTTCCCCAAGGTCATAAGGCATCTTTAAAAGAGCATGGGCTTTGTGGACTGTAATATTCCAGTTCTAGTACAAAATGCAACTTTGGAGTATTTCCTTTTCCCTCTTAGACTTCATTTCCTCATTTAAATAATGGGGAAATTAATATCTACCTGTGTGGGTCTTAAATGAGATAATATATATAAAGTTTCTAGCACTTACAAGATATTAAATATATGATAGCTTGGATGATCATTCTTACTATTGTAATTATGCCAGCACTGAGTCTTTGTGCCCCAGCCTTCACTGCTCTTGTACCCTTGTGACACAATTCTCTTCTGTCCTTCCAAGTCCTGAGGAGCGGTGTCTCACTGAGCCGTGACATCAGGCCAAGAGCACCACCCTCTGGTGCTAGATCTTGGAGCCCCCAGGCATATGCATGGTTGATGCCACAGTCAGTGTCTGAGTTGGCATCTCTCTTGCCTGGAAGGCCTCACCAGCTTAGAGTGCTTATTCCTGGAGCTGCCTCACGCTAGTGAGTCACGATTAGTTATGAGGTATTCGCAAGTCATCAGTTTCAGATTTGAGAAGACCCAAGGTCCTTGTTCTACAAATACCATCTATGTTTTAAAAGGTTTTTCTGCTCCTCTTCTCCAGCCTCATCCCCTGCACCATCCTCCTATAGCAGAGTCTTGTGCTGTTGCTATCTGTCCGTCTGCATCCTCCAGCAGATTGTGAGCACCTCAAGGGCAGGGGCTACTGACTTTTCCTCAGCATCACTGCAGGGTCTAGCACATCGAAAGCATGAGGTAGATGATAGGTCTGCAGTGGAGGTTGGTCTCTGAGCCTCACATGAGGGCTGCCTAGGAAAATCAAGAGGTTCTTCTAGAGGGATGGATAAACAGTATCCTATGGCAATCAGCAGAGGGCACAATCTCTCTGCAGCCACCTGTAGAGAGACCAGGAGAGTGTGTTGGATCTCCAGTTAATACCCTGGTCTGTGCCACAGCATTGGGAGGTCTGTCACAGCGCATGAATGTGGGCACTGGCCTAGCCATCAGCATAGTTCTTGCAGGGTCAATAAAACCTCCAGAGCAGGTTTTGGGTGTTCTTTTTTTTTTTTTTTTTTAAACTGCGGTATTCCCAGCTCTGTGGGTGGGTTTCTGATTAAACAAGATACCTGTTTGTACTTGCATCTCTACCAGGGCAGGAGATGGTGACATGCTAGGGGACCCAGCAAAGGGTGGCATTGCTCACTCGCCCTTGGGTATCTGTGCTGTGACCATAGCCTTTCGTTGAGCCAAGAAGGTGCTAGACAGATAGCCCTTGCAGAATGGTCTTCTTATTAGAGACTTCTCTTAGAGATTCGACTGGCATCTGCAGCCCCACAGCAGGCTGGACCATCAGGGAAGTCCCTGCTCAAAGCCCTGGCCTGTTCCTTGAGAGAAGGCTGGCTATGACTTGATAGGAACCCTGCTGCTCCCTATGACACCTGCCTGCCCATGGTCCATATTAAGTAAATTTGGACTCTGATTTTTCTGACTTACAGATTCAGCTGAACCATTTCTCTGAGTGGGGCCAGATGAAGATTTGCCACTTTAGAAGTTCTTCTGTCACAAAAGGGAGCTATAATTTGTTGAGAGTCTATTAGGTTTGCTAGGATATATATTATGTATACACTAAAATATATAATATATATTTAAATATATAATATATATTTATATGTAATATATAATTTAGATGTATAATTAAATTCTTACAACATCACTACAAGGTAAATAATATCAATTTATTTTATACACAAGAGATTCGGGCTTAAAGGATTAACGTGTCTTGCCCAAGGTCACCCAGCTAATAATCAGTTGACAGAAAAAAACTTAAACACCTAAACATGGTTAATAGGTGGCCTCTGATGTGGCCCCTGCCTACGTCTCTGGCACCTTCCACCTTTTTCCTCCTGCAGTGATTTGAACCTAGGAGTGTCTAGTTCTAAAGTTCTTGCTCTTTCCCACTCTTCCACATGATGGAGATGAAAAATTGGCAGGGATTGTGCTATGAAAATCAGAACAGGGTATTACTCAGGAATGTGGTGATTCCACAGTATCTTGTATGGATACAATACAGCAGCCACTAAACCATTTTAGGACTCCAGACATGCTGGAGAAATATTCATAAATATGCATGATTCAGAAGAAGACAGGTAAAGCAAGAAACATGGGCTTGTCCCTGTGAGCAGAGAATTTCCTTAATCACAAAAGGGCCTCAATTCTCTCGACCAGCCAGAGAGGTGGGAGGAGGGCAGTAACTGTCCAATAAAATAGTAGTCATTATTCAGAAATGACATGAGGAGTAAAGGGAGGGAGGAAAGGAAAGAAATTTGTTTTAATGATTTTCAAGAATGTCTTCTAATCTGAGTTGCTGATATGGAGGAAAGAGCATGAACTGATTTTGGACAAATCCCTGAGCCCCAGTCCCCCTAGTTTTGAAATGGGGTCATAGTATTTAATTTGTTGTGAGAAGTAGGGATAATGAACATACAATAGCCCCCAGTGGGTGCTCCATAAATTGGGCGTCTTATTAACTTCTCACACGGTGCTCTAGTTCTTACCAGCCATGCCCTAGGAATGGAAGAGGATCATTTGCAGTGGCTTGGTTATAAAAAGGCTTATAACCAAGCCTTTATAACCAAGCTTGGTTATAAAAAGGTTATAAAAAGTTTCAGTATCCTGAAAAATCAGATTAGCCTCCTCAGTCCCCACAGTTTTTTGTGCCACTTATTTTAGCACCTCCTCTTTTCATAGGCTATGATGACTCTAGAAATTGCTATGGTTCTTTAATTTATAATTTTTAAAAGGCATGACTTTTGAGCCCAGCATCTTTGTGTTTTTGCTCTATGGGGCCTAGTACCCTGAAACTGTGCCTGCCTGGAACAGTTCAGAGCAGAGAAGATCTACGCAGATGCAAAGAGTAAATTTAGAATCAGAAAAAGAGAAGACATCAGGAAGACAGATTTTTGCATCACTGGATTGACAAAACCCTAAGGAAGCAACACAAACAGTACGTCAAGACTGGCCTTTCCAATATGAGATGGTCTTTTGAGCTTGCCCCAATGACAAGTGATTAGCTATTGAGAGCAACTCTGTGTGTGTATCTAATCCATGAAACATTGTTTTGGAAAGTCAATCTTGCCTTGCCATGACTTTTGTACTCCTCCCATCTTCCCCATGCTACCCAGTCTCCAGAGTGAGCATCCTAAACCCCACATATGCTGAGATCATGATCCCTTGCCTGAGCCTTCAGTGGCTTCCCATTGTTGACAGAAAAAAACGTAAACACCTAAACATGGTTAATAGGTGGGCTCTGATATGGCCCCTGCCTACCTCTCTGGCACCTTCCACCTTTTTCCTCCTGCAGTGATTTGAACCTAGGAGTGTCTAGTTCTAAAGTTCTTGCTCTTTCCCACTCTTCCACATGATGGAGATGAAAAATTGGCAGGGATTGTGCTATGAAAATCAGAACAGGGTATTACTCAGGAATGTGGTGATTCCACAGTATCTTGTATGGATACAATACAGCAGCCACTAAACCATTTTAGGACTCCAGACATGCTGGAGAAATATTCATAAATATGCATGATTCAGAAGAAGACAGGTAAAGCAAGAAACATGGGCTTGTCCCTGTGAGCAGATAGAGAATTTCCTTAATCACAAAAGGGCCTCAATTCTCTCGACCAGCCAGAGAGGTGGGAGGAGGGCAGTAACTGTCCAATAAAATAGTAGTCATTATTCAGAAATGACATGAGGAGTAAAGGGAGGGAGGAAAGGAAAGAAATTTGTTTTAATGATTTTCAAGAATGTCTTCTAATCTGAGTTGCTGATATGGAAGAAAGAGCATGAACTGATTTTGGACAAATCCCTGAGCCCCAGTCCCCTTAGTTTTGAAATGGGGTCATAGTATTTAATTTGTTGTGAGAAGTAGGGATAATGAACATACAATAGCCCCCAGTGGGTGCTCCATAAATTGGGCGTCTTATTAACTTCTCACACGGTGCTCTAGTTCTTACCAGCCATGCCCTAGGAATGGAAGAGGATCATTTGCAGTGGCTTGGTTATAAAAAGGTTATAAAAAGTTTCAGTATCCTGAAAAATCAGATTAGCCTCCTCAGTCCCCACAGTTTTTTGTGCCACTTATTTTAGCACCTCCTCTTTTCATAGGCTATGATGACTCTAGAAATTGCTATGGTTCTTTAATTTATAGTTTTTAAAAGGCATGACTTTTGAGCCCAGCATCTTTGTGTTTTTGCTCTATGGGGCCTAGTACCCTGGAACTGTGCCTGCCTGGAACAGTTCAGAGCAGAGAAGATCTACGCAGATGCAAAGAGTAAATTTAGAATCAGAAAAAGAGAAGACATCAGGAAGACAGATTTTTGCATCACTGGATTGACAAAACCCTAAGGAAGCAACACAAACAGTACGTCAAGACTGGCCTTTCCAATATGAGATGGTCTTTTGAGCTTGCCCCAATGACAAGTGATTAGCTATTGAGAGCAACTCTGTGTGTGTATCTAATCCATGAAACATTGTTTTGGAAAGTCAATCTTGCCTTGCCATGACTTTTGTACTCCTCCCATCTTCCCCATGCTACCCAGTCTCCAGAGTGAGCATCCTAAACCCCACATATGCTGAGATCATGCTCCCTTGCCTGAGCCTTCAGTGGCTTCCCATTGTTGACAGAAAAAAACGTAAACACCTAAACATGGTTAATAGGTGGGCTCTGATATGGCCTCTGCCTACCTCTCTGGCACCTTCCATCTTTTTCCTCCTGCAGTTTGGGACTCATAACACTGGCTTTGTTGAAGTTCTAGTGAATACTGTGCTATTCCTCAGCCCTCTCTCATCACTCACACTTTTGGATCTGCCTGGAATGACTTCCCTCTTTCCCATCCCCTTTCCACTACTGCCTTTTTCCTAGCTGGTTCCTACCTATTCTTAAACATTCTACTCAGGCCTCATCACCTCATCCAAGGAGGCTTCCCTGACTGCCAGTCTCCAAGGTTCTGGATCTCTGGAGTGGGACTGAATCTACTCATCACTAACTCTGGGATCTTACGCAAGTTCCCATCTCCTTCAGTCTTTCGTTCCTCATGTACAAGTGTTCTGGGAATCAATACCCATAAAACGTTTAGAACAAACAGTGTCTGGTACTTGGGAGACCCTCAGGAAATGTTAGTGTTCATAATTATTGTGGTAGTCATCAACTGGATTACAAATGTCTGCTTGGGTCACTGAGTTCCTCAGAACATTTCTTTTCATATCTCAGAAACTAGCCTATAACAGAATACTAGCATATCCATGGAACGATTATGGAAGTGGCTGCAATTTAAAGAATACTCTCAGACCACCAGCTTTTCCAAGGGCACCTAGCACCAGAGCTTGACTAGCAGTAGGCTACTGATCTGGAAATTTCTACTGGAGTGGTGACTCCCTGTCCAGGAGAGGCAGGCCCAAGGCAGGGCAGAGCTGCCCATGGGCAGTACTGGGTCAAGGATGTTAGGCCAGCTGAGAAACCTCTGCTTTTGTCACATTCTCTGGGGAAATGGCCAAGGACAGAAACCCTCATAGCTTCTGGGGCTTCATGGGGCTGTCCTGTGCTCCAGGAGGCACAGGCTGGTCTGTTCCAACTTCCAGAGGAGGCCGAGGGACTGTTTTTTCACACTGGGGTCCACTATGATTGAGTGGGGGCTACAGTGATATTGGCTCTGCTCTTTATTCAGGACCTCATGGGCAGGTGCCAACAAGTGCTCGCTCTGTAAGTCCAGGTGAGGTTAGAAAGTGACCCTGGCTGTTGGGGTGCCTGCTGAGGCCATAGTCTGTCACATCCCTCCCTGCCCTCTTTGGGAGGAGCTTCTCTCAAATGAGAGAACGAGAGAAGCTTCAGTCAGAAGAAGCTTTGCTTCTCTGAGATCACTTGAATATTTCTATTTTGCATAAACAATACAAATCATGAACTGTTCATGTTTTTTTTCTTTTTCTTCTTCTTCTTCTTCCTCTTTTTTTTAAGATGGAGTCTGGCTCTGCTGCCCAGGCTGGAGTGCATTGGTGCGATCTTAGCTCACTGCAACCTCCGCCTCCTGGGTTCAAATGATTCTCCTGCCTCAGCCTCCTGAGTAGCTGGGATTACAGGTGCACGCCACCATGTGTGGCTAATTTTTGTATTTTTAGTAGAGATGGGGTTTCACCATGTTGGTCAGGCTGGTCTCGAACTACTGACCTTGTGATCCACCTGCCTCAGCCTCCCAAAGTGTTGGGACTACAGACGTGAGCCACAGGCCACCATGCGCAGCCCATGTTTCTTGTGCCTTGAAGTGACAATGTAAGACAGAATGACCTCCATACCTGCTTTCTCATTCTACCTCACCCAGGTTTTCGCTTTCCTTTTTAATTTGTATTTCACAAGGTCCTAAGTTTTTGTTTACTTTTTATGTGCATCCTTGCATCCTTTGGTTCCTTTAGCCAAATAAACAACAGAGCAGCCAACTAACGCACAAACAAATGAAATACAACAACTTCCTCCAGGTGGACATTGAACATGTGCCTGCTTTTGGGTAATGGACTGATTATACACAAGGGCTTGATCTAGGAGTTTCAGAAGATGGCAGCAGAAGCCCATTGTGGAAGTCATGGTTACTAATCTCCCTCCGGAACCCCCATCTCGTGGCTGCACCTTTGCCTTGTTGCCATTTCTGTGTAACGTTCCAGGAAGCTCCATTTCCTGGCGTGTGCTGGCGCTGTGCAGGCTGGGCATCATGAATCCCTGTCTTATTGGGAGTGATGCCAGCTCCTGCCTTACCTTTATTCCTTGGCCAAGGCTTTCCAAGGAATTAATGTCCAGCCCTTCCTTGCAGGCCTGCAGGCAGGAGATCACCTTCTGGCTTTCCATTTTGCCAGGGCGGATGGTGAGACTGGCCAGGCTTCCATGAAAGAACTGAGCAAACTGTGGTTTGGTGACTTCTCCTCCTGAAAAAACAAACACCATCATTTGCCCTGTGAAGACTGGGTAGGAAACAGCACCTCAAGGCACCACTTGGCCATGCAGCCAAAGACGCCTTGATTGTGTGTCCCCTGAACCTGAGCTTTTCCTTCTGAGTGATGAACACAGTAGCCAGAATCTCAGTAAGAAGTTATACGCTGCTAATACCCTGGCATTCCCTGGCTGCACCAGATTTAGGAATCCTGGCATTTCTGAATTTTAAAGGTTATTTTCAAGGGCACACTGTCTTAGGAGACTGGAGGGCTCTCGTGAGTGAAAATAGGGAGAAGGTGTCACTGATTAAACTTCAGGCCTGCCTTGTGCCAGTCTGTCAGGGACTTCATCTGAACAAGCCTGCAATGATGTGGTGGCATTGTTTTCACCTGGCAGGTGCAGAGCCCTGAGACTCAAAAACATTAAGGTAGTTGCCCCAGGACATATACAGCTAAACACTGCAGCTGGAGCTCTAGTTCTGGTCTGTCTGACCTCAAAGCTCGCATTTGCTTCCCTACATTCCACTGAGAGCTTGGCATGAGACTGAGGAATACTAGAAATGCTGCATTTATGAGCTCTGGCTTTCTCACAATGTGTTGATTCCACCCGTGCTTAAATTCAAGGCCTTTTACATAAAAGGACTTCCCTGATTCCTGTGGTTCTCCCTTTGGCTTTCCTCTCATTGCCTGCTTTCTTTTACTGTCATACTCTCTCCTGGCTGTGCTAAGTCCTATGGGAGCTCAGGTCCACTTTTACCCATGTGCAAGTGTTCCAAGTGCTTGTGTTGCCATGCCAGCTTGGAATCCACTCCCTCCTTTTTTCTCCCTGGTTTTCCAAATCGGATCTCTGAGGTCCATTTGAAGCCTCGCCTTCCCTAGGAGACCTTCCTCACTGATTTTACTGAGCACAGGCTCCTTCCATCTCTGAGCAACCTTCCCAGCCTGGATCTTGTACTGTTTGTTCAGAGAAGAAGAACAACGCATAGAAAAGATGGGCCTGGGTTGAATTCCAGCTTTGCTAGTTTCCTGGGAAGGTTTCATAAGCTCTCTGGGCCTCTGTTTGCTCCTAGGGCACACTTCTGGGTTTTGCCTCCAGGTTCTCCTGGGCTCTCTTGGTGGCTCCTTCAGCTTCCCCAATGCCTGGCTCTTGCAACACCTGGCCAGCAGCTTCCCCAGCCCTCTTTGCTGCCAGCAGTTGCTAACAGTGTGTGCTCCAGTGGGACACCTTCTGTGAAAGTCTTCTCTGGCTCTCTAGAGGCCAGACTTCCAACAAATGACACCCCTGCAACTTCTCTGCTATTCTTCAAGCCATGCTGTGCCAACAAAGTCTAGACCTCAGCTTGGGGGTGGGCTGGCTTTTTCTGGGGTGCTCTACCTCAGCCCTGAGGGTAGTGGATGGTCCTTATATAATCTATTCCTATGTTCTTTAGAGTTCTCTTTAGAGTTCTTACCCACTAATCCCATGTTACTCCAATCCCCATATTTATAATTTTTAGAAAGGTTTTTCTGTTGAAATTATAGTTTTCTTTCTCCTGTTTGAATCTAGATCCATATACCTTCCATGTCTGCCCATATGCCTTTGCTTAAACCCATTCCTCTTTATACTGAGACACCACCCCTAAATAGCTTAGATTAGGCAAATCTCAGAGTTCTTCAAGGCCCCTTAAGCCTCCTGTTTCCTGATGCTCATGGAAGCCCTCCATGATCCCCCTCTGCCCACCATGTGTCTCCCTCTCCTGGGACCCCTCCCCTGCATACCCTCTCTCTGCCTGGAGCCCTACTCCACCCTGCCCCCTCCCCACCCTGAGCCTTAGAACGTTCATTTTAACATACCCTTCACCACCTGGCATTATTAGCTAATGGTTTGCATGTGGGTGTTTATGTCCTCAGTAGCCTAAAATATGGTGGTTCTTAGCCTTGGCTACACATTTTAATCATTTGGAGATCCTTAAAAAGACAAACTGATTCCTGGTGCTGGGTCACATCCCCAGGGATTCTAACTTAATTGGTGTGGGGAGTTTTAAAAGCTTCTCAGGTGAATCGAATGTGAAGTCAAGGTTAAGAACCACTGGGCTATAGCTTCTTGTGGGGTTGGGCCTCTTGCACACTCCTCTTGTGATCTCTATCCTTTGTGCCACCCGCAGGCTTACTCTTGTCACTCTGTGCACACTGTTATAATTTATTAGTTTGAGTCTTTCTCTCCTGGATGGCAGGTATCACTCATGCATTATTCATTTTAATGAAGATAATACTGAGCAAGTGTTAGGGGCTGAGTGCTGCAACAGGCACTTTGCATAAGTCAGCTCATTTATTCCTGTCAACAACACTGGGCATCTTGCAATTTTCTGGCATCCTGCACTGTGCCTGGCACATAGCGGACGTTTTGTAATTGTTTGCTTGAATTGAAGGAGATGTTGATTTGAATATCAGCAGAGTGGTGGGCCCTGTGGTTGTCTTTCCAATATCCATCTCACTCCTTCCTTCTTGCAAAGGCAGCCCTAAAGTTTAGGGTTATTGACTTTAGCTCCAGAGACAGACTGTCTTTAGTTCAAGCTAATTAGATTATTCCTTCCCTATTGCACCTGTGATTGATTGAGGGGTGGACCTGGGACCCAGGATGAAGCCATCACCTGGCATTCAATAAGCTACAGGAATTGATCCAGGAAGAATCATGAGAACAAATTGAGGCCAGTATCATGAAATAAGTTGATTGTCAACCTCTGTATAAAAAGCTTCCATTTTTTCTCTTCTGAAAGTTTCTGGAACAAATTCTTGCTCTCTTTCCTGGACACAGTTCTGGGAAGATGGGAGGCTGGCTGTTGCAGCTATCTTGCCAGCAGACTGGTGATGACCAAGGCCCTGCATGGAGAAGGGCAGTGGCAGGAGAGCCCCAGCAGGGAAGAGCAGAGCCTGAGCTGCCCTGCTCTCTGCCCTGCCTTGGGACGTTCTCAGCCTGGGGTGCCACTCATCCATCTTTATGGTTTGAGCCATTTTGACCCACAGTGTTGTTACTTGCCACCCAAAACATCTTCACTTTGGAAATAAAGGATAAGTTTCTTTTGAGGTGCTCAGTTTACAAAAAGTTCTAAACAGATTTGGCTTTGAGGAATTAGTTGAGATGGCCCACGGCTATGGGAAAGCTAACTGGGGTCTTCTGATTTAAATCTTCAGTGACCCCATGCATAAAGTACTCCTTCAAGCCATTAGCATGTTCCCGTCCCAGCAAAAGGGCATCTCTGTTGATCTGCAGGCGGAGGGTGTGAGCCTGTGTGTGAATGGTGGAGCTGCTCCTCTCCAGGGCATCCAGTTGGTCATCTCTTCACAGCCTCCTCCTCCGTGGAGCAGCAAATCCAACAACAACTACTATCATTTACTGGGCATACAATATGTACCCAACACCATGTGATATCCTCAGGGTACATCATCTCATGGAATCTTCATAAAACTGTTGTGAGGTAGATACTCATTCTATAGTTATAGATGAACAAATTTAGGCTTACAGAGGGGAAGTAGGTGACCAAAAGCCACACCGGTAGAAAGTGGTAAAATGTGTGTTCCTATAGTGTGAGTACATCCATCCATGCACAGGACCAGCTGAGGTTTCCTGGTGGTGCCAGGCAACCAGGCCTAGAATGAGACTGACAGAAAGCCCATTAGGATCTATCTTCTAACCCTCTTCAACTGCTCACTCAGCAGCTTTAGCCTCAAAGGCCAAGCTTTGTGACTGTCTTGAATGCTAAGACAGTTTCCTATAAGCCATCTTCTCTCAGCAAAATACACTCATGTTCTATATTTTTGACTCAAGAATATCAGATGTGTGATGCACTCTATTTATCAGTGACAAGGCTCCAGGAAATTGATTCAATGAGCATTTTTCAACAGGAGGCCAGTATAAAATTTGAAATATATTTGCACTCAGGTGGTTATGATGCAGGATTTAAAAAAAAATAATAGATATATTGAAAAATCTTTCCTTTGAATATCTAGGGTGTCTGCATGGGCTGCATAGGCCACGTGACTCCTCTGTTGGTTAACAATTAGACATAAACATGCTTATGAATCATCTTAACCTGATTTTTTCCATAAAGAATCTTCCTTAAATGTTTGCAAACATGATTTTGGATTCCTGATGCTAGATCTGCACCCATTTTTAAAGCATTTTCTGTATGACTAGCCTTCTGTTAGATTCAGTTAATTTAAGATGTGAACCATGGTCTTCAGGAGCTTACATGGATTTGAGAGAATAACATATTGACACTGAAAATAAAATAAAAATATGAGTAAATTGCCAGTATGATAGATGTTCTAAGGCAGGATATGATTCATTTCCAAACAATTGATATAGGCAATGTGTCCAACAGGTAAGAGGGAAAAAAAATAACCATCATTTGTTAGGCCCTTGAAACATGACAAGTTCTTTCACATGCTATTTTACTTAATCCTTAAGTGGAGGGACAGTATTTTTGAAGTCTTAGCTTCTGTTCTTTTAATTTTTCCCTAGTTGTTTCTTCTACCTTACCTTCCATCTAAATACACCCTGGCTTCTAGCTCATTGTCGCAGGGAGGGTCATGGCAGAGAGAAGAGTAGAAGGGGCCTGGAGCTGAGTCTCTGCCTGGTGTGGTTTCCAGAAGCCTAAACCATGAGGAGGGTGGAGGAGGTCTGCGTATAGATCAGCCTTTGGGGGAAAAACAGAATAAGAGAATCTGGCCTCCTCCCAGAGTCATAAAGAACACCCTAGACATGGAGGTGGGTGTGTGACTGTGGCAGGGAAGGGGCGAAGACATCCGAGGTGCAGAGCAGAGACATCTGAAGCCTGCTTCCTGGGCTGAGCCCTGGCAGGGGTGATGCCGACAAGGAATGCTGGCCTGGTACATCTAGGCAGATGGACCACGGATGTTCCTACAGAGAAAGCATGAGAAGCAGCAGAAATATTTGTGTGCCCCCTAAGTAAGGTAATCCCGACAGCTGCCAGTTCTGACAGACCATTAGTGACCGAGAATCAGAACTGGTGAGCACAATTTCCACAATGCATGGAAAAGTTCCTGGAGGCTCCGCTGAAAACTCTAGCACTTTGCAAATCTCCCTGCAATCAGCCAAGCACCCTACAGAAAATGAATAATTGTAAATTAGCAGCACTTAAATCTCCCCCACTCAGGTTGACTGGGGACTTGAACTGAAACAAGGCTGGATGTGAGAAAGACAATTTTTAAATTTGTGTATTGAGATTCTTATCTGCCACACTTAAAACTTTAATAGATGAGGTTTTCAAAGTTAGGTAACTTGACCAAAGCCACATAACCAGAAGTGAGTGAAGCCAAGATTCAAACTCCTAAGCTTGCTTCCAAGCCTTTGGCCTACATGCCAGACAATGAGATGTGGCTTGGAAGGTTCAAGGGGGAATTTCTTGGAGGGGGATGGGTTGGGACTGACTCAATGCTGGGGGAAAATATTCAGTTATAGTGGGCTCTGTGGACACAGAATGGCTTCAGCAGCAACTCCCAGAAACTGGTGTTAAGGTTGCTGGAATACATGGTTGTCTTAAAAAACAGTTGTATTTAGCAAACACAATTTAATGCAGACTGTCTTATTCTGAGTCGGAGTTTGCATCAGGAATGAAGAGCTACACACTCATTCCCCCAGATTCCTTTCATTTGAGAGGTGGGGCTCACACATGATAAATACAGCTTTTGAACCAGTGTGTCTACCTCTTCTATTTTGAGGTAAAAATATGCACGCATCTATGTAGTGTGAACATACTAAGTCTCTTCCTGTGCAAAGTGTGTTCAGGATGCTGCTGGTCTTTCCAGCTGTCATTCCCATGGCTATTTAGTCTAAGAAACTCATGGAAAGGACTGGGGGCCATGAATCCTCTTGCTGGGGTTGGATGCTGCTCTGTGTATGGCTGTTTCCTGGGGATGCCCCTTGATGAACACAATTTCATGGATGCTTGGGTGTCAATTTTAAGCAATGCAAATAACGAGACCATCTGAAATCTCGCTTTCTCTCATTTCCTCATTTCAGTGATGTAGATACCTGTGGAATGCAAAGACTAAGTGAAGTGTGTAATAGACCCCTATAAGTGCAGCTTTAAAACTCGGTCCACACAATCCCGGGGGATGCTCACACAGCTGTAGGCTGCAGGTGGCTTGTGGGGACAGATGACCTGTCATCACGGCTGGCCATGGCACACTCCCAGCAGGCTTTCTCAACCCTTTCATTTTTATGACTCTGCCTCTGCAGGCTTTCCAGCACATATTTATATAGCAGTACAGTGAATGAAACATACAACTTAGCGATGACAACAAATGTCAGCTCTCTGGGGTTGAGAACCTAAACTCGTGGAGTTGGAAGGGCTTTCATCTATCATCCAGAATGTTGCTTTGTTCTTCACGTGAAGGAACTAAGGGCCTGAAAAAGGAAGATACTGACTTCAAAGACCTAGAGCAAATAAGCAGCAGTAGGAAGGTTCTAGAATTCTCTACTGACTCCAAATTCACCCCTCCCCCTACTAAACATGATGTCTGATGGGCCTGTCAATCTTTAGTCCTCAGATTGACTCTGCTCAATCTGTGTGAAAAATGCCAAGGGAGTTTGGGTAAATCCGGAATCCTCTGGCCTTCCTTACTTGGCTGAGGTGGTCCAGCAGTATACATAGGGGCGAGGGCTTTGGTGGCATAGACCTGCATTCAAGTCCAGCTCTACATGACTCGCAGCAAGGTACTTACCTCTGAATCCCAGTTTCCTCATTGGCAAAATGGGGGTCATACTTATGCCTATGCATCAGGTTGTGAGGACTAAGTGAGAACACATGTAAGATGCTCAGCACTGCACTGGCTGCGTACAACTCAGACTTGGCAGTCAGTGATAGAGAGCAAGGTGCCAAGAAACCCCAGGATGGGATGCATCAGGTGAGTTTTCTGTCTTGTTTTTTAGGGTCTCTTCCCCTCTCCCACTGAGTATCTCAGAGACGATACTGTTTTTGCTTTCAGACCCTCATCAAATCTTCTAATTAATAACATCTTCAAAATTGATACAAAGTTAAAATTATAACTCAGTGATACTCTGTTTCCAGACATGATTCACTGAACTTTAAACTTGATTTTAATCTGTATCATCTTCACACCAAATGCACCCCCATATCAAATTGACTCCAGGACCTAAAACAATTTTTTCTTGATTTTTAATATAGACAATGTTAAGAGACATCTTTTTAGTTACCTCTGTGTGTGCCAGAACATGAGCCACATACCTTTGTCAAAGTAGCCTCAAGAATAGGATATAATTTAACAAATATTAATTATTAACCTTCTATAGATCCTGAAGTTGTCAAAGTAGCCTCAAGAATAGGATATAATTTAACAAACATTAATTATTAACCTTCTATAGATCCTGAAGTCAAGGAAGGCAGAGGAGAGGATCTCTCAGAGCAGCTAGCCCTTGCCCCCTGCAAACTCTTGACCTAATAGGGAAGAACTGCATTAATAACTCCTTTAAGATGTTTCACAGAGTGAGTTCTATGGCTGCATAAGATTGAGGAACCTGAATCAAAGTCAAACAGATTGCTTTACTGGAGTACTTTTGAGAGCCTTTAATAAGTGAACATGCATTGTGACTCTCAAATATGGTGGTTTGGGAATGGCTTATCCTGTTTCCCCGACTTGACCTTGGCCTTTTTGTGAAAGGGTATCCTGTAGGACTGGAGCTTCATGAAGAACTCCTTGGAAAACATGACCTGAATGTAAGGCAGACTCTGCTAGCATGTGCCTCTTTCTTCCAGCTGTAGACACCCTAGGGACTCAGGATAATTTAAACACAGACTTTATTAAGAGAAGTTTGTACTAAATTAGACCAAGCTTATTAAATGAAGGCATGCACTCCAAGCCTCTGTACTAACGCTGTTGTCTGGCAGAAGAAAATGACCTGAAAATGTGCAACCACATGATCTCAGGACCACATGAGGCTCCAGTTTCCCTATACCCACAAATCGTACGTTACTGCTTACTGCAACTCTCAGGGGTTATTTCTGCCTTCTTATCCCTTTTTGACCCTTCCTATTCTTTGCTTTGGCTTTTCCCTTGGCTTTTCCCAAAAGCCACAGTGAGGATTCTGCATCTGTCTATTTACAGGCTCTAATATTTAGAAACAGCTTCTCTACATCCTGCTGCCTTATTTGTTAAGTAGAGGGTAGGATTCAGCAAGACCAGGATCCAGGGTAGAAAGGCTTCCTTATCTAAGACTAGAGGGAGGTATCATAGGCAAGGCTGGACACTCTAGGAAGGTTACAACCCATGACACTGGAGGAGAGTCCCCTGACAGAGACAGGGGCTGAGGCAATCACTAGAGTGGAGTCACAGGTAGCCTACCCTGAGATGAGATCTCCACCAAGAATAGATGAGGATCAGGCAAGGAGCAGGGTGGTAGCTTTGTGAGAAAGTGCTTAGAACTGTAGTTCTTCAAACATGCTTAGCCATTTCATTAACGGCTAACACAAAATAGGTAAAACAGAGTTGCTCTGGTCATGGCACGGGGAGAGATGCCCTGGACCTCCACGTGCTGCAGCATCTCCTGGAAACCCCAGGGCTCCCTTAAGGCACTGGTCTGGCACAACCAGCAGCCTACCTGACTCACTCCCTTGCACAGCTGGGTTATAGTACCCAGGTGATCAGGACCAGTTTAGAGGTCCAGGATTGAGGCAGATGTGAGTATACAATTTTTATTGTTTATGAGTAGAACTTGAATTTTTGTTCTTATAAATGGGATAAGTAGGAAATCTAAGGAAAAGGACAAATTAATTTAGTCTTTTAAATGATCTTTTACGTTGTGACCCAGAGAGAAATAAAGAACCTGGTATTTGTCTAAAGCCAGGAGGATCTGACTCAGCACTGGGTGAGCTCAGCCATGGGAGAGGGTCTGCCTCCATCCTGAATATTGTGTCATCCTGGACACAGAAATGATAGCAAGGGGGTGTGCATTAGCCACAGCTACACAGAGGAAGGGGACCTCTTTTGTGATGCTAGGTTCATCCCGACTGCACAGGCCTTTCCCTACAATTGAGAGATGCCACATGCTGTAGGCCTTTCCGGTAACATTTCTTAACTGTAAATGAAGTCCCATTTTTTTTTCATTGCTAGAATAAATACTAATGGAAATGAAGTCTCAGTGTTTATTTTGGCTTTCAAATTGGCTAATAGGACTAGTTGTCTAATTAGGGCTGCAGAACACTGACCAGCCACAGTGCTAGAGCCAGTTCCCAGGAGATCCCAACAAGCAGCTGCTATCAAACCATTTTCTACTTCCATTGTTAAAGCCTCGTCTGAAATTTCACAAATGGGAGCTAGTTCCCTTGCCAACCTCAAAAGCACCTGAAACACTCCCCACAACTGCAAGCCCAAAGGCAATTAAAGGTTCACACAGAGAGATTATACTATGTATATAAGTGGACTTCAGAAGGTTTAGAAACATGCAGAGATAAGGGCTGCATCATAGGCCATTAATTTCACAGCATCAGGTCTTATTGAAAGATCTTTTGATATTTTCATCTAAGACAAAAATGTGGCTTCAAGGAGGATGTGAATATTTGTGGGAATCCAAGGTCTTTAACAAAGCAGTGTGGTGTCCCAGGGTTTGGTCTCATCTCCTTGTCCCAGATTCCACTCTTTCTGGTTCACGTACATTCCAGTGATAAGGAACCCTGAATACACGGATGCCAAACTTCCCTGCCATAGCATATGGTGTTGCCTCCCTTACCTTCCTAGTGAACTGTTAGACATTCTATAAAGCCCAATTTTAAAGATCTTAAGAATTTTTCCTCTGCTGAAAATTCACCAATGGGTTGTCATTTCTCTAGAGAAAATACTCAAATCTTCCCATGGCCTAAAACACTGCATGATAAGGTTCCTATCTCCATCTCAAGCCCCACCTTCCAATACCTGTCTTCTGATTATTTTCCAGCTTCATTTACCTTTCTGACCATCAGTGAACCTGTGAGGTCATCAGGGTCTATATGTGAGGGTTAGTCCTGAGGAAGGAGAAAAAAGTCAGTGCATGCAAGGAGCTATGGGAAAGCCAGGGCCACAGAAACTAGATCATGCTATGGTCTTGCAGATTGTCTACAGTGTTGGTCTTAGATGAGAGGCTCAGAGAAGGTTGTGGAGGAGGCAGGGGGACAGGGAGATGTTCTAAAATTTACACAATCATTCAAGCAAAACATGCCAAGCACACTAGATGTGCCTAGCATCTAGTCCTTACAGGAATTCTGTGAGGTGGGTCTTACTCTTATTTCATAGATTAAAAATAAAATACAAGCTCCAGGAAGTTAAGGATACTGCTGGGTCCGTACAGCTAGTAGATGGCAAGGCTGGGATTTGATTTGAGGTCACTTTTTTTTAACCCCAAAGCTGAAACTCTTTTATTGTTCCTTGGTTGGTCACTTAGGTTTTACATAATAAAAGATTAGTAAGGGGAACGCAGCATTCTTGTGTGTTTTTAAAAGATTAGTAAGGGGAACGCAGCATTCTTGTGTGTTTTTAAAAATTTATTACAGGGTTGTCATATGTCTCAGGAGTTAAAGGGTTTGTAGCATTTGTATCAGTACACATTAGCTCCTGCCTTTTTCCAGACATAATTACATAAGCAAAATGACCAATTAGCAATAGAGGGCAGTGAGACACAGTGAAAAGAGCATAGGCATTGGAGGCTTGAGGTTGGGCATATTCAATTGAGCAACTTTGGGTAAACCCCTTCATCTCTGAGCCTCAGTTTCCTTATCTACAAATTGTGACGAATAACATTTTATTTCAGAACTGTGAACACCCCATGTGTATAAAGGGCCTCCTTGCAATTACAGCTTTTAAAGTTTCCATAAGGAAACAACATAAGGCACTTCTGCTCACAGTTAATTTGCCAAAGCAAGTCCCATGACCACACCTAACTCTAAGGGAGATCAGTCCTAGCGTATATCTGGAAAAAGGACCAAAAATACTTGGTGAACACCCTTGTCATCATTCTTTCTACTGTGTTCTTTGAAAGTCAATGTATACTTGGGTTTCCCATTTGAAATCATTTTTGTGGAATGGCTTTTAAATAAATTGTAATGAGATACAATAGTAGAGCAGCTATTTATGGAGTGACAATGTCCTCTTCAGATGTAGCCTAGAAGGATACTAAGGAAGGAAATATCTTCCGGGGAATGGAATAAAGGGCCACAAATAATATTTCCCACCCTAAGGGAGGGGCCCTTATAACATCTGCCCCAAGGGATTTCAGAATTGCTATGGACCAAAGACTGCTGTATTTCTCCCTCTTAGTGAAAGAGTTTTCTGGTTGGTCTGCTTCATTCTACTGTTGTATGGTATGTGTGCACGTGCACATATGCAGATGCATGAATGTGTGTGTGTTGGTGGGGAGGGCATGGTGGTTGCATTGGTGGAAAGTAATTTGTCCTATTAGTATATAGGTCTCCACATCAAGTGCAGCTACTATGTGGCCTGCTGTAGGCCTCTGTGCATCTCACCCTGATGAGGCGATCACTAGAAATCACTCGGAAAGCTTGGACATTGAGCCTGGAACCACAAAGAAGTGAGAATGTGGGCATGTCCCATTTAAGGAAGGATGGGAGTATTTTCTACGTGGGAAAGAGAGCCAAACAAATATCTATTGGCCTGGTGGACAAACTGTGGTGTTCATCAATGTTAATACAATATTTTCAATTTTTCTTCTAGATACAGTGTAGATTTCACTTTCTTGCCCTGATGTAGTTAGATGTGGCCTTCTGACTTGCTTTGGCCAATAAAATATGAATAAAAATTATTGGCATCACTTGTAGGTGGAAGTTTTAAGAGTTTGTGCACGATTTGCCATGTTTTCTTTTCCTCTTGCTACATATCCAGCCATGCAATGTGGCTGCTCTGTCTACTGACTGTGGATAAGGCGGAAAAGAGCCCTCATTGATTTTCAGTAAATATGAAGTGAGAATTATTTTAGGAACTGAGAGTTGGGGCTTGTTGTCATTGCAGTGCAACTTAACTTATTCTTATTGATTTTAGTTCCTTATAAAATCACATTTTATTTTGTGGGGCTACTTCCCCACTCTGGGCAGTAGGCATGTAACTCAGCAGCAGTTGCTGTAGCTGGCCTTGCAGACATGGGGGTGGGTTTCCATTGCACACTGGGGTGACAGGGATTCAAATGTGGTTTCTGAGGGGCTCTTGAGAAGAAGCATGGTAACATGGAAGGGGACATGATTAGGGCAATGTTTTCTTAGGGGCATTATCCAGGCTATGTTCCATAACACCCACAGGCTGGTTGGAGTGTGTCTGGCTAGGGCACTAAGCCACACCAGGGGAACATTTCTCTAGCATAGTTGTGTTCAGTGTTATTGATTCCTGCGCAACCTCTGAATCACTGCCCTGCTATACTAAATAGTTTCATGAACTCTTGCCATGTGACACGGTCTACCTGGCATTCTGGGGAGCCTGCAACTGAAGATACTCTCATTGCCAAGCTCTACTGAAATATTTAATAAACATTTTGCTATCATGTGACACAAGTGAGACATCAAGTAGGTGGGCTCAGCTCAAGAACACTTTCTCTTGCCTCATTTATACCTTATCTCCTTCCTGGGTTTTGAATCTCTAGTGCTTCCAGGCTGCACTGTATGTACTCCTTTTCATCTTCTTTTACATGGAGCTGCCCATAACTCACTTTGTCCAACCTACAGGGGCATGTGTCAGTCCTAGTTCACTCATGGGTCAGTTGGTCTTCTGAAGGCATATTCTTTTTTTTTTTTTTTTTTTTTTGAGATGGAGTCTCGTTCCATTGCCCAGGCTGGAGTGCAGTGGCGCGATCTCGGCTCACTGCGAGCTCCACCTCCCGGGTTCATGCCATTCTCCTGCCTCAGCCTCCCGAGTAGCTGGGACTACAAGCACCCGCCACCATGCCCGGCTAATTTTTTTGTATTTTTTAGTAGAGACGGGGTTTCACCGTGTTAGCCAGGATGGTCTCGATCTCCTGACCTCGTGATCTGCCCGCTTTGGCCTCCCAAAGTGCTGGGATTACAGGCGTGAGCCACTGTGCACGGCCGGCATATTCTTATACTATAGCCCACCTCTATCCCCAGCCCCTCATGGTGAAGAGTCAAAGTCACAAATCTTGGTAATTTTCACAGAATCCATCAACACAAGGTTGTGCCACATCTCAAAGTACTAATCTGCTTATTTGGGGAGCATTTTCATATCCTTCTGCTCTCTTACTGGTACTTCAAAGCATACCCAGCCCTTAAAGGAGCTGAAACAAAGACTCCAGCAGACCTGAGTGAGAGACAGAAAGATCACACGCATGCTTGGAGAGCCGGGTTTCCTGATCCCAAGGAGATTAGCCTGGGTTTGGGGATTAGGAGAGAGGCAACAGCACAAGAAGAGAGGAAGGGGCAGATACCTTCAAGTGGGAAGGCATAAAGGGCCTCTGTCCTTAGATGCCAGGGAAGGCACTGAGGGCTGAGCTGACCTTGAGAGTGGCTTTCTGTGGCCTTGTGGCTTGTGGACAAGCTGCCTTCCACAGCTCTGGGCAAGCCCTGGGCATTTGTGAGTTCCCAGAACAGAGGGTTTGGGGCTTAAAGAATTTGTGTGGGGATAAAGGGAGATCCTTGGTTCCTGATCAGCCTAGCACTCATCAGAGCCAACCAGAAGTTTGAACACAAGATTCTATACTGTTTTTTTCTCTGCATTGCCCCAGTTTGGAAATGAATAAGACTTCAAAATAATAAAATACATTAGAAACTCAGAGACAACCATGAAACTGCTCATGTCGATCTAAAAATCAAAATCTGGCCTTAAGCTTGTTATTATACAATACGTTTAGTTTGTAGATTTATACTTATTTTTATATGTCTTGAATTTTTTTTTGTAAGGGGTAGTAATTTTTCTAGACTATTCTCACACCACTTGCTTTTCCTTTTTCTCTACAAGTATCTTCCAAGAACTATTCACAAACAGGTCAGAGAAAAGGGTTTCACTTAGGATTACCTTGCCAACAAGCGCCGACTGTGAGTTGCATGGCTATGTGAGATGGATGAATGGGCCAGTCGTTGGTCACCAGGTATGGTTCATATGTTGCTCCATCCATGTATAAGGTTACCACAGGAAACTCCACATTGATGACATAGTAGTGCCACTCTTTGTCACAAATCTAAGAAAAGGAAAGAGAAGCAACATTTAAAATTGAATATGTAATAAAACATCAAACAGGCTTTTACTCTATGAAAGGAGAACAACACATTTTTGGGTCAACAATTTTTATTGCAAAGCACTCAAGGAATATAACAGTTGACATACACTGAAGTTATAGAAGCTTGTCATCAAACATGATGGGGCAAACTGGGAAAGAGAAACACCCAAGAATCCGATATCAGGCAGATAGTGGATGATGGGGAGATTTTCAGCCTTACCATGGTGCACCTGGGGAGGCAGAGAAGAACCACAAGTGGGTCCTACTGGCCTGGACTCAGTACAGGGCACCCTTTCACAACCTTTTAAACCCAAGACTCCTGGTCTCAGGGCTGGGAATCTTGTGTCAAAATTTCCAGTTGGCTCTGATTATTGCTAGGCTGATCAGGAACCAAGGATCTCACTTTATACCCACACAACTTGTTTAATCCCCAAACCCTCTGTTCTGGGAAACCACAAGTGCCCAGGGCTACAGAAGGCAGCTTAGTGGATTAGTGGAGATGCAGGGGGGCTAGAAGAGAGTCACAATTCTTAACCTCAAGGGAATGAACTCATACAGCATGAGACAAGATAGAAACCAAGATGGGCATGTCTTGGAAAGGGAGATGGGAGGCATGAAAGGTGGCAAGACTAGAGAACGATGCCACCCCCGGTCCTATCCCTAAGCAAGTGCCTTGGGAGTCATGCTGGACTCTCCTTCACGCTCCCTCTAATCCCCCCACACCCTGTGGAGGACCCCTCTGAAATGTCTCTCATCTGCATCCTCTTGTCTCCATCGACTCTGCCATCTGTGGCAGAGGAGACAGATGAGTTCTGAATGAAGGTGACCCCAAGGTGAGGGCATCAAAGCCCTCCCTACAATTCCATGCTTGATTAAATATGCTGTTTCTCATGAACAGATAACACCAACAGGGATGCTAAATAATCTTTCTCCTTTCAGTTTGAAATAAGATTTTTTTCATTAATGTTCTTTTTATATTGTCCTGTCTCATGTCTCAGAAAACTGCTCCTTTTGAAGCCCATTAGTCTGATAAAGCCTGATGAATATTTTAGGGGACTTTGGAAGGTAAGCAGGAGGGGTCCAGACAGATCTCTGTGAAGTTCTGTTATACTCAGTGAGAGGTCCTGACCCAGTTTCCACTCCCCTCATGCTCGGTGCCCTGGACCAAACCCTGGGCTGGGTGCAGGGCTCTCAAGCTAGGCCTGTTATTGGGGTGGGGTGACCCCAAGACATACAGGTGGCACACAGGCAGACCTGAACACAGAGTGCAGGGCTGATAGACTAGTAGAGAACTACATATCTGAATCAAGCACCGAACCCAAAGAGGTAGGAGCACCCTGGGCTTGGGGTTTGCAATCAAGGATAGCCAAGCAACAGAGGTAACCTGGAATGCGGTTCACATCCTGAGGATATTCCCAGAGGTATCTGGAAATCTCTGGTCAGGCCCTGGGCAGGGAGGAAGTGGGTGACAGTGAGGTAACCCTGACCATACCCCATGCCCTGTGGAATGTAGGTAGAGTGCCAAGAACCAACCAGACAGCACTTGGGGGCTCCCCCATCCTGGCCTCCATCACTGCCCTCACGGTGACCATCCTCTCTGTGTGACTGGCATGTTGAATCCATGTGCTTTAGCTGGCTCTACAGCAATCCACATCTGCTGAAGCTGGATGGAGAATAATCCTCTGGCATTATTTCATTTACAACACTTAGCATTTTGGTAGGACAACATAAACAATTGCAAAGAAGAAGTAATTCTATAACTCAACAGTAGCAGCATCCCCTCTCAACATTACAATGTTTTTCCTAGGTGTTTTTTCTCCAGTTCTTCCAAAGTATGCTAGATTGAACAACAGCCCCCATGATGCGCAGCATAAAAACAGTGATTCTCAAACTATAATAACTTTTCAACCTTACTGAAAAATAGAACTTTTCTATTTATAGCATTCCTATAAACATCCGTGAAACAACAGCTGGGAAAGGTCTATTTGGATCACACTGCATAAGAATTTGAGAGTTTGCATATTTCATGTAGCATCAGCACTAAAATGCCTTTAAAAATTTCATTTTAAGTAGCTGTGTAATATGGCTATATACTATACTTATTTCCAGATATTAATTATGTAACAGCTATTATAAATGGTATTATAATGAATTTCTTGTGTATAAATATTTGTTTGCATTTCTGATTATATCCTTAGGAAAGATTCCTGGAAATGGAATTACTGGGTCAAAGGCTGGAGGTATTTTTAAGACTCTTGATACATATTATCAATGTTTTTTTCTGCAAAGGTTACGCCTATTTATACTCCTACTCACAGAGGTTAAGAGAGCTTATGCATGGCACCCTTGCCACACTGAGTAATAAAAAATAAATAAAAATCCTGTTACTATAAAAGGGACACATTTTATCTCATTTTAATATGGGTCACAAAAGATGGCAAGATTTATATTCTCCAACATCAACAGGGAGAGCATTGTTGGTGTGAAGAACAGCCTCAGCCAAGAGTCAAAGGTAGGAATGCTTGGGAGCTGCCCCAGTGAGCTCCTAATTGGGCGTCTAAACAATCTTTTAGCTCATACAAAGCTTATGCCTGCAGAGTTTTTCCACCAAGTAATCTGTGACAGCAGCTAAAGGAAATGCCTAATTAGGGTTTTATAAATGTGGATCTATGATCAGGAAGAGACCTACATTGACCCTCTGCTAGAACTGCAGGGACAAACTGTAATTGAAAAATGATCAAGCCAGGAGGCAGCTAAAATAAATGTGTCAATGCATAGTTCAACCAAGAAAGAAGAAAATTCAGCAAAGTGACCTTTCCTTGGGGGAGAGAAGAACTTCAATTCCCGACTGTTCATGAATCACTGGTGTATCCAGCCGCACCAAGTATGTCCAAGCTCCAAGAATGTCTGACACCATCCCCCAGAATGATGCCTGAGGCCTTGCCTAGTCCAAAGACACATGAATCTCTGGACACCTGCAGATGTACTCCCACGGCAGGCAGCTGCAGCATAGCTGGTAAGTGACTCAGAGACCAGAGACCCAGGGATACACGTTCAGGAAGGGTAGCAGGGACAACGCCAAAGGAGGTCTGAGTTAGGAGTGTGCTGGAATTTCAGTGTGAGTCAGGGGCCAGGGAAGCCTCCCATGAGATGAGGAGGAGAAAATCAGGTGAGAGGTTCTCTGTGTAGTTTCTGACTGGTTGATCCAAGTGTTATATAAGTGGCCAAATTGGAAGTTCTGCCTTGGTTTCCTCAGGAAATCAGGTGTTTTTGAATGCAGCTATTCAACATAAGATACATTCACCTACCAACTACTATCTGTCAACTATTATGTCTACTAGGTGCTGCAAGAGATACAGAAGTTATGAGATAGGTCCTTTGCTTTCAAGATTTTCAATCTAATGGAGGGGCTGTATCAAGTACACAAAATCTTCAAATGTAATGAAACTTGAGATAAGTGTTGTAGACCAGGTGCAAGGCACTGTGAGGTCCCAGGGAATGGAGAGATTCTTCTCACCTTGGAGAAGGTGGAATTTAGGGTGGATATTGAAGAACTGTTAATATTTCATTAGGAATAGATGGCAAGTAATAAATTCTAAGGCAATGAAGCAGAAACCTCTTATTCCTCTATTCATTCATCTTTTTTTTGTCAGAGGCACTAGGTTTGGGGACATATAAAGATATACACATTCACTCATTCGTTAACTCCTACAGACATTTACTAAATGCACGTCCTACTTTGTGAACAAAAAAGCACCCGCCTTTATGGAGCTTATAGTCCAGCCATGGAATTGACAAAAAGGCTTATAACAGATCGGGATTCATATCCAGCACAGATTTGTGCAAGGTGCCATGTTAACCCTGTTGAGGTAGATGAGGATGACAGAGTTTGGGGTTGTCAGGCTGCATTTGCAAAAGGTGAAGAGTGTGCAATAAGGCTGCAAGGAGAGATCTGAAACTGAGGACTTGGATTGCTTTTATTCTGTAGGCAATGGGAGATCTGGAGGCTTCTAGGTGGGAGAAGCGGGTGATAGTCATAAAAACAATCCATCAGTCTTGGAACATGCTTTTCAGTATTGAAGCAGCTTTTCCTATTCCTCCTTATACTATTTAATCTTCACCACAACCCTATAAAATAGGAGGACCAATTCTGTCTTAGGCACTATTAGAAAATTAAGGAGAAAGAAATGACATTATTTTTCAAGATAATTTCAACTTTTATTTTAGATTGAGGGGTACATATGCAGATTGTTACATGGGTATATTGTGTGACTCTGAGGACAAATGATCCTATCACACAAGTACTACCCAAGCATAATACTCAATAGGTGGTTTTTCAACCCATTCCCCTCTCTTTCCCTCCCCCATCTATTAGTCCCAGTGTCTATCATTCCTATATTTATGTCTATGGGTATCCAATGTTTAGCTTCCACTTATAAGTGAAAAAATACGGTATTTGGTTTTCTTTTTTTGTGTTAATTTGCTTAGAATAATGGCCTTTGGCTCCATCTATGTTGCCACAAAGGACATGATTTAATTCTTTCTTATGGCTGCATAGTATTCCATGGTGTATATGTACCACATTTTCTTTATTCAGCCCACTGTTGATGGGCACCTAGGTTGGTTCCATGTCTTTGCTATTGTGAACAGTGCTGCGATGAACATACAAATGCATGTGTCTTTTTGGTAAAACAATTTATTTTCTTCTGAATATCCAGTAATGGGATTGCTGGGTCAAATTGTAATTCTGTTTTAAGTTCCTTGAGAAATTTCCAAACTGCTTTCCATAGTGGCTGAACTAGTTTGCATTCCCACTAACAGTATATTCCTTTCTCTCCATAGCCTTGCCAGCATCTGTTATTTTTGATTTTTTAATAATTGCCATTCTGACTGGTATGAGATGATATTTCTTTGTGGTTTTGATTTGAATTTTTCTGATGATTAATGATGTTGGGCATTTTTTTCATATTTTTGTTGGCCAATTTTACATCTTCTTTTGAGAAGAATCTGTTCATATCCTTTGCCCATTTTTAAATGAGATTATTTGTTTTTGCTTGTTGATTTATGTTCCTTGTAGATTCTGGATATTAGAATTCTGTTACATGCAGAGTTTATTAATATTTTCTCCCATCCTGTAGGCTGTTTACTCTGTTGATAAATTCTTTTGCTATGAAGAAGCCCTTCAATTTAATTAGCTCCCACTTGTCAATTTTTGTTTTTCTTGCAATTGCTTTCGGGGACTTAGCCATAAATTCTTTGCCAATGCTGATGTTGAGAAGGGTAGTTCTTAGGTTTTCTTCTAGGATTTTTATAATTGGGGTTTTATATTTAAATCTTTAACCCATTTTGAGTTAATTTTTGTATATGGTGAGAGGTAGGAGTCCAGCTTCATTCTTTTCCATATGGCTAGCCCGTTATCCCAACACCATTCATTGAATAGAGTGTCCTTATTCCATTGTTTATTTTTGTCTATTTTGCTGAAGATCAGATGGCTGTAGATGTGCAGGTTTATTTCTGGGTTCTGTATTCTGTTCCATTGGTCTATGTGTCTGTCTTTGTACCAGTACCATGCTGTTTTTGTTACTGTTGCCTTATGGTATAATTTGAAGTCGAGTAATGTGATGCCTCCAGTTTTTTTTTTGTTGTTGTTGTTGTTTGCTCAGTATTGCTGTGGTTGTTTTTTTTTTTTGTTTGTTTGTTTGTTTCATATAAATTTATGAGTAGATTTTTCTAATTCTGTAAAAAATGACATTGGTATTTTGATAGGGATAGCATTTAACGTATAAATTGCTTTGGGCAGTATGGCCATTTTAATGATATTGATCCTTCCAATCCTTAAGCATGAAACGTTTTCCCATTTCTTTGTGTCATCTCTGATTTCTTTCAGCAGTGTTTGGTAGTTTTCTTTGCAGAGATCTTTTACCTCCTTGGTTAGACGAATTCTTAGGTATTTCATTTATTTTGTGGCTATTGTAGATGGGATTGTGTTCCTGATTTGGTTCTCAGCTAGAACATTATTGGCATATAGAAATGCTACTAATTTTTGTACATTAATTTTGTATCCTGAAACTTTATCAGTTTCAGGAGCCTTTTGGCAGAGTCTTTAGGGTTTTCTAAGTAAGGAATCATATCATTTGAAAAGAGAGATGGTTTGACGACTTCTTTTTCTATTTGGATGCATTTTATTTCTTTCTCTTGCCTAATTGCTCTGACTAGGACTTCCACTACCATGTTGAATAGGTGTGGTGAGAATAGGTGTCCTTGTCTTGTTCTAGTTCTCAAGGGGAAAGGTTCCTCTTGGGCTTTTCTCCATTTAGTATAATGTTGGCTGTGGGTTTGTCATAGATGGCCTTTAATATTTTGAGATATGATCCTTTGATGCCTAGTTTGTTGAAGGTTTTTATCATGAAGGGATGTTGGATTTTATCAAAGGCTTTTTCTGCATCTATTAAGATAATTGTGTGGTTTTTGATTCTGTTCACATGGTGAATCACATTTATAGATTTGCATGTGTTGAATCAACCTTGCATCCCAGGAATAAAACCTTCTTGAATGTGGCGACTTAACTTTGTGATGTGCTGCTGTATTCAGTTTGCTAGTATTTCATTGGGGATTTTTACATCTATGTTCATCATGGATATTGGCCTGAAGCTTTCTTTTTATGTTGTGTCTCTGCCAGATTTTTGTATCAGAATGATGCTAGTTTCACAGGATGAGTTAGGGAGGAGCTCCTTCTCTTCAATTTTTTGGAATAGTTTCAGTAGGATTGGTATCAGTTCTTTGCAGATCTGATAATGGGCTGTGAATCCATCTGGTCTAGGGCTCTTTTTGGTTAGTAGGTTTTTAAAATCTCAGAATTCATTATTTGTCTGTTCAGGTTTTCACGTGCTTCCTAGTTCAATCTTGGGAGATTGTGCGTTACCAGGAATGTATCCACTTTCTCTAGATTTCCTAGTTTATATGCAGAGAGGTTTTCATAATGGTCTCTGAGGATCTTTTGCTTTATGTGGGATTGATTGTAATGTCATCTTTGTCATTTCCAATTTTGTTTGTTGGGATCTTCTCTCTGTATTTGTTAATCTAGCTAGCGCTCAATCAATCTTGTTTATTCTTTCGAAAAAGCAACTCTTGGTTTTATTGATCTTTTGTATGGACTTTTGGGTCTAATTTTGTTCAGTTCTCCTCTGATGTTAGTTATTTCTTTTCTTCTGCTATATTTGAGGTTGGATTGTTCTTTTTCTCCCCTTCTTCCTCTAGGTGTGATGTTAGATTGTTAAATTGAAATCTTTCTAACCTCTTAATGAAGGCATTTTAGTGCTATACACTTTCCTCTTAACACAACTTTAGCTGCATCCAAAGACTTTGGTAAGTTGGGTCACTATTTTCAATAATTTCAAGGAATTTTTTGATTTCTGCCTTAATTTTGTTGTTCACCCAAGGGTTATTCAGGAGAAAGTTGTTTAATTTCCATGTTTTCATGCAGTTTTGAGAGATCTTGGTATTGATTTCTATTTTTGCTGCATTGCAGTCTTGAGAGTGTGCTTAGTATGGTTTTGATTTTTTTGTATTTATATTATTGAGACTTGCTTTATGACTGAGCATGTGATTGATCTTAGAATACGTTCCATGTGCAGATAAGAAGAATGTATGTCCTGTGGTTGTTGGGTGGAGTAGTCTGTAGATGTCTCTTAGGTCCAGTTGGTCAAGTGTCTAGTTTAATGCCAGAATTTTATTGTTTGTTTTCTGCCTCAATGATCTGACTAACACTGTCAGTGGGCTGTTGAAGTCCCTCACAATTGTGTGGCTGAAATGACGTGATATCTTAACTCAAGGAACATATAATCTTATTGTAAGTTAGAACTAACATACACACCACTGTGGGCTTCCACATATGGCCTCTTATATTTTCACTTCACACGTAACCAATGTCAGCTTCACATGCTCACTTCCAAATCAGGATCTTGAGCAGAGAATCATCTTCTAAATGGTGTACTTGCATGTCAGAGTATCTCCAAATTGCCCCACTTGGATGTTCTACAGGTACTTCAAACACACTGTGTCCAAGTTTGAGTTCAGTGTTTCCCATGCTACAGCCTAGCCTGCTCCCTCTCCTGTGATCCCTGGCCTCAGTAAACACTCCCTCATGCAATCTGTTATCCAAGCCAGAATACTGCCATTGCTTTTGAATTCCCCTACTCTTTCTCCACTTCCTTTACTGCACAGTTCTGATAATGCTTTCGTCTTATCTATTCTCCCCTCATTCCTGATCTGTGCTTACAATACCCACTAGAGAGGGAGAGTTGGATGGAGGGTTGACTGATTGAGAAAGTGAGTCTGAGACAGGCTATTGCAAGACAGAAAGGATTTGAACAGGGGAAGAGGACCATTTGTAGCAGGAGAATAATGAGAGGGCTTTGATGTGAGTGTGGTTGAACAGAGCGAACAGTCTGCTAAGTGACCAGCTGCCCTGGGGTTTGAGGAACCACAGAATGAGACAGACAGGATAGCAAAAGGGATTGGTACAGGCCAAGTCTTTGGGTAATGAGTTGGGTATCACAGCTGCTTCATGAATTTCTAGGGAATCATGTTCTGACTTTGGGAAAATAAGGGAACCCTTCTAATCCTTGGGAGCCTCACATGTGAAGTGAGGATAATAATAGTATCTATGCATAGGTTTGTTGTGTGAATTGAGCTAAGTAAGGCATATACAATGTTTAGCACATATTTTCAGCCTGACTGGATAGGGGACTGCTTTCCTTTTCCAAATAAATTGAGATGCTGGATATAATATAACATTAACAACAGAAGAAAACAAAAATAAAAAAGCTGGAAAGAGAACTCTTCAGGAATCAAAAACAAGGAAAGCATAGCTGCACTGGGGGGCTGAAACTGAGTGGCTGCTGAGGAGCTGTGGCCTACTGCCTCAGCTGGAGTTTTAAAGTCCATGAGTAGCAAGAATGGAAACCTAAGTTCTCTACACAAAGAAAACTTGAGATGGGATGTCTGCATAAAGCCTGAAGCTTCAAAGGACTGTCTGAATTCGGGTCCCAGAATAAACACTGCCACTGCCCGAGGGATGCAGGGAGTAAGCCAGACAACCACTTTGGAATAAGTCACCTCCGAGAAGTTAGACGCCCAGGCCTGCTCTGTGCATGGGCATCAAGTCCAAATGCACACAGTTCACATGCCGTAGAAATCCTGAACTGAGAAACAAACCTAAAAATGCATCCTTGAAGTCTTTAGGGCACTGAGCAAAGACAAACTCAAAACCTCTCAATACAGATGTATTTACAGCTTAGGGCATGTGTTAGACAATTACTACTAGAGATAAGCTCAGAGTAAAAGAAAGATTACAAAACAAAGAAGAAACAACCCTTTGCCTGTCTGAGAAATAATAGCAAACACAGCAAATGATTAAACTCACATAACAGGAACCACAGGAGCAGTTTGAAAGGGAACAGGGAAAGCAGGTTTGAAAAAGAGCTGAATAAAAATTTCAGAAAGGAAATAAAAATAAATCAATAAGTTAAATATAAATGAGAAAGCTGAGAACAAAATTAGTGAATCTGAAGATAGATGAGATTGTATGACAAAATGATAAATTCCAACAAATATCCTTGAAAGATGTGTGGCTGGAGGTGAGGTTGGGCTCTAGCGGACTAGCATGCTACAGTAAGGAGTGTGTTACCTTATTTTAGTGCCTTGCATTCTAGAAAGCCATTCTTTACTCCAACAGCCTTATTGTGTGTTCAGTTTAGATGACAATGGACAGAACTGCAAAAGCCCCTGCTCCAAAGGACATATTTGAAGGGTCACCTTCATTTCATGAAACAGAGAGCTGTTTACCAGGAGGATTGGAACCATGCAAACCAGATTCTCTTAAGACTTGCGAGGCCATACGGCCTCAGGCCACTAATTTAAACACTAGTAAAAAGAGGCTGGACCTGGGGGCCAACATGGCCAATTAAAAGCAGCTGCGGTCTGTGGCACTCACAGAGAGGAATGAAAGTGATGCCTGAATTCAGCACCTTCAACTGAAATATCCAGACTCTCACATTGGGACTGACTAGGCAAACAACCCGACCTGTGGGGAATGAAGAAAAGCAGGCTGGGGCGACAGCCACCTGGGAACAGCATGAAGCCAAAGGAAGCAGTGAGTGATCCCACCCAGGAAACCATGCTTCTCCCACAGATTTTTGCAACCTGCAGATCAGGACATCCCTTCATTAGCCCAAGCCACCAGGGTCTCGGGTCTGACTCACAGAGGTGTGTGGAGTCCCTGCAGAGCAGCCACTCAGGCAAACACAGAGACCCAGTTTTGCTGGCCCTGGGATTCCCAGCGAGGTGGAATGTCAATCCCTACATACCCCTAGGAGGCGGGCTCTATCCAGGGAGCCAAGCAGTGTCATTCTGCGGGCCCCACTTCAACGGCACCTTACAAGTTAAGACCCACTGGCTTGGAATTCCAGTGAGCCACAAGTGACAGGCTGGAATCTGCATGAGAAGGACCAAGTTCCTGGGGAGAGATGTGACCGTCATTTCTTTGGTTCAGTCAACTCAGCTGTTATAGCCTGCTGGCTCTGGAGAGTCCAAGGGTCTGGACAAGGAAGGGTCCCCCACAATGCAGCACAGCTGCACTACCAAAAATCAGCCAGATTTCTTATTTAAGCAGGTCTCTAACCCTGTTCCTCCTGACTGGGTGAGGCCTCCCAACAAGGGTTCTCAGCCACCTCTTATAGGTGCAGTTCTGGCTGACAACAGGTCACTAAACTGCAGGATGGAGCTTCCAGAGGCAGGAGCAGGCTGCCATCTCTGCTGTTTCTCAGCCTTCACTGGTGATACATCCAGGTACAGGAAAAACTGAGGCAACTAGGGTCTGGAGCAGAACCCCAGCAAACTGCAGCAGCCCTATGGAAGGGTAGCCTGACTGACTGTTAAAAGAAAAACAAACAGAAAATAACATCAACAAAAATCCCATTCAAAGGTCAGCAACCTCAAAGATCGAAGGTAGAAAAGCCCACAAAGATGAGAACGAATAAATGCAAAAACGCTGAAAACTCAAAAAGTCAGAGTGCCTCCTCTCCTCCAAATGACCGCAACACCTCTCCAGCAAGGGCACCGAACTGAGTTGAGGCTTGGCTGGACTGATAGAAGTAGGCATCAGAAGGTGGGTAATAATGAACTTTGCTGAGCTAAAGGAGCATGTTGTAACTCAATGCAAAAAAAAAAAAAAAAATGCAAAAAAGCTAAAAATCATGATAAAACGATATGGGAGCTGATAGCCAGTTTAGAGAGGAACACAACATGAGACATTCACAGTGCAATCATGAGTATCAATAACAGAATAGACCAAGTGGAAAAAAGAATCTCAATGCTTGAAGACTATTTTTCTGAAATAAGACAGGCAGACAAGAATAGAATGAAAAGGAATGAATGGAATCTCCAAAAAGTATGGAATTATGTAAAGAGACAGAACCTATGATTGATTGGGGTACCTGAAAGGGACGGGGAGAATGGAACCAACTTGGAAAACATACTTGAGGATATCATCCAGAACTTCCCAAACCTAGCAAGACAGGCAAACATTCAAATTCAGGAACTGCAGAGAACCCCAGGGTGATACTCCATGAGATCAACCCAAGACTCTTGATATGGTTTGGCTGTGTCCCCACCCAAAATCTCATCGTGAATTATAATCCCGATAATCCCCACATGTCAAGGGTGGGACCAGGTGGAGGTAATTGGATCAGGGGGCTGTTTCCCCCATGCTATTCTTGTGATAGTGAGTGAGTCTCATGAGATCTGATAGTTTTAGAGGCATCCAGCCTTTTCCCTGCCTGCACTGACTCTGCCCTGTGAAGAAGGTGCCTATTTCTCCTTTGCCTTTCACCATGATTATAAGTTTCCTGGGGGCTTCCCAGCAATGTGGAATGGTAAGTAAGTCAATTAAATCTCTTTCCTTTATAAATTATCCAGTCTCAGGCAGTTCATTATAGTAGCATGAGAAAAGACTAATACAATTCTCCAAGGTCCAAATGAAAGAAAAATAATGTTAACAGCAGTCAGAGAGAAAGGCCAGGTCACCTACAAAGGGAAACCCATCAGACTAACAGTGGTCCTCTCAGCAGAAACCCTACAAGCCAGAAGATACTGGGGGACAATATTCAACATTCTTTAGGAATTTCCAACCCAGAATTTCAGAACCAGCAAAAGTTAGCTTCATAAGTGAAGGAGAAATAAGATCCTTTTCAGGCAAGCAAATGCTGAGGGAATTTGTCACCATCAGGCCAGCCTTGCAAGAGCTCCTGAAGGAAGCACTAAATATCAAAAGAAAAAACCATTACCAGCCACTACAAAAAACACTGAAGTACACAAACCAGTGACACTATAAAGCAACCACATAAACGAGTCTACAAAATAACCAGCTAGCATCATGATGACAGGATAAAATTCATACACAACACTAGCCTTAAATGTAAGTGAGCTAAATGTTCCAATTTAAAGACACAGAATGGCAAGCTGGATAAAGAGCCAAGACCCATCAGTATGCTGTCTTCCCAAGACCCACCTCACGTACAAAGTCACACATAGGCTCAAAACAAAGGAATGGAGGAAAATTTACCAAGAAAATGGAAAACAGAAAAAAGCAGGGGTCACAATCCTAGTTTAAACCAATAAAGAAAAAAAAAGACAAGGTAATTACATACTGGTAAAGGGTTCAATTCAACAAGAAGAGCTAACTATCCTAAATATATATGCACTCAATACAGGAGAACCATATTCATAAATCAAGTTCTTAGAGACTACAAAGAGACTTAGACTTCCACACAATAATAGCGAGAGATTTTAACAATAATAGCGAGAGACTTTAACCAACCAATATTAGATCACAGAGACAGAAAATTAACAAAGATATTCAGGACCTGAACCCCACTCTGGATTAAGTGGACCTAATAGCTATCTACAGAACTCTCCACCTCAAGAATATGCATTCTTCTCATTGCCACATGGCACTTCCTCTAGAATTGATCACATAATCGAAGTGAAAGACTCCTCAGTGAATGCAAAAGAACTGAAATCATAGCAAACGGTCTCTCAGACCACAGTGCAATTAAATTAGAACACAAGATATAAAAATTCACCCAAAACCACACCATCACATGGAAATTACACAACCTGCTCCTGGATGACTCCTGGGTAAATAATGAAATAAAGGCAGAAATCAAGAAGTTTTTTTGAAACTAATGAGAACAAAGAGACAATGTACCAGACTTTCTGGGATGCAGCTAAAGCAGTGTTAAGAGTGAAATTTATAGCACTAAATGCCCACATCAAAAAGCTAGAAAGATATCAAGTTAACCTAACATCACAATTAGAAGAACCAGGAGCAAACAAACTCCAAAGCTAGCAGAAGACAAGAAATAAAGATCAGGACTCAGAATAAAAATGACAGATAGGAGGCAGGACTAACTTGCAGCTCCCACTTGGACAGACAGAGCGACATGTGGAGGCTCACGTCGTGAACTTTTGCTCCAAGAACTACCCACAGGAACATACCAGGAAAGCCGAGAGAATCCACAGACCCTTTGAAGGAAGTGGATTCCTGCTGCAGGCCCCTGGAGACAGCTGAAAAACTGTGATTTCCCAAAGTGTAAAAGTGTGAAAAGGAATCATCTGCCCCTGGATTTACACCCTTACTGGGGAACCTGAATGTCCAGATCACCAGAGAAGGATTTGACCTTACCTGAAGCTGAGACACATTTAGAGAGCCAAGTGAAAAACAGGAGTAGGAGAAGTAGGGGGAAGAGCCCTGGGGGCTCTCTAAGATCCCAGGGAAGCCATTTCTGACTTTGTCTCACAGGGGTTCTTGGGGAGGGCTGCCAGAGGAAATGGGAATAGACCACAGGAAGAAGGAAATTTCCAGCTGAACTTTGTAACAATTTCACCTGAATGCAAAGTTTCCTGGAGGTGAGAGTGAATCAGGAGTGCAGACACACCACAGAAGTTGCTACAGGTGGGAAGGCATAAATCCTGAAAGCCCTGCTTGCTTTCTCAGCTGGCAGGCTGGTAGCCTGGGGCTAGTTCTCAGCCCAGCTCACCCACTGCCTGGAAATAAACTCGGTGCTGTTGGATAAGTATGGTGGAAGTGAGACTGGCCTTTTGGGCTACATGGAAGCTGGGTGAGGACTGTAAGTGCTGGCTTTTCCCTACTTCTCTGGTGACCTGCGTGACACAGGAGAGACAGTCATAATTCCCCTGAGAACAACCCCATCCCCCAAGGCAGCCACAGCAAGCCGCATCCACGGAGAGTCTGCGCTCAGACACACCTAACCCTGCCACCACCTGATGGTCTTTCTCTACCTGCCCTGGTAGCCAAAGACAAAGGAAATAATCCCTTGGGAGCTCTATGGCCTCACCCACCACCTGATCCTCCCTATATTACCACCACAGCTGATGCTGTCTTGAAAGCACCACCTCTGGGCTAGAAGTCAACCAACACAAAATTAGTACAATAAACAAAGCCACAACCAAAGATCCTAACAGAGTCCACCTGATTCCCCTCCACCTCCACCAGAGCAGATACTGGTGTCCACGGCCGAGAGAACTGAAGACGGTTCACATCACAGGACTCTTTGTAGACACTCCCCAGTACCAGCCTGGAGCCCAGTAGTTCTGCTGGGTGGCTAGATCCAGGAGAAAAATAATAATCACTGCAATTTGGTTCTCAAGAAGCCACATCCCTAGGGGAAGGGGGAAAGTTCCACATCAAGGAAGTACCCCTTGGGACAAAAAAATCTGAACAGCAGCCCTTGAGTCCCAAATCCTCCCTCTGACATAGTCTATCCAAATGAGAAGAAACCAGAAAAACAATTCTGGTAACATAACAAAACAAGGTTCTTTAACACCCCCAAAGTATCACACCAGCTCACCACCAATGGACCCAAACCAAGAAGAAATATCTGAATTACCAGAAAAAATAATTCAGAAGGTCAATTATTAAGCTAATCAAGGAGGCACCAGAGAAAAGTGAAGTCCAATTTAATGAATACAACATATGAAGGGAAAAATCTTCAGTAAAATAGATAGCATAAGTGAAAAACAATCACAACTTTTGGAGAGGAGGGACACACTTAGAGAAATGCAAAATACACTGGAAAGTCTCAACAGTAGAATGGAACAAGTAGAAGAAAGAACTTCAGGGATTGAAGACAAGGCTTTTGAATTAACTCACTGCAACAAAGTCAAAGAAGAAAGAATTTTTTAAAAAATGAGCTAAGTCTCCAAGAAGTTATGTTAAATGACAAAACCTAAGATTAGTTGATGTTCTTGAGGAGGAAGAGAAATCTAAAAGTTTGGAAAACGTATTTGAAGGAATAATTGAGGGAAACTTCCATGGCTTTGCTAGAGATCTAGACATCCAAATACAAAAAGCTCAAAGAACACCTTGGAAATTTATCACAAAAAGATCATTGCCTAAGCACATTGTCTTGACTTTAGATAACTTGATGACTAAGAAAAGAATCTTAAGAGCTGCGAGGCAAAAGCATCAGGTAACCTGTCAAATTAACAGCAGATTTCTCACCAGAAACCCTACAAGCTGGAAGGGATTGGGGCCCTATCTGTAGCCTTCTTAAACAAAATAATTATGAGCCAAGAATATTGTATCCAGCAAAACTAAGCTTCATAAATGAAGGAAAGATACAGTCTTTTTCAGACAAAAAGAAAAAAAAAAATGCCAAAAGAATTCACTACTACCAATCCAGCACTATATGAACTGCTAAAAGCACCTCTAAATCTTGAAACATATCCTCCAAATAAACCAAAATAGAACATCCTTAAAGCATAAATCTCACAGAATCTATAAAACAAAAAACTATGAAAAAAAGCAAGGTATTCAGGCAACAAATAGCAGAATGAATAGAATAGTATCTCACATATCAATATTGATATTGAATGTAAATGGCCTAAATGCTCCACTCAAAAAATACAGAATGGCAGAATGGATAAAAATTCACCAACCAAGTAGCTGCTGTCTTTAAGGAACTCACATAACACATAAGGACTTAGCATAACTTAAGGTAAAGGGGTGGAAAAATATATTCCATGCAAATGGTCACAAACAGAGCAGGAGTAGCTATTCTTATATCAGAAAAAACAAACTTTAAAGCAACAGAGTTAAAAAAAGACAAAGAGGAACATTACATAATGATAAAAGTACTTGTCCAATAGGAAAATATCACTATCATAAATATATATGCACCTAACACTGCAGCTTCGAAATTTATACAATTACTACTAGAGCTAAGAAATGAGATAGACAGCAATACAATAATAGTGGGGGCTTTAATATTCTACTGACAGCAGTAGACATGTCCTCAAGGCAGAAAGTCAACAAAGAAACAACTTACTTAAACTATAACTTAGAATGAATGGACTTAACAGATATTTACAGAACATTCTACTCATCGGCACATGGAACATTCTCCAAGATAGACCATATGATAGGCCACAAAACAAGTCTCAATACATTTTAAAAAAATTGAAATTATATCAAACACTCTCTCAGACCACAATGAAATTGGAAATCAACTCCAAAAAGAACCCTCAAAACCATTCTAATACATAGAAATTAAATAACCTGCTCCTGAATGCTTGTTGGGTAAACAACGAAATCAAGATGAAAATTAAAAAAAATTTTGAATTGAATTATAATAGTGATACAACCCATCGAAACCTCTTGGATACAGCAAAGGCAGTGCTAAAGGAAACTTCATAGCATTAAATCCCTACATCAGTAAGTCTGAAAGAGCACAAATGGACAATCTAAGGCCACACCTCAAGGAACTAGGGAAACAAGAACAAACCAAGCCCAGACACAGCAGAAGAAAAGAAATAACAAAGATCAGAGCTGACTAAATGAAACTGAAACAAACAAAGCAGAAAAACAATAAAAAGACTAATTAAACCAAAAGCTGGTTCTTTGGGGAAAAAATAAAACTGATAGACAATTAGTAAGATTAACCAAGAAAAGAAGAGAGAAGCTCCATTAGAAATGAAACAGAAGGTATTACAACCAATGCCACAGAAATACAAAAGATCATTCAAGGCTACTGAACACCTTTATGTGCATAAACTAGGAAACCTAGAGGAGAGGAATAAATTCCTGAAGGTATACAACATTCCTAGATTAAACCAGGAAGAAACAGAAACTCTGAACAGACCAATAACAAGCAGCAAGATTGAAATGGTCATAAAAATAATAGCCAACAAAAAAAGTCCAGGACCAAATAGATTCATAGCTGAATTTTATCAGACTTTCAAAGAAGAATTAATACTAATCATCCTGAAACTATTCCAAAAGATAGAGAAAGAGAGAGTCCTCCCTAAATCATTCTATGAAGCTAGTGTCACCCTAATATCTAAACCACCATGCAATTCCACCTTACTTCTGCAAGAATGGCAACACTAAGAACATAAAAATAAATAGATGTTGGCATGGTGGCATGGATGTGGTGAAAAGAGAACACTTTTATACTGCTGGTGGGAATATTAAGTAGTACAACCACTATGGAAAACAGTGTAGAGATCCCTCAAAGAACTAAAAGTAGAACTACCATTTGTTCCAGCAATCCCACTCCTGGGAATCTACCCAGAGGAAAAGAAGTCATTATATGAAAAAGATACTTGACACGCATGTTAATGGCAGCACAATTTGCAATGGCAAAAATATGGAACCAGACCAAATGCCCATCAATCAACAAGTGGATAAAGAAATTGTAGTATATGTATATGTAGTATATGTATATGTATGAATACCTCTCAGCTATAAAAAGGAACAAAATAATGGCATTCACAGCAACCTGGGTGGAATTGGAGACCATAATTCTAAGTGAAGTAACTCAGGAATGGAAAATCAAACATCATATGTTCTCACTCATGAGTGGGAGCTAAGCTATGAGGATGCAAAGGCATAAGAATGACACAATGGACTTTGGGGTGTGAGGGATAAAAGAGTACATATTGGGCACAGTGTATACTGCTTGGATGATGTGTGCACCAAAATCACAAAAATCACCACTAAAGAACTTATTCATGTAGCCAAACGCCACCTGTTCTCCAAAAACCTATTGAAAAAATATAGAAAACTATACAAAATTCAAAATAAGAAAGAACCAAGATCAGAGTGAAACTGAAGGAGATAGTGACATGAAAAACACTTCAAAAAAATAAATGAATCCAGGAGCTGCCTTTTGAAAAAATTAATAAAATAGACTGCTATCTTGACTAATAAGAATAAAAGAGAGAAGAATCAAATAGACACAATCAGAAATGATAAGTGGAATATCATCACTGACCCCACAGAAATGCAAACAACCATCAGAGAATACTATAAATTTCCAGTATGCACATACACTAGATCCCAAGACTGAACCAGGAAGAAATTGAATCCCTGAATAGACCAATAACAAGTTTTGAAATTAAGGTGGTAATAAATAGCCTACCAACCAAAAAAAGCCCAGGCCCAGACAGATTTACATCTAAATTCTACCAGAGGTACAAAGAAGAGCTGGTACCATTCCTACTGAAACTATTCCAAACAATTGAAAAGAAGGGATTCCTACCTAACTCATTTTATGAGGCTGGCTTCATCCTGATATCAAAATCTGGCAGAGACACACACCCAAAAAAAAAAAAAAAAAGAAAGAAAAAAAAAGAAAGCTTCAGGTCAGTATCCTTGATGAACATTGATGCAAAAATTATCAACGAAATACTGGCAGACTGAATACAGCAGCACATCTAAAAGCTTATCCACCATGATAAACTTGGCTTCATCTCCAGGATGCAAGTTTGGTTCAACCTATGCAAATTAATAAATGTGATTCATCACATAAACAGAACCAAAGACAAAAACCACATGATTATCTCAATAGATGCAGAAAAGGCCTTTGATAAAATTTAACATCGCTTCATGTTAAAAACTCTCAATAAACTAGGTATTGAAGGGACATACCTAAAAATACTAAGAGCCATCTATGACAAACACACAGCCAATATCATACTGAATGGGTAAAAGCTGGACGCATTCCCCTTGAAAACTGGCACAAGACAAGGATGCCCTCTCTCACCACTCCTATTCAACATTGTATTGGAAGTTTGGCCCAGGAAATCAAGCAAGAGAAAGAAATAAAAGTATTTAAATAGAAAGGAAGTCAAGTTATCTTTGCTTGCAGATGACATGACCCTATATCTAGAAAATCCCATCGTCTTAGTTGAAAAGCATCTTAAGCTGATAAGCAACTTCAGCAAAGTCTCAGGATACAAAATCAATGTGCAAAAATCACTAGCATTCCTATACACCAACAACATGCAAGCAGAGAACCAAATCATGAATGAACTCCCATTTACAGCTGCCACAATAAGAATAAAATACCTGGGAATACAGCTAACAAGGGAACTGAAGGACCTCTTCAAGGAGAATTACAAACCACTACTCAAGGAATTTAGAGATGACATAAACAAATGGAAAGACATTCTATGATCATGAATAGGAAGAATCAATATCTTAAAAATGGGCATACTGCTCAAAGTAATTTATAGATTCAATGCTATTCCCATGAAACTACCATTGACATTCTTCACGAAATTAGAAAAGCTATTTTAAAATTTATATGGAAGCAAAAAGAGCCCAAATAGCCAAGGTAATCCTAAGAAAAAGAATAAAGCTGGAGGCATCACACTATCTGACTTCAAACTACACTACAAGACTATAGTAATCAAAACAGAATGATGCTGGTAACCAAAACACACATAGACCAATGGAACAGAATAGAAAAGTCAGAAATAAGACCACACACCTACAACCGTCTGATCTTTGACAAACCTGAGAAAAACAAGCAATGGGGAAAGCATTCCCTATTTAATAAATCGTGCTGGGAGAACTGGCTAGCCATATGCAGAAAACTATAGATGCAAAAATTAACTCAACATGAATTAAAGACTTAAATATAAAACTCAAAACTATAAAAACCCTAGAAGAAAACCCAGGCAATACCATTCAGGACATAGGCATGGGCAAAGACTTCATGACGAAAACACCAAATGCAAAATTTTGAAACAAAAGCAAAAATTGACAAATGAGATCTAATTAAACTGAAGAGCTGCACAGCAAAAGAAACTATCATCATAGTGAACAGAAAACCTACAGAATGGGAGAACATTTTTGTATTCTAGCCATCTGACAAAGGTGTAATATCCAGAGCCTACAAGGAACTTAAGCAAACGTACAAGAAAAAAAAAATCACATTAAAAAATGGGCAAAGGACATGAACAGACACTTCACAAAAGAAGACATACTTGTGGCCAACAAACATATGAAAAAAAAGCTCAACATCATTGATCATTAGAGAAATGCAAATCAAAACCACAATGAGATACCACCTCACACCAGTCAGAATGGCTAATATTAAAAAGTCCAGAGGCAGGCGGATCACGAGGTCAGGAGATTGAGACCATTCTGGCTAACATTGTGAAACCCCATCTCTACTAAAAATACAAAAAAAAAAAAAATTAGCCAGGTGTGGTGGCTGGCATCTGTAGTCCCAGCTACACGGGAGGCTGAGGCAGGAGAATTGCGTGAACCCGGGAGGCAGAGCTTGCAGTGAGCTGAGATTGCACCACTGCACTCCACGCTGGGTGACAGAGTGAGGCTCTGTCTCAAAAAAAAAAAAAAAAAAAAAAAAAAGTCCAGAAACAGCAGATACTGGCACAGTTGCAGAGTAAGAGAATGCTTTTACACTGTTGGTGGGAGCATAAATTAGTTCAACCATTGTGGAAGACAGTGTGGTGATTCCTCAAAGATCTAGAGGCAGAAATACCATTTGACCCAGCAATTTCATTACTGCATATGTACTCAAACGAATATTAATCATTTTATTATAAAGATACAAGCACGTGTACGTTCACTGTAGCACTATTCACAATAGCAAAGACATGAAATCAATCTAAATGCCCATCAATGATAGACTGGATAAAGAAAATGTGCTACGTATACACCATGGAATACTATGTAGCCATAAAAGGAGTGAGATCATGTCCTTTGCAGCGACATGGATGGAGTTGGAAGCCATTAATTATCCTTAGGAAACTAACACAGGAACAAAAAACCAAACACCACATGTTCTCACTTATAAGTGGGAGCTGAATGATGAGAACACATAGACACACATGGTGGGGGGAACAGCACACAGTGGGGCCTGTCGAACGGGGTAGAGTAAGGGGAGGGAGAGCATCAGAAAGAATAGCTAACGGACACTGAGCTTAATACCTAGGTGATGGGATGATCTGTGCAGCAAACCACCATGGCACGCATTTACCTGTGTAGCAAACCTGCACATCCTACACATGTACCCCTGAGTTTAAAATAAAAGTTGAAGGAAAAAAAAGAGACTTTGGTTAGCACCCAGATCAACTTTATGCCAGGGCAAAGATGTTACTCTCATTTGCAAATCTATTCAAGATCTTCCCAGGAGGTTGCCTGCACTTCCAAACTGGCAGCAAGAAGCGTAGTGTGTTTTCACTGGAAGGTAATCATGACAGCTCAGAAAGCACCTGCTGGGCCTCCTGTCAAAAAGTGACTGCTGACTCAGGGTGCTGGAGTGCAGGGGAGCAGGAAATCTGAAAAGTAGCCTGTGTCAAAGAGACCACCCTCGTTTGAAATTTGGTTGAGCAACATTTGGGCAAATCCCCAAAACAATCCTGAAAAACCATCCTTGTAATTTGTGCTTCGAGCATGGAAATCAAGACTTGCTTTGCACCCAGGATTTAATCTCATCCCCGGGGAGAGTAAGCACACCTTTATTATGCACTGATGATGTGCCTAGCACTCTAGCACCGTGCTGCGACTTTTGCATACATAATCAGCAGGGGTTTTTTTCTTTCTTTCTCACCACTGCCCTTAAGCAGTGTCAATCAGATCTCCCTTTCCACACCTAGATGACACCTTGGCAGATCTGTTAGTGTCTCAAGTCACTGTTTTCATGTACAGATGATCCCTGACTTATAATTGTTCAACTTTACAATGGAGCAAAAACAATACGTATTCAGTAGAGACTGTACTTTGAGTACTAATATAACCATTGTTTTTGACTTTCAATATAGTTTTCAATAAACTACATGAGATACTTAACACTTTATTATAAAATGGAAGCTTTGTGTTAGATGATTTGCCCAATTGTAGGCTAATGTAAGTGTTCTGAGCACATGGAAGGTAGACTAGGCTAAGCTTTGATGTTCAGTAGCTTAAGTGTATTAAATACATTTTTAATTTATGGTATTTTCAACTTACGATGGGCTTATTGGAAAACAACCCCATTATAAGTTGAGGAGCATCTATATTAAAAAGTCCACTTCAATTAGTCTCTTATCTAATTCAAAGCTTCTCCCCTTACCCAGCCTGGGGCTGATTTGCAAATTCCACAAAGCCCCACAGAGGTAGAGCTGACGGTGTTGATGTGAGAACCAGAGGTTAGGGCAGGAAATCCAGTCTCAACGAAGTGGGGGTTGTGCATTCCCTGTGCTGTCTCCTGCAGGAGCCTGGAGGAATGGGACATGCCAGGAGGAGATGAGGCCCCCCCATTCACTATTACTCAGGGAAATGTTCACCTCAGACCCTTTCAGACTTCCTTTCCCCACTGAGGTGCTGATTGTCTTGCCAGATATACCATGAACAAAGGGGCCCAGAGTAAAAAATGCTTTGGAAAAGCCTCATTTAACAGTCCATCAGGCTTCTTTCAGCAGGATGCCTCAGAACAGTGGTTCTCAAAGTGTGGTCTCTGAACCACAGCATCAGTATCAGCTGGGAACTTGCTATAAATTCACTCTCCAGCCTCACCTCAGACCCATGGAATCAGAAACTCCAGGAGCAGGGCTTGGCCATTTGTGTTTCAATAAGCCCTCCAGGTGGTTTTGGTGTGGTTAAGTTTGAGAACCTCTGTCTCAGAGACTATAATATGCTAAGGTGGGGAACAGAGTAGACCGTTTACCAAATTTTTGGACCACATTTGTCCTCCTGCTATGTACCTATGGCTATCTCAGGGACCAAAAAATCCTAGATGACACATGCTGTGAAATTCACTCAATTCATTCACACATATGTTCCAGGTACTTCCCAAGCATTGGGGATGTGACAGTGAACAAAACAGACTGTAGCCAGCCCCTTCCCACTTTCCAGCAAATGCCAGTCTCCCTCTTGCCCCACCATTCTTCCTACCCCCATTTCAAAGCTTCCCTCCCTCTGCTGACATATTTCTTCCTGCTTCTTATTTTGAGCATGAGGACTCCTCTTACCTGTGAGCCCCCACTCAAAAAAAAAAGGGGGGCAAAAAAGCAAAACCCTCTCTTAGGCCCGCCAGGCTTTCTTCCTCCTCCCAGGTTTTTGCTTGCAGGACATGCCACAGAATTCATCTAGGGATATTTTCCTCATGAATTTCCTGAACCAGCTGCTGTCTGTCAGGGCCCTGGGCACAGATTCAGAGCTGCAGAGGCACAGCCTGCCTGTTGTCGGTTGTAAGTGCCCATGTACAGAGTGAGTTTAATATTTGAGCAGGCCAGGAAGCACCTGTCTTAAATTTGGCAATTAGGAAAGGGAATATTTCTCCTCATGTGTTCCCTCTCTGAACACAATAAACTGCACAAAGACTAAGCAGATCGCTTGCCTCCAAATAGGAATTGTCTTCAAAGAGAGTCATTTTAGGATGGGGGTGAGGTCCCATCCTATGGGTTCTAACACCTCCTGCAAAAGCCTCTGAGCTTCTCAAGGTAAGTATAAGGGATATGATAGCCATTCAACAATTAGTATGTATTGGCAGATCAACTGACTGACTGAATGAATGAACAAATGATTGCATTAAGAGCTAGCGACCCTGGAAATGATTCCTGTAGAAAAGGAGAATATGAGGGTCCAGCTTGGAAACTGGGAGGGCGTTCCTGGGGATAAGGCCATGTCTGTGCCAAATCCTTGGAATTCTAGCAAACTCAGCAGTGCCGTCTGTCCAAGAAAAAGAGTTGAGAAGTCCCTGGCAGACACAGAGGGTTTTGGTTAGAAGATGAGGGCCCCATGGGGAGAAGGAAGGAGGGTACAAGTCATCAGATATGAGTGAGTCCCCATAAGACTCTAGCTAGGGAGGGGCCAATGCATGTTGCACAGGTCTCCTCACCAGTCTGTGGCTTCCATGCACATTCTGGGGATAGCAGCACCTATTTGGATTTCCACTGAAAGGTAGTGGCTTTGAAGTGAGTTGGCTCAGGGGAAATTTCAGCTCTATCCACTTACTTGGGATTGGAACTTGGGGCAAGTTTCTTAAACTTGCTGAGTGTAGTTTCTTCATCTATAAGATGGGTAGAAAATCTATCTTGCAGGAAGAATCGATTATTTATTAAATAGGTATTTATTGGTATGAGGTCACACATTATGTTAGGTGCTGAATATAGAAAGTAAAAATAGACATAGCTCTTTCCCTTAGGTGACAGACAGAAAATTAAACACTCACGTAAATAAATGTAACATTATGTCTATAAGACATCCTATGAGTAGAGGTACAAGGTGTCATACAAGCCCATAATAGAGGAATTTTACCTAGTTTTGGAGATCAGAAAGTGATGGTGAAGGAAAGGACGAGGATGAATGTCACAGCATTCAAGGCAGACAGAACAAGCAAAGGCAGCACCCTGTGGCACAGAAGCGAGGGGTGGGTTTGTGATATAGGGGTAGAGGGCAGGTGCCTTCTCCTACCCCTGCTCCTGTCAGCACACCGGTGGGTCTACCTCACCCCAAACCATGGGGATGCCCATTCCAACCTTGGAGGAAGGCTATACATAGCACAGTTCCATGTTGAGGCTGTGGAACCCGACCCCTCAGGTTCAAATTCTGATTTGATCACGTCCTGACTGCGTGATCTCAGGAGAGTTAGTTACATTTCCTGTCTGTGCCTCAAACAGAAATGATAACACTAGTAACTACCTTGAGGGGTTGTGATGATTGAGTTAATACATGTAAAACGCTTAGAACACTGGCTTACCTCATAAGTGCTAAAAGGAGTAGGTGTTACTCCTGACATTCCTTCCTTAACTCATGGCCCTCAGTTATAATACTTACATGGTTCTCGGCATGAGCCCTCTTCCCTCCCTCTGCCCAGTCCAGGAAGAGGCTCAACCCCCGATGTTCCTCATCACCCCATCTGGACCAGTGTGACTGCACCAGCCTGTAGCATTCTCTGTCCATCCCGGTCCCTCACATATTCAAGACACACATGTAATTTTACATTTTCCAGTAGCCATATTAGAAAAGTAAAAAGAAACAGGTGAATTTAATACTGTACTTTAGTCCAATATAGCCATTTATCATTTCAACATGTAATTAATATTAAAAATTATTACATTTTACATTCTGTTTTTGTACTCTTTCCAATCCATCATGATTTTACCCTAGCAGCACACTTCAATTTGGACTAGCCACATTTCAAGTGCTTGACAGTCACAGGTGACTAATGGCTCTCCTATGGGTTATAGCCCAGCTCTTGACTCTTTGATCCACAAGGATAAGAACCACATCCACTTCCACATCTCCAGGTATGAGGTAGGTGCACAACAAATGTTGGTCACAAATGAGAGCGTGGAGGGGAAGTGGATCGATGAATGGTGGTCATGTTCTGCAGAGCCCCACCTGTCCTCCCAGGCTCTTACTCTGTTACTGGGCACCGAGCCTTTTAGCCACAACGGGATCAAATCCTGGGTACCTAGTGCTAAATTACCATCCCAAAGAGAAGGTGAGGGGAGGGCTTGAAGGACCCTGGGGTTCCAGGGCAGCATCATAAGGAGGGGAGTGTGACGAAAGAGAGGCAGGGGAATATTCATGCTGTGTAAAGGAGAAAAAGAAATGATCCCAGAGGACTCAGGCAAAGAGAAGAATGGGCAGAAGGAGGGAGGCATCTCCTGACATGGCTTTCCCTGCTTCTTAAGGACTTGCCAGGGGAAGCAAAGATTAATGGGAGGAATGAGAGAGAGAATACTTCATGCAAAATGTTTCTTTCCATGCTTAATTTCTCCTTTCATTCTTTCCTAGGCAGATAAATAGCAGAGAGTGATTACACAAAACTCTTCTCACCACGGATTCCGGCATTTGTGGGCAGCTGCAGAAGAGTAGGTGGGAGGATCTCCCAGATTATGAGGCCAGTTTTTCTGTGGCTCAGAGACTGCCAGTGACTCGCTCAAGATAAAACAGCTTGTTAGTGGCAGGGATGGAGCCCAGAAATCCTGTTTCCTGTCCTCAGGAGTGTGTGTTCGAAAGAAGTTCTTGGCAAAGGTGAGAATAAATCATAGGCTCTTTGAAGAGGACTCCAGTGTATTAAACAAATAGGTTGCTGAGATGCAGTTAACTACTCAGTAATGTAGTTGAAGAAAATTAATTTTTCATTCTGCCACTCAGAATATCGAGGCTGGCCATCTGTAAACACAGCCTGTCTCTAGGAGAACAGAGGTGGAATCCTCCTTGCAAGTTTAAAAAAATAACAGAGTAATCTCAGTGGATGTCTTAAGAGAAACATAATTATAATTTAGTTGACATATCTCATATCTCAGTGATGGTAAATAAACCTTCCCTAAATAATTCAATTATAAATGTTGCTCCTTTGGAGAAGTGAACTGAACTGGTCTTGAATGGAATTGGGTAAGTGTTTCCACATACAAAAAAACAGCACGTGCTGGCGAGAAAGCATGTCCCACATCTCAGAGCTCACTGGGGACTGCCTCAGCTACTGGCTCTGTAAACCAGCAGCTCTATGGTAACGGGACTCTCCTTCAACCACATGGCTGCCTGTGTGTGTATCTGATTGCTCTGTGGGGGAGTGGCAGAGAAGAACAATGTGCATTTATAATGGAGCCCCAGTACAGACCTTTCACCACAGGGACTTCCCAGACCAATCTTGTTCTGGTGGAATTCAGAGCCACTGAATGAAATTAAAGGCCATCAGTGGGGTCATGCCATGAACATCACATCATTGCTCTAGAAAAGACAAACCCATTCCAGCCACATCTGGACCACCTGCTCCCCTTGTAGAATGATTTCTGCAGAAGGGCCAATTTGCATTTCACAGGGACCTCGAGAGAAGGCTTGTCAACAGGTTGTCTCAGCTTGGAATTCCACAGCAAAAAAAAAAGATACTTTCTTTGAACTACGAGTCAGTCTGTTAAGTTTGGGGGAATTTGTAGAAATATTTGAAGAACAGTTGCAGTTTTAAATCCATTAGGATATCTAAGATCTTAAGCACAGGCTGTTACGGATATTTGCCAAGCGGAATTTTCACTTGAGTTTTGGTCTCATATAAAGCTCTGGAAACTGATTGAAATCCAGTAATACTCTTTCCCCTCCCCCAAAAAATCAAAACAAAACAAATGCCACAAACACAAAAGCGTTCCTCCTACCACCTTTCTCTGGCTCTGGAGAGAAGGTGGAATAGTCCTTATACTTTCATGCTAGGTTCTGATTAATCACCTAGGATAGACTTTGTGAGTGCCAATTACAGGCAAAGCATGTGCTGGTTCCAAGCTTTGGTGTGACTGTGGATGTAAGAAAATGTGAATATAAATGGCCTCCCTTGTTTACTGAGATCAGTGTGGCTCATTCTTCCTGATGACTTCCATCCAACCTGCACTGTTCAGGAACCAGATTATACAGTCTTAGAACAAGACTGGGAAGGCCTCAGAGTCCAGGACTCTGTTTTGGTCTTCTCTTGTTCCCCACTATGGCTCTCAAATACAGGGCTAGGGGCATAAAAATGCAGAGTGTTCACTGCATTTGATACCATTACTCACTATGACAGAAAAAGCAGTGGCCAGAATAGTGGAGCACCACCTTTTTTTTTTTGGCATGAGAAAAATATTCCTTGAATCGTATATAATATTAGTAATTTGTAAGATGTTCTATGTGTTCAGAAAGTGCTATTTTTCAAGAAGGACCCCTTGTTAATGACAATAAAGGCTCTCATGAAAAGGTCCATAAACCTCATTCATTCATTCATCTGTTAACTAAATATGCATGGAGCCTGCCATGTATCAGGCGCCCTGCTCCACACAGAGAAAGCTAAGAGCTGGAGCCTCAGAACTGCCTGGCAAAGCCTTGTAGGCTCCCTCTCTAGTGATCTGGCAGAAGTGGATGAGGTGCTCAGACTGAAGACTATTTTAGAGGGCATTGATTCTTATGCCTGAGATTCTAAGGGATTTTGTGGCTTTATCTGCTAAGGGGAGGGCAGTTTTGAGAAGAGAAAGGGGAGGCTGAAGATGGCAGGCTCTCAAAGGTCCTCATCACCTGTAACTGTCTTTCCTGCAGTTCTTCCTAAGGAGCCCCCTTGGAAGGAGACCCCACCACTATGCCACATACTGTGGGTCCTAGGTCCTCATGTGAGGGTAAACTTCTACTTATAAACCAGGGGCTATAGCCGAATCAAGAAAAATTCTTTTTTCTGCTGTCTTTAACTGTTGGATAATAATTTTGTTCCTTTTAAGAAATTTTCTTAAAAAGTTGAATTTCTAACAACATCCTGGAGAGCTGGCTCATTAAGAGCATTCCTATTGTGTTGTCAGGATAATGGCCCCCTTATAGGTTCATGTCCTAATCTCTGAAACCTGTGAATATGTTACAGTCATGCATCGCTTAGCAACAAGGACACATTCTAAGAAATGCGTCCTTCGGTTATTTCTTCATTGTCGAACATCATAGAGTGCACTCACACAAACCTAGACGGCATAGCCCACTACACACCTAGGCTCTATGGTACAGCCTATTGCTCCTAGGCTATGGACCTGTACAGGATGTTACTGTACCAAATACTGTAGGCAGATGTAACATGATGGTAAGTATGTGTTTATTTAGACACAAGTAAATATAAAAAATGTAAAATGGTGATGCAGTATTATAATCTCATGGGACTACCTTCCTATATGCAGTCTATCATTGACTGAAATGTGATTATGTGGCACATGACTGTACTTAAACAGCAAAAAGGACTTTTCAGAAGTGATTAAATGAAGAATCTTGAGATGGGGAGAGTATCCTGGACCATTTAGGTGGGTCCAATGCTACACAAAGGTCCTCACAATTAAAGAGGGAGGCAGGAGAGCCAGACATGATGTGATGAATGAAGAAGAGGTTGAATAATGCAGTGGCTGACCTTAAAGATGAAAGGGGCTATAAGCCATGGCGTGTTGTAAACTGTAAAGTAGAAGGAAACAGAAGCTCTTCTAGGGCCTCCAGAAGGAGCACAGCCTTCCCAATACTTTGATTGATTTTAGCCCCGGAGACCCATTTCAGACATCTGACCTCCAAGATTGTAAGATAATAAACTTATGTTGAAGTCACTACATATGTGGTATATTATATGGTTGCAATAGGAAACCAACACACTCATCTTGCTCAACACACAATCCTTGCTTCTCTACACAAACTGATTTCCTCAATGTTCCCCTTTTATACTAGACTTTGTGTACGCCACTTCTGCTCTGCTGTCTCATCTCCTTCTTCCACTTCTCCCGACCAATCAGCTTTCCAAGGCCAGCTCCACACTCCACTGCACCCCATCCCCTGCCCTGAAATTCTTCATAGATGCCAGGCACAATGTGCTCTGATTTCTGATTCTCTCAGTATTTTGAAGAGTGTTTATCAATATGTGTAATTCACGATTACTTTAGACAAACAAACAAAAAGCTCATCTTCCAAAAGGTGTTTAAAAGTGCTGGGCTGACCACACACAGGATAACCAAAGACCACCTCTGCTTGGTGGCTTCTGCATGCCTAAGACTCCCCAAGCTGTTTAATAAGGGCTCAATTCCTGATTGCCTTCACAGTGAACTGTGGGGTACAGGGGTCAGTAGCTGCCCTCTGTCCACCCTGTATGCAAACAGGCCTGCATCCTTCACTGCTCAGCCCCACAAGCCTGTGTTCATTTGCTACAATTTGCTCCATTTAGAGGTGTAGAATTAGTTGACTTTCAGGTCAGACAGTGCTGAGCCTGAAAGATGTGCCCTTCTGAGTCTCTGAGACATCTCCCTGGGGAAAGGCCCACTTGGGAGAAGGTTCCCTTTTTTTTATTTTACCCTTCACCCACCACCACCATAAGCACAGCCTGCTTTCATACATTTTGTGCCATACCCTGGGCTAAGATCTTTGCATTGCCTATTCTCCCAATAATTCTTGGAGGTATTACTATTATTTTCTCCATTTTACAAATAGACTGAAGCTCAGAGAGGTGGAATAACATGTCCAAGGTCACACAATGAGTTTGTGTCTACAGCCTTGCTGTTTGAACTGTGGGCCATGAACCAGCAGCACAGGCATCCCTTGGGAGCTGGTTAGAAATGTAGAATCATAGACTCCACCCCAGGCCTTCTGAATCTGAATCTTAACAAGTTCTCCAGGCAATTAACATGCACATTAAAGTTTGAGAAGTTCTGCTCTAAACCACTAAGCAGTACTATCACTCAAGAAAGAAAAAGAAAAACAATCATTTATTGGATGAGAATTTAGATAGAGTGTCTGTGTAAGGATTCTTGTAGGTCAAATGGAACTAGACACTGTGGGATGGGGGAGGGCCTTGGGAAACACAACTCAACTCTTACCAGCTGTGGCTCAGTTACATAATCTGATGAGAAAATCTGCTTTCTATGGTTATAAATTTTGCTAGAAAAAATTCATACAACTGACTCTGAAAAGCATGGAGCTCCCATTAACCCACTGTGGAGCTCTTACAGAGTTTGTCTGGGAGAGGAGCCGAGGCCTCCTGAAGGATTTCATTTAATCCCTAAGGACGCAAGGGTGCCCCTCCTTCCTGCATCTAGCCTTCAGGCTAGGCAGGAGAAAGCTAGTTTGCAGGAGGACTGGTATGAGGAAGTTATCCTTGTGTGGTGGCCATTGAAGCCAACAGCCTCCAAAGAGCATTAGAGTGACCAGGGCTGCTTTTGCAAACATCTGAACTGAATCTTTTTTATCCCTTAGCTTAATGAGGAAGCGATGGAATTTCAGGAACTTAATTATTGGCAAGCTAGAAAGTATGCAGGAGAGAGAGAAAGAGAACAAGAGCAAGGTGGGTGGAGGGAGCGAGAGTGACTGATTTGGGAATGAGGTAACTTGGGCACCATGTGTGTTAAGTGAAGGGCTGGCTCTCTCAACAGCAAGATTCGCTCCATTAAACAGTGTCAGGGGTTCCTTCCCTTCACCCGAACACTCAACTAGAAGTGAGAGGAACAAGACTGGTACTCAATCATAATGATTTAAATTATTTAAACCTGTTAATTGAGGTATTATTTATTTATTTATACTCCATTTCTCAGATTTAGGGTTAATTTGTATTAATAGATTCTTAATAGCCATGGTTAATGGCAACAGCACTAATCATTTTCCATTAATAAAATAATACTTTATTATTTTCAAAGTACCCCCACAATATTCCATTTTCTCCTCAGTCTCCCTGGGAGGATGAGTGGGTATAATATGCGTTCTACAAATGAAAAAAGTAAGGCCAGAAGAAGTACAATGATTTTATCAGAGGCAGCTTATGAGGTTGGGGGACTGGGACCAGAGCCCAGCTTTCCTAACTCTAGGAGGTACTTCTTCCTTGGCTGGCTTTTCCAGCCAACTGAGCAAACACGAAAACCAAACCAACAATAAAAACACAACACTAATCAAACACAGGCAAAGAATAGACAGGTCCAACACTCCTCTGATTCAGAAACATCCCAATTTCTTGTCCTTTAGTATAATCCTTGTTTTACATTCATGACTGTAGAATCCTGCTTGAATGGTTTACTTTGGTTCCATGATGGGATTGCTCATATCAGAAAGTTTGTCCTTCCCTCACAGATATTCTGAGTGCATTCCTAATTTTGAAGTAAGTCTTTCTTTCTGGGTCCTATATATTACCCAGATATTTTCTGGATCTTTAAACAATTGCCAATAAGGCTGCTTTTTGGACCAGCCTCTGACAGTCAAGTAGAAGAAATGCCTGAGTGTTATACCGAGTGGACAAAAGAAAAGATACTTGTTTCCAAAGTCCTCAAGGCTTACAAGCTGACTCTGAATTTCTGAAACCCCACTTGGGAGCCCTGAGCTCCCCATGAAGTTCCCTAATTTCCAATCTTTCCTACTTCTCAATGAGAACTTTTTTTTTTTTTTGAGACGGAGTCGCGCTCTGTCACCCAGACTGGAGTGCAGTGGCATGATCTCGGCTCACTGCAATCTCCACCTCCCAGGTTCACACCATTCTCCCGCCTCAGCCTTCTGAGTAGCTGGGACTACGGGCTCCCGCCACCATGCCCGGCTAATTTTTTTTGTATTTTTTAGTAGAGACGGGGTTTCACCGTGTTAGCCAGGATGGTCTCGATCTCCTGACATCGTGATCCGCCTGCCTTGGCCTCCCAAGGTGCTGGGATTACAGGTGTGAGCCACCGCGCCCAGCCAGAACCTTTGCATTTTTATAGGGTTATTAGGTACCTGTATCCCATGCATAACAAGAGGCAGAACTTCAGGTATCAGGGCAGGGCAATCAGAGAAGCTCAGTGAGAAGTATTTGAGGATGGGGTGATTTTTACCACCCCCTGCCTACACCATAGGCAATTCTGTCAGTGAGCAGAGCTGTCCTGCATAAAGAGCAGCCTCACTATCTCCAAATGCTCCCTCTGTATCCCAGGCCATTGGGCAGCTCAGCACCCAGGTGGGCCTTTGTTTCTTAGGTTACAATTCTCAGCCCAGAAAAAGAAAAGAATGCCCAAGCCAAAGGCATCCTCCCATGTCCTTGGCTGACCATTTAATTATAAGGTCCAATCAAACTAATTACACATTGGGGTCCTTGAAGACAGTAAGTAATTCAAGTCTGCTTTGCTGCTGAATTCCAGAAAGGTAGATTATTTTTATTACAGTCAGTAGATGGGGCTGTGGCTCATGCAGTTGAAAAGGCAAACCTTGAGACCAAGGGAGTCAAGAGAAAGAGAAGCGTCTTCAGATGACAAACTCTGTAAGGGCTCCATAGTGGGTTAGTGGAAGCTCCCTGCTTTTCAGAGTCAGGTATATGAATTATTTCTAGCAAAATTTATAACCATAGAAAGTAGGTTTTCTCATCAGATTATATTACTGAGCCACAGCTGGTAATAGTTGAGTCGTGTGAAGATTAAACAAGGCAAACCAGCCAGTGCACTGTTGGGCATATAGTAAATGCTCAATAAGTGGTTATTATTTTGATATAATGATTGTTAATTATTTGGTTTAGTGAAAAAAAAAAAAAACATTCAAGTGCTCACAATGCCAGACAGAGTGCTCAGTGCTGGGGATTCCAAAGGCATGCTGTCTTTGTACAATCTTGGATTTCCAATGACAATAGTAACCAAGGCTGAGAGGAAATCCTTCAGGAGACAAAATCTTTACACTTGGCCTGAGACATTCCATTCAAGTGTGGTAAAGAGGTGGTGACAACAGCTAGTGGTTGTGACAAGACATCCTCAGGTACCCACTTTAGCCACTCTGGGTCACTCCAGGGGATAAAAGAGAAGGGATGCCTTGAGGATACAACTTTCATTAAAGAGAGTGAATTAGCACAAAACAAATAATTGTTTAATTTTATTTGTACCTTGACCCACCAAAACTGCATATGGCGTGTGAAAATAAAATCAATACAAGATTTCTTTTAAAAAGAAATAGTAGTCATGGAAGGGAAACTGGATGTATCATACATGTCTCTGGGCTCCCCTCTGAGCTCGGCACCATCTGGGGCAGGAAAGGTGAGGGCATAGCCACTTGGCACTGGCTGCCTTCATGGCAAATACTCTGTGTGGTTCACCCAGCTGCTGCCCAGGGATGGCCTTCCCAAAGGTGCAACCCAACAGCACCTCACTCCATTAGGGGGGCTCCCTGATTGTCCCTGAAGAGTGGCAGAATTCATGCCCCTGCCACTCAGGTATGCAGGGGAATGAATGCTCCTGGAAAAAATCTTGGGCTGATTGGAGACCGGCGCCAGTGGATAAACTCTTCTCTCTTTCTCTTCTCACACAAGACACAATAGTTAATTATTTTTAGTTAGTAATTGCTTTAGATTATTAGAAAATGTCTTGGGGGAGAGTCCAAGATGACCAATTAGAAACAGCTGCAGTCCATGTCGCATAGAGAATGAAAACAGCAAGTGAATTCAGCACCTTCAACCGAAATATCTAGGTTCTCGCATTGGGACTGAATATGTGGAAGACTCGACCAATGGAGAAGGAAGAAAAGCAGGGTGGGGCGACAGCCCACCCTGGAGTGGTGCAGAGCCAAAGGAACCCCCAACGCCAGCCAAGGGAAGCTGTGAGTGATTGTATGACCCCTCCCGGAAAAACAGGCTTCTTCCATAGATGTTTGCAACCTGCAGATCAGGAGATTCCCTCATGAGTCCATGCCATCAGGGTCTTGGGTCTGATACACAGAACTGTGTGGAGTCTTGGCAGAGCAGTCACTCAGGCTCACTCAGAGACACAGGAGTTTTATAGACTCTGGCCCCAGGAATCCTAGCAAGGCAGGAGATCCATCCGTACACTCCCCTAGAAAGCACGCTGAATCCAGGGAGCTGAGAAGTGTCGTTCTGTGGACCCCACTTCCATGGCACCTCACAAGTTAGGACCCACTGGCTTGGAATTCCAGCCAGCAGGGGCAGCAGGCTGGAGAATGCCTGAGACGAAGGAGCTCCTGAGGTGGGGGCGGCCGCCATTTCTGCGGTGAGGTTGACTCAGCCATTCTAGCCTGCTGGCTTCGGGGAGTCCAGGTGGTTCGGTCAAGAAGCAATCCCCCATAGCACAGCACAGAGGCTGTGCCAGATCGTGGCCAGATAGCTTTTTCAAATGGGACCCCCAATCCATCCCTCCTGACTGGGCGGGGCCTCCCTGCAAGAATATCAGCTACTCCAGCCACGGTTATATGAATAAAACTCTGATCCCTCCCTGGGATGGAGCCCCTGATGGGAAGGGTGGCCAACATCTCTGCAGTTCAGTCAACTCAGCTTTTCCAGCCTGCTGGCTCTGGAGAGTCCAAGCTATCTGCACGAGGAAGGCTTACCCCCAACACTGCACACCTGCTCTACCAAAAAGCACCCAAACTGCTGCTTTTTTTTTTTTTTTTTTGAGACGGAGTCTCGCTGTGTCACCCAAGCTAGAGGTTAATAGCGCAATCTCGGCTTACTGCAATCTCTGCCTCCCAGGTTCAAGTGATTCTGCTGCCTCAGCCTCCCGAGTAGCTGGGATTACACGTGCATGCCACCACGTCCGGCTAATTTTTGTATTTTTAGTAGAGACAGGGTTTCACCATGTTTGCCAGGCTAGTCTCGAACTCCTGACCTGGTGATCCACCTGCCTCGGCCTCCCAAAGTGCTGGGATTACAGGTGTGAGCCACCGCGCCCGGCTAGACTGCTTGTTTAAGTAGGTCCGTGATCCTGTCCTTCCTGACTGGGTGAGACCTCCCAACAGGGGTCTCCAGACACCCCCTACAGGAGCATCCAGGCCAACAACAGGTCAGTACCCACCCTGCGCCTTTGATAAAATTCAACATCCCTTCATGTTAAAAACTCTCAATAAACTAGATATTGAAGGAACATACTAAAAATACTAAGAGCCATCTATGACAAACACACAGCCAATATCATACTGAATGGGTAAAAGCTGGACGCATTCCCCTTGAAAACTGCCACAAGACAAGGATGCCCTCTCTCATCACTTCTATTCAACATTGTATTGGAAGTTTGGCCCAGGAAATCAGGCAAGAGAAAGAAATGAAACGTATTCAAATAGAAAGAGAGGAAGTCAAGTTATCTTTGCTTGCAGATGACATGATCCTATATCTAGAAAATCCCATCACCTTAGCCCAAAAGCTTCTTAAGCTGATAAGCAACTTCAGCAAAGTCTCAGGATACAAAATCAATGTGCAAAAATCACTAGCATTCCTATACACCAAGAACAGACAAGCAGAGAGCCAAATCATTAAGGAACTCCCATTCACAATTGCTACAAAGAGAATAAAATACCTAAGAATACAGCTAACAAGGGAAGTGAAAGACCTCTTCAAGGAGAACTACAAACCACTGCTCAAGAAAGTCAGAGAGGACACAAGCAAATGGAGAAGCACTCCATGATCATGAATAGGAAGAATCAATGTTGTGAAAATGGTCACACTGCCCAAAGTAATTTATAGATTCAATGCTATTCCCATGAAACTACTATTGACATTCTTCATGGAATTTGAAGAAAGTATTTTAAAATTCATATGGAGCCAAAAAAGAGCCTGAATAGCCAAGACGATCCTAAGAAAAAAGAATAAAGCTGGAGGCATCATGCTACCTGACTTCAAACTATACTACAAGGGTACAGTAACCAAAACAGCATGGTACTGGTACAAAAACAGACACATAGACCAATGGAACAGAATAAATAACTTAGAAATAAGACCATACACCTACAACCATCTGATCTTTGACAAACCTTGCAGAAATAAGCAATGGGGAAAGGATTCCCTATTTAATAAATGGTGCTGGAAGAACTGGCTAGTCATATGCAAAAAATTGAAACTGGACCCCTTCCTTACACCTTTATACAAAAATTAACTCAAGATAGATTAAATACTCAAATGTAAAACCCAAAACTATGAAAACTCTAGAAGAAAACCTAGGCAATAACATTCAGGACATAGTCATGGGCAAAGATTTCATGACAAAAACACCAAAAACAATTGCAACAAAAGCAAAAATTGACAAATGGGATCTAATTAAACTAAAGAGCTTCTGCACAGTAAAAGAAGCTATCATCAGAGTGAACAGACAACCTATAGAATGGGAGAACATTTTTGCAATCTATCCATCTGACAAGGGTCTAATACCCAGAGCCTACAAGAAACTTAAACAAATGTACAAGGAAAAAAAAACATTAAAAAGTAGGCAAAGGACATCAACAGATACTTCTGAAAAGAAGACATTCTTGCAGCCAACAAACATATTTACAGAAAGCTCAACATCACTGATTGGTCATTAGAGAAATGCAAGTCAAAACCACAATGAGATACCATCTCATGCCAGTCAGAATGGCTAAAAATAAGAAGTCCAGAAACACCAGATGCTGATGAGTTTACAGAGAAAACGAAGCACTTTTATACAGTTGGTGGGAGTGTAATTTAGTTCAACCATTGTGGAAGACAGTGTGGCGGTTCTGCAAAAATCTAGAGGCAGAAATACAATTTGACCCAGCAATCTCATTACTGGGTATATATCCGAAGGAATATAAATCATTCTATTATAAAGATATATGCACATATATGTTCATTGCAGCACTATTCACAATAGCAAAGACATAGAATCAATCCAAATGTCCATCAATGATAGACTGGATAAACAAAATGTGGTACATATACACCATGGAATACTCTGTAGCCATAAAAAGGAATGAGAGCATGTCCTTTGCAGGGATATGAATGGAGCTAAAAGCCATTATCCTTAGCAAACTCACATAGGAACTGGAAACAAAACATGCATGTTCTCACTTATAAGTCAGAGCTGAATGACGAGAACACATCAACACATTAGGGGGCACAACACACACTGGGACCTGTTGGGGGTGAGGTAGGGGAAGAGAGAGCATCAGGAAGAATATCTAATGGATGCTGGGCTTAATACCTAGGTGATGGGATGATCTGTGCAGCAAAGCACCATGGCACACATTTACCTATGTAACAAGCCTGCATATCCTGCACATGTACCCCAGAAGTTAAAAGTTGAAGGTCAAAATGAAAACAAACAAAAAATAATTGCTTTGGAAGAGCAATCAGCTGAACTTGATCAGAAGAGGTATCCGGCTTGATAACCTACCCTTTTGTTTACCTCCCTCATTCTCTTACCTCTCACAGTCCTCTCCCTGGGCTTGTGATCTTTATTGTGAAGGAGAACGTCATAAACTTTTGCACTGGGCTTTGCTTTTTGGGAATGCAGACTAAGAGGGAATGTTAAGATGAACCCTTGAAGGAGGTGTATATGCTTTGCACCCTGAATGTATGATGACAGAGTTTATATTCTTTAGCAGAGGGTCACACAATTGGTTCTAAGCTTTGTAGCAGCCAATACAAAAGGAAACTTGATGTAATATTGTCTTATTATGTCCATAAAATTAAAAGTTATCTGTTGTTAAAGAAAAACAGATTTTTTTCTTGTATGGAGTCCAGATAGAAATCCTTCTGTGGGTTTTCAAAAAAAGACATTCTGTGATGTGGACAGCTCTGTCCTCAACATCACCCTTTATTAATCTAATAATGAATTTGGGGAATTGGTTCTAATAACACCCTTCAACGTGGTCTAAAAGGTTGGCATCAAGATATGCCCTAGTAAGAGTAGGTTTTTAGAGAGACCGGTTAATGAGCTGTATGGCTAAGATAAGCCATTTCAATTCTCATAGGTCTCCCATCTATGACATGGAATAATGATTCCTCTTCACAGACTGCTGTGACGAATAAAAGAGTAAATGTAGGCAAAGCTCGTAGAGCAGATCCTAGCACAGAGAGGCTTAGGTGATGTTTGTGCCTTTGACCCTCTCCTTCCCCCTTCTGTTATATTATGACCTGGTTATGTTGTCCAGCCCCTGACATGATAGGACAGCTTTGCCAAGTATTTCTTGGTGACGGCCCACAGAACCTGGTTCATGCCTAGTATAAGGTAGGTATACACAGTAGGTGCTACTCACAAATATTTGGCTGAAGAAGCAAACTTGTCACATTGCCCTTAGGTTGCATGACTAATGCTACAGTTATAAGAACAGCATGACTGAGATTCCAAAGAGACCCTATATTGCCTGTAAATGATTCTTGACTATCCTAAATAATAACACAGATTTAATTAAAAACACTTTAAAGACATCCTTTCAAAGCCTTGCCCCAACCCTCTGTTGCTTTATCAGGCTCTCAATTTGCTGACTTGAGTGTGATTTTTGCTGAAACCTCTAAATGGCAAATCACATTTTCATCCCGAAGTGTCTGAGATAAAGCCATGTGAGAGAATGGAATAATTAAAGGCCAAAAAGGTAAACCCAGCCAGGAAGGCAATGGGAAAACATGAGTGAGGCAATAATGTTCCCAGACGTTTTTTCCTTTGCTGATTAAACCAAAGGTCTTGGTTGTAAATTAGAACCTTGTTCTCCTGAAATATTAATCTATGTCTGAAGTGAAAAAAATAAAAACCTCCATGGTTGATTGTAACAATTCCAACTGCTGGTGAGTGTCCTTGGCAGACAACCCTGATAAGTAGGGTTTGTCAGACTCTTCTGTGGAATATTCCTTTATATGGTGGGAGTCCCCTGTCTCCTGCGGGGGCAGTTTGTCTGCAGATTCTGGAGCTCTTCTCATCCCTGTTCATTTCCATCCATCCATCCATCCAACCAGGCAGACAGCATATACTTACAGAGCCCCTACTATGAGTCAGACACAGCTCTAGTTCTGGGGGATATAGTAGGAAATAATACAAAGTTCCTACTCTTATGGAGAGATACTATTTACATAAACATATTTATATAGAATGTAAACCAAGGTTACCCATCTTGATGTTCATTCATCCAAATTTCTTTGAGCAAAGTTCAAAAGGCTTAGCTTTTCTGGTTGTAAGGTGAGTGACTGTGTGTTCCTGAGAGGTTAAGGGACACCTTGGATTTAGTCCTGTATTTCAAGCGTCCAGCATAAAATCCAGAACACAGTATACACTCAGAGAAAGTGTGTTCAATGACAGTAATCTACTATCCTCATGGACATGGATAATGTCTTATTGCCGCTGCTACTTCTTTGCTCCAGAATAGGTTTTAGTTCTTTCAATTAGCATTTTCTGAGACCTGTTTATTGCTCAAAGATTATACATGTCTTTTAATAAACACATGTATTTTTCGGCTGGGTAGGTGACTAGGAATGGAACTACTGGGCCCGCTTTAGCAGATATTGCCAAATAGTTTTCTAAAGAGGCTGTACCAATTTATACTCCCACAAGCAATATACAAAACTCCCAGTTGCTCTGCATTCTTGCCAAATCCTGGTATCATCTCTTTTGAAATTTATTTTTTTTTAAGCCATTATGGTGGGTGCTTGGTATAGCTCACTGTGGATTTAAATTTTGCATTTCCCCAACATATAATGAAGTTGAGCACCTTTACGTGTGTTTATTGGCCATTTGGATAACTTGTTTCTTAAAGGGCTTTTTTGGGTCTTTTGAAGGTCCAGGGTCTTTGTCTTCTTTGTTCAATGTTGTATTTGCAGGCTCCACAGAAATGCCTGCCAGGTAGGAGTCTCCCAAAGGAAGTATTTGTTAAGTAAATGAACAAATTCACATACCTCTTCTGTCACTTTCTTAATATTTTTATTTAAACTAGCTTACTTTTACTTAAGTATTTGAGACAGCGTCTCACTCCAGTTGCCCAGGCTGGAGTGCAGTGGTGCAATTTCGGCTCACTGCAGCCTCAACCTCCTGGGCTCAGGTGATTCTCCCACCTCAGCCTCCTGAGTAGCTGGGACTATAGATGTGTAGCACCATGTCTGGCTAATTTTTTGGATTCTTATTAGAGAGCGGTTTTGCCACGTTGCCCAGGCTGATCTCCAACTTCTGGACTCAAGCAATCTGCCCGCCTTGGCCTCCCAAAGTGTTGGGATTACAGGCGTGAGCTACCACACCCAGTCTAAAATAATTTTATTTCATTTTACAACTGTGAAGTCATGTTTTAATGTGTAAGTTACACCTTTTCTCCTATGCATTAAAATAAATGGGTAACTACTAAAATTTTTAAAAGTTCATTCAAGTATTTCTAATATCTCTCTCTAATGTCATTGCTGGTATATCAATATCCCTCAAATTAAATGAATTGATACCACTGAAACATTTAAGTGCTCATTACATGTTAGCTATGATTAGATTACCTTACCACCAGCAAATCCAGGGCAAGGATGAAATGAGGATTTGGAAAATGTGTCTTAGCAAGGCAGTGGTGGTTTTTAGAAAGATCATGAAGGCAAAGTAGAAGGGAGTAAAGAGAAGGCCGGAGGGGCACCAGACTGGCCAGGAGACAGAGAAAGACAAATTAACACTTGATTTGGTTGTCATATAAAGTATGCTTTTCAAGATTTTAAGTGACCATTTGTGTTTTACTCCACAGATAAAAAGCTTTAAGTTTATTAGGGACGTATGACTTACGGGGGTTGACACCGTGCTAAAATCTTCTTAATGAACAGGTTTCCAATGTTCTGCCTCTCTCTGTCTCTCTGGATAAACTGCTATTAGAAGAAATGCAGAAATGGGACAGCCCTTAGTGATCAAGTGCAGTGAGAAAGTCTCACTGGCTTGGCCGCTCTTATCAGCCATTCACATGAATGCTTCCTGGCTACATGTGGGCAGGTACTAGACATCACAGCTGGGCAGGCTAGGCTGCGAGACCTTTGTGAGGTGTGGGGTCTGCTCCTCGTTACTGAGCAGATCGTAGTATCAATGTTCAGCCTATGACACTGCTTGGTGAAAGACTTCCTATAACTGTTAAGTGAGAAGTCACAGAATTTCACTCTTGAAGCCAAGGGCCTCTCCAGAACATAGTCCCAGTGGATGTGCCATGTTTTTTTTTTTTTTTTTTTTCTGAGACAAGGTCTCGCTCTGTCACCCAGGATGGAGTACAGTGGCACAATCTCAGCTCACTGCAGCCCGATGTGTCACATTTTGAAGTGGTCCAGGGCAAATAGCAGCAAGGATGAGAGCCTTCTTTGTGGCCCAGCTTCAGTTTTCTGGAATAAGTGTCCGTGGGATGCCCCTGATCTGGGTGGAAAATGATTCCGCAGTGTTGCCCATTAGGTGCTGCTTCTGGGGATGTGTCTAGCATGGAGGAACTGGGGGCCTTCATGTACAGCCCTGACTCCAATAGGAAGGGATCCTTCCTTCATAAGGAGATTTAAAGGCCCTCCACCCATATCCTTGGAGGTGAGAGAATACACAGAGAAATGACCGGTGTGGATTCCATATGGCCCACAGAGCAGAGACCCAGAGGATCTGGTTAGAGGCAGAGGCTGTATATATGTGTGTGTGTGTGTGTGTGTGTGTGTGTGTGTGTGTGTGTGTGTATATATATATATATATATATATATATATACACACACACACACACACACACACACACACACACACACACACACACACACACACACACACACACACACACACACACATGTACTTCTTTTTTTTCTTGTCTGTTGCCATCCTCCTCATCTCATGATCTGGGCTGCTCACTCCTATAGACTAACGACCTGTACCTGTCCGGGACCCTAGACGCACTATTTCTCTGGCAAAAGAATGCACACTTGATTCAAAACTCAGCGTTTCTATTTCCTGGCCAGTTGATACAGAGCCAGTTGTTTTCTAATCTTTCCAAGCCACAGTTACCTCACATCTGAGTAATGGGTAATGAGACACTGAGGTGAAGATGTGTAAAATGCATAGCAAGGGCCTGTGAACAATTTATCTGCCTACATCCTCCCAAAAAGCCCATTCTGGTTCCCTTTTAGAGCCAACACAGGGTTGATTTCATCCCAGTATCTTTAGAATGGGCCGGGGTGTGGTGGGTGTTTAAACATTGTCAGGTCCTCTCCCTGCTGCTCCATGCAAGCCTTCCACTACCCCCAGGCCCAGTTAGGTGATCCCTCCCAGACAGTCTTCTGTATGTGGCTCCTGTCTATCCCTGATCATGGTACTGTAATTACCTTTCTCTCCCACTAAACTCTAAGCTTCAGGGCCAGGATTGAGCCTCACTCACTGCCATAGGGCCCAGAAAACTCTCTAGCACACAGCAGCCCTCAACACATGCTGTTTCTTCCACTTAAGTTGCTTTTTATCCTAAAGCAAGATGCATAAAGCTACACAAAACAAGTGCAGAACTTAATGAACTATTATGGAGTGAGCATCCTTATAGCCACACCCAGGCCAATAATTGAAACCTTACCAGCTGTGCAGAAGCCCCTTCCCTGCACCCCATCCCAATGTCAACCACGATTCTCCTCCCAACCACCACTCTCCTCTCAACTACTACTCTCTTCCCAAAAGTATCCATTGTCTTGACTTTTACAGTCTTCACCTCTCTCCCATTTTATCACTTAAATCTGTATCCCTAGACACTGTAGTTGAGTTTTGTCCATGAAAAAACTAATTTATGTTTTTCAAAACTTTTTAATCTGTAGCTTATACATTCATTGTTTTCTTTTCCTTGCAATTTATCTGTTGAAGAACACAGGATAATAGATTTTCCCAGTCTGGATTTTGTTATTTGCACACTCATGTGTTCCTCTGTCCCAGTATTTCCTGCACATAGCCAATCAGATCTAGGCTTATTTTGTTCATTTTTGCCCCAACTCAGAATCAGCTGTTTCTTTAAGAGACTCTGGAATCTTTTAGTGCAAATGGTGTTTTAAGACCACAATCTGAATGTGATTTTCTGTTTGTCAGTTCTGTTTGCCATACTTCTGTTTGCCAGTTCGCCAGTATACTCCCTGCTCCAGTGACTGGTATGAAGTAGCTGCTGCTAAAAAAAAAAAAAAAAAAAAAAAAAAGCACGTATTAAATGCATTCCACAGCAGAACTGTGGTTACTTCATCTACAGTTTCTAAATCTCAGTCAGTCATCTGTCTATCTCTGCATGTGAGTGTGAGACCGTGATGGCCAACAAAACATTTCCATGGGTCAAGTGTTCTGCTGTCACTATGTTAATTTTGCTTTACATTCATTACCATCATTGAATCTTCATAACCACTCCTGAGGTGTTCATATTTATCCTCATTTTACAAATGAGGATACTAAGGCTCAGAGAAGTGAAGTGACTCACCTAAGGTCACACAGATAATAAGAGACAGAGCTGAGTGGCAAACAGATCTGAGAAACTCCAAAGCCTACATTCCTTTGACTGCTCCATAATGAACATTTGTCCCTGAAATATGTTTGTTCATTTTTAAATTTGATCTTGACCAAAACTTCTTGATGAATGGATAAGTGAATGAATATGTACTTCATGGGGCACAGTGTAGACACAGCCTTGTTCTACACTCAAACTCCCTAAGGAATGCTTTTTTTTCTTCTTCTCTGGGTTCCTAATGTGACATACTGTTGCTAGATGTGGCAGAGGGATATTTTTAGTGTTTTGTAATAAACCCGAATGTGCATCTTTGCTCTTGGCTTATAAGACTCATTTTATGTCTATGTTTACAGGCAGAAAAATAAGTGGCTGATATCAAATAATTCTTCAAGTTCCAGTTCATATTTATAACCCTATTGTGGGCTCACTTTTTATTTGAGTCTAGATAATAGATATAAGACTCTGTCTTTGCTTTGTGTCCAAATAGCTATAGCCTTATTGTTCCCTGTATTTGTGACTAATGAAACATTTGACATAGTTGTGTTTGATGGAAACAGAAGCAGACCATGTGACAGGGCTATTACTAAGCTCTCCACTTCCAGGGCAGCCTAAACAGAGGGACAAGGGGTCTTCAGTATCTAACATTTCATGTGATGCTGAGGAGGCAGACGTTAGGCTTTTCTGTTGGGAGAGGGAGAGTTCTGTCTTTCCCATGAACACATAAGAAATTACTGCTTGCTGAAGAGAAGACAGGCATGTGGAGCCATGGGGTCTAGCATAGGAATAGTTCTAGCACTGTTCTCTGTTTTCTACTTTGGACACTGGAATCAGAACAGTGTTGAAACAAACACCAACTCATTCTCACTGATACAGAGAAGGGGAGGTCAAACTATGGTTTTACCTTTAATTAGCTTAGAAGATTATAAGGAAACTGGCAGGAAAGCCTCTATTGGGCTGTTCTCAGAAGCTGGTTTACCTCTTGAGGGAAAAATGGCTGAGAGGCCTGGAGATAAGCAATGAGGATTCAAAGTATTTTCCAAATAAATATGGGAGACTCTTGGTGCATATAAGCAATAATTTCTGAGATCTTTGTGGATACCCACCCAACTCATGAATACTACCTATAATTTTCCCCTTCAAACATCTAATTTATGGCTAAAACCATTACTTTTTCAGACTCTTTCACCCTAATCACTTCCATGACTATCATCAACAGTTTGAATAGAGAGTGATTTTTCTGTTTATAAAGGGAAAGAAGGCACCTGCTCTTTCAGGTATTCCTCTCGACTCCTTGGGGCCTTAGCACAGGTCCATACTGAGGCAAGGCTGACACTATTGTGTGCATCCTGGAATCAGCAAATCCCACACTCCTAAGTCATTCTCCAAATGCCTTAAACTTACATCTGTTGGTGCTCTCTTACTTTCCCAGGTCCAAAACTCAGAATTTTCTCTCTAGGCTTTCGAGAATCCTGTTTCATGCCAAATAAGCAACTCTGGACATGTGCCCAACTTCCAATTCAGGGTTTGAAGGTGAGACTGGGCCCTCCTTCATTATTCACGCACCTCTACAGCATTTTCCTTCAGCATTCTCTAGATATTCCTGGTCCAATTTCTCCTTTCCTACCTGTGGCCCATATATAATGAACACTTCTTGCCAATGATACTACCTTTGCCCTTTTGTCTGTCTATTTCAAGAAACCTATGACATCTGGAGCTTGAAGTTTTTTGCCTGGGAGTACTCCTCCCTCTGCCTGAGTACTCATAGACTCTGAACTAAAGTGGGCCTTCCTTAATATGCATCTTTGTCTTATCACAGTATTCTTAGAGTTAACATTGTAACACTTCACATAAAGTTTAAGAACTTTGCATCAGTAGAACTCATTTAACACCTCCATCCTTTTTTTGTTGTTGTTCTATTGTTCCTTTGCCCTTAAATACATTATATGCCCCACAATACACAGTTATAATCATTGGATTTAACAGTCATGGTCATTTAAAGAAATGAAAGAAGGAAGGACAGTCTTTTATATTTATTTACATAATTACCATTTCCAATGCTCTTTCTTTCCTATGAATCTGTTTTTCATTCTGATATCCCTTCCTTTCTACTTGAAGGACTTCCTTTGTCATTCCATTGTCTTTTGGTTTCCAAAGTTTTCAGTAAAATGTTGTTTGTCATACACATTGGTCTTTTCCCATATGTAATGTGTCTTTTTCTCTGGGTGCTCTTAAGAGTTTATCTTTGTGGGGTGGAGCCAAGACGGCCAAATAGGAACAGCTCCATTCTACAGCTCTCGGTGTGAGCAATGCAGAAGATGGGTGATTTCTGCATTTCCAACTGAGGTACCGAGTTCATCTCACTGGGGGGTTGTCGGACAGTGGGTGCAGCGCACCAAGTGTGAGCCGAAGCAGGGTGAGGCATCGCCTCACCTGGGAAGCGCAAGGGGTCAGGGAATTCCCTTTCCTAATCAAAGAAAGGGGTGACAGACGGCACCTGGAAAATCGGGTCACTCACACCCTAATACTACTGTGCTTTTCCAATGGTCTTAGCAAACGGCACACCAGGATATTATATCCTGCGCATGGCTCGGAGGGTCCTATGCCCATGGAGCCTCACTCATTGCTAGCACAGCAGTCTGAGATCAAACTGCAAGGCAGCAGTGAGGCTGGGGGAGGGGTGCCTGCCATTGCCGAGGCTTGAGTAGGTAAACAAAGCAGCCGGGAAGCTCGAACTGGGTGGAGCCCACTGCAGCTCAAGGAGGCCTGCCTGCCACTGTAGACTCCACCTCTGGGGGCAGGGCATAGCCAAACAAAAGGCAGCAGAAACCTCTGCAGACTTAAATGTCCCTGTCTGACAGCTTTGAAGAGAGTAGTGGTTCTCCCAGCACACAGCTTGAGATCTGAGAACAGACAGACTGCCTCCTCAAGTGGGTCCCTGAGCCCCAAGTAGCCTATCTGGGAGGCACCCCCTAGTAGGGGCCGACTGACACCTCACACGGCTGGGTACCCCTCTGAGACAAAACTTCCAGAGGAACAATCAGGCAGCAACATTTGCTGTTCACCAATATCCGCTGTTCTGCAGCCTCTGCTGCTGATACCCAGGAAAACAGGGTCTGGAGTGGACCTCTAGCAAACTCCAACAGACCTGTGGCTGAGGGTCCTCACTGTTAGAAGGAAAACTAACAGATAGGACATCCGCACCAAAATCCCATCTGTACGTCACCACCATCAAAGACCAAAGGTAGATAAAACCACAAAGATGGGGGAAAAACAGAGCACAAAAACTGGAAACTCTAAAAATCAGAGTGCCTCTCCTCCTCCAAAGGAACACAGCTCCTCACCAGCAATGGAACAAAGCTGGACGGAGAATGATTTTGATGAGTTCAGAGGAGAAGGCTTCAGACGATCAAACTACTCTGAGCTAAAGGAGGAAGTTCGAACCCATGGCAAAGAAGTTAAAAACCTTGAAAAAAAATAAGACGAATGGCTAACTAGAATAGCCAATGCAGAGAAGTCCTTAAATGACCTGATGGAGCTGAAAACCACAGCACGAGAGCTACGTGATGAATGCACAAGCCTCAGTAGCCGATTCGATCAACTGGAAGAAAGGGTATCAGTGATGGAAGATCAAATGAATGAAATGGAGAAGAGAACTTTAGAGAAAAAAGAATAAAAGGAAATGAACAAAGCCTCCAAGAAATATGGGACTATGTGAAAAGACCAAATCTACATCTGATTGGTGTACCTGAAAGTGATGGGGAGAATGGAACTAAGTTGGAAAACACTCTGCAGGATATTATCCAGGAGAACTTCCCCAACCTAGCAAGGCAGGCCAACATTCAAATTCAGGAAATACAGAGAATGCCACAAAGATACTCCTTGAGAAGAGCGACTCCAAGACACATAATTGTCATATTCACCAAAGTTGAAATGAAGGAAAAAATGTTAAGGGCAGCCAGAGAGAAAGGTCGGGTTACCCACAAAGGGAAGCCCATCAGACTAACAGCTGATCTCTTGGCAGAAACTCTACAAGCCAGAAGAGAGTGGGGGCCAATATTCGACATTCTTAAAGAAAAGAATTTTCAACCCAGAATTTCATATCCAGCCAAACTAAGCTTCATCAGTGAAGGAGAAATAAAATCCTTTGCAGACAAGCAAATGCTGAGAGATTTTTGTCACCACCAGGCCTGCCGTAAAAGAGCTCCTGAAGGAAGCACTAAACATGGAAAGGAACAACTGGTACCAGCCACTGCAAAAACATGCCAAATTGTAAAGACCATCAAGGCTAGGAAGAAAATGCATCAACTAACGAGCAAAATAACCAGCTAACATCATAATGACAGGATCAAATTCACACATAACAATACTAACCTTAAATGTAAATGGGCTAAATGCTCCAATTAAAAGACACAGACTGGCAAATTGGATAAAGAGTCAAGACCCATCAGTGTGCTGTATTCAGGAAACCCATCTCATGTGCAGGACAGACATAGGCTCAAAATAAAGGGATGGAGGAAGATCTACCAAGCAAACGGAAAGCAATAAATAAATAAATAAATAAAATCAGAGCAGGGGTTGCAATCCTAGTCTCTGATAAAACAGACTTTAAACCAACAAAGATCAAAAGAGACAAAGAAGGCCATTACATAATGGTAAAGGGATCAATTCAACAAGAAGAGCTAACTATCCTAAATATATATGCACCCAATACAGGAGCACCCAGATTCATAAAGCAAGTCCTTAGAGACCTACAAAGAGACTTAGACTCCCACACAATAATAATGGGAGAGTTTAACACCCCACTGTCAACATTAGACAGATCAATGCGACAGAAAGTTAACAAGGATATGCAGGAATTGAACTCAGCTCTGCACCAAGCAGACCTAATAGACATCTACAGAACTCTCCACCCCAAATCAACAGAATATACATTTTTTTCAGCACCACACCACACCTATTCCAAAATTGACCATATAGTTGGAAGTAAAGCACTCCTCAGCAAATATAAAAGAACAGAAATTATAACAAACTGTCTCTCAGACCACAGTGCAATCAAACTAGAACTCAGGATTAAGAAACGCACTCAAAACCGCTCAACTACATGGAAACCAAGCAACCTGCTCCTGAATGACTACTGGGTAAATAACGAAATGAAGGCAGAAATAAAGATGTTCTTTGAAACCAACGAGAACAAAGACACAACATACCAGAATGTCTGGGACATATTCAAAGCAGTGTGTAGAGGGAAATTTATAGCACTAAATGCCCACAAGAGAAAGCAAGAAAGATCTAAAATTGACGCCCTAACATCACAATTAAAAGAACTGGAGAAGCAAGAGTAAACACATTCAAAAGCTAGCAGAAGGCAAGAAATAACTAAGATCAGAGCAGAACTGAAGGAAATAGAGACAAAAAAGACTCTTCAAAAAATCAATGAATCCAGGAGCTGGTCTTTTGAAAAGATCAACAAAATTGATACACCGCTAGCAAGACCAATGAGGAAGAAAAGAGAGAAGAATCAAATAGACGCAATGAAAAATGATAAAGGGGATATCACCACAGATCCCACAGAAATACAAACTACCATCAGAGAATACTATAAACACCTCTATGCAAATAAACTAGAAAATCTAGAAGAAATGGATAAATTCCTTGACATATGCACCCTCCCAAGACTAAACCAGGAAGAATTTGAATCTCTGAATAGACCAATAACAGGCTCTGAAATTGAGGCAATTATTAATAACCTACCAACCAAAAAAAGTCCAGGACCAGATCGATTCACAGCTGAATTCTACCAGAGGTACAAGGAGGAGCTGGTACCATTCCTTCTGAAACTTCCAATCAATAGAAAAAGAGGGAATCCTCCCTAACTCATTTTATGAGGCCAGCATCATCCTGATACCAAAGCCTGGCAGAGACACAACAAACAGAATTTTAGACCAGTATCCCTGATTAATATTGATGCAAAAATCCTCAATAAAATACTGGCAAACTGAATCCAGCAGCACATCAAAAAGCTTATCCACCACAATCAAGTTGGCTTCATCCCTGGGATGCAAGGCTGGATCAACATACGAAAATCATAAACGTAATCCAGCATATAAACAAAACCAACAACAAAAACCACATGATTATCTCAATAGATGCAGAAAAGGCCTTTGACAAAATTCAACAACGCTTCATGCTGAAAACTCTCAATAAATTAGGTATTGATGGGATGTATCTCAAAATAATAAGAGCTATCTATGACAAACCCACAGCCAATATCATACTGAATGGGCAAAAACTGGAAGCATTCCCTTTGAAAACTGGCACAGGACAGGGATGCCCTCTCTCACCACTCCTATTCAACATAGTGTTGGAAGTTCTGGCCAGGGCAATCAGGCAGGAGAAAGAAATAAAGGGTATTCAATTAGGAAAAGAGGAAGTCAAATTGTCCCTGTTTGCAGACGACATGATTGTTTATTTAGAAAACCCCATCGTCTCAGCCCAAAATCTCCTTAAGCCGATAGGCAACTTCAGCAAAGTCTCAGGATACAAAATCAATGTGCAAAAATCACAAGCATTCTTATACACCAATAACAGACAAACAGAGAGCCAAATAATGAGTGAACTCCCATTCACAATTGCTTCAAAGAGAATAAAATACCTAGGAATCCAACTTACAAGGGATGTGAAGGACCTCTTCAAGGAGAACTACAAACCACAGCTCAAAGAAATAAAAGAGGATACAAAGAAATGGAAGAACATTCCATGCTCATGGGTAGGAAGAATCAATATCGTGAAAATGGCCATACTGCCCAAGGTAATTTATAGATTCAATGCCATCCCCATCAAGCTACCAATGACTTTCTTCACAGAATTGGAAAAAAACTACTTTAAAGTTCATATGGAACCAAAAAGGAGCCCACATTGTCAAGTAAATCCTAAGCCAAAAGAATAAAGCTGGAGGCATCATGCTACCTGACTTCAAACTATACTACAAGGCTACAGTAACCAAAATAGCATGGTACTGGTACCAAAACAGAGATATAGACCAATGGAGCAGAACAGAGCCCTCAGAAATAATGCCACGTATCTACAACTATCTGATCTTTGACAAACCTGACAAAAACAAGAAATGGGGAAAGGATTCCCTATTTAATAAATGGTGCTGGGAAAACTGGCTAGCCATATGTAGAAAGCTGAAACTGGATCCCTTCCTTACACCTTATACAAAAATTAATTCAAGATGGATTGAAGACTTAAATGTTAGACCTAAAACCATAAAAACCCTCGAACAAAACATAGGCAATACCATTCAGGACATAGGCATGGGCAAGGACTTCATGTCTAAAACACCAAAAGCAATGGCAACAAAAGCCAAAATTGACAAATGGGATCTAATTAAACTAAAGAGCTTCTGCACAGCAAAAGAAACTATCATCAGAGTGAACAGGCAACCTACAGAATGGGAGAAAATTTTTGCAATCTACTCATTGGACAAAGGGCTAATATCCACAATCTACAATGAACTCCAACAAATTTACGAGAAAAAAACAAACAACCCCATCAACAAGTGGGTGAAGGATATGAACAGACACTTCTCAAAAGAAGACATTTATGCAGGCAAAAGACAGATGAAAAAATGCTCATCATCACTGGCCATCAGAGAAATGCAAATCAAAACCTCAGTGAGATACCATCTCACACCAGTGAGAATGGTGATCATTAAAAAGTCAGGAAACAACAGGTGCTAGAGAGGATGTGGAGAAATAGGGACACTTTTACACTGTTGGCGGGACTGTAAACTAGTTCAACCATTGTGGAAGTCAGTTGGCGATTCCTCAGGGATCTAGAACTAGAAATTACCATTTGACCCAGCCATCCCATTACTGGGTATATACCCAAAGGATTATAAATCATGCTGCTATAAAGACACATGCACATGTATGTTTATTGCGGCACTATTCACAATAGCAAAGACTTGGAACCAACCCAAAGGTCCAACAATGATAGACTGGATTAAGAAAATGTGGCACATATACACCATGGAATACTATGCAGCCATAAAAAATGATGAGTTCATGTCCTTTGTAGGGACATGGATGAAGCTGGAAATCATCATTCTCAGCAAACTATCGCAAGGAGAAAAAACCAAACACTGCATGTTCTCACCCATAGGTGGGAACTGAACAGTGAGAACACATGGACACAGGAAGGGGAACATCACACACTGGGGCCTGTTGTGGGGTTGGGGGAGGGATAGCATTAGGAGATATACCTAATGCTAAATGACGAGTTAACGGGTGCAGCACACCAACATGGCACATGTATACATATGTAACAAACCTGCACGTTGTGCACGTGTACCCTAAAACTTAAAGTATAATAATAAAAAAAAAAGAGTTTATCTTTATTTTCGGTCATCAACAGGTTGAGGATAGTGTGATTAGGTATTGCTTTCTTTGTATTTATTCGGCTTGGGGCTTGCTGATCTTATTCAATCTTTACGATGGTGTTTTGAATCAAACATAGTAAGTTTTCCACCACTTCTTCAATTAATTATTTAATGCCTTGTTCACTTTTTCCTGTCCTTTGGTACTTTTGAGGCTCTCTTTCTTCCATTTCTATTCTCTTATGTGCGAAATCCATATTTTCACTTTAGATATTGTATTTTTCCACTCTACATTTTACATTTCTGTATAGTTTCATTTATCTGCTGAGATTCCCTATCAGTTCATTCATTATGACAATCCTTACTTTTAAGTTTGTAAACATGTAGAATACTGTTTTAAAGTTATTTTCTTCTAATTCCAACATTTGTGTTCTATCAGGGTCTGTTTCTCTTGAATGATTTTACTCTGGACCTTAGGTCACATTTTCCTGTTTCCTCACATGTCCAGTGATTTTTATTGCACACTGGATATTATGGATAATACATAGTAGAAACTCTGGATTCTGTTATTGTTGATTTTTGTTAAATTACTGGATGATTACCTTGCACTTGTAGAAGTTTTGGTTTTATCCTTTATAGAGGTGTGTTTGTTTAGATTTACCCTTAGTCCTGGGCCAGTCCTTAAATCCTGGCACATAGTCTGTGCTTTTAAGGTGTATTTCTTCTGCATTTCACTGGAAAACTCTAGATGTTTACCTAGCCCTTCTTGGAGGAATTCCAAAATTTGTCTCCTTTGCAGTGAACAGTAGCTAAAATACCTGCTCAGATCTTTTCATTTTCTTTTCCTGACATTGCTTTCCCTGGGTTCCTGAAATCTCCTCTGTATATACACAGTTCTGTGAATACTCAGGGATTTGAGGGGAGTTTATGATCAGATTTTGACCTCCTTTCCTGCATCTCCATTCTTATTGGTATTAACTCAATTTCTGGCAACTCTGGCATTGATGAATTTCATCCTCTAACACCTTAGGCTCAGAGAATATGCCTGCCTCCCTTCCTTCCTTCCTTCCTTCCTTCCTTCCTTCCTCCTTCCCCCTTCCTTCCTTCCTTTCTTCCTCTCTCCCTCTTCCATCCCTCCCTCCCTCCTCCCTTCCTCCCTTCTTCCCTTCCCTTCCCTTCCTCCCTCTTTTTTCAGTTCTTGTTTTTAATCTTTATTGAAGTATGATGTATGCATCATAAGATTCACTCGTTGTAAGTGTATAATTCAGTGGTGTTAAGTAAATTTATATAGTTGTGCAACCATCACTGCAATCCAGTTTTAGAACATTTCCATTATCCAAAAAAAGTCTGTGCTCATTTGCAGTTGATTTCCACTTCAACCCCATGCCCTAGGCACCACTAATCTGCTTTCTGTCTCTACAAATCACCTTTTATGGAAATTTAATGTAAATTAAGTAATATAATATGTAGTCTTTGTTATCTAGGTTCTCTCACTTAGCATAATGTTTTTGAGATTCGTTCATGTTGTATGAGTCAATAGTTCATCTTATTGTTGAATAGCATTTCATACATGGACACGTACAGACTATTTACCTGTTAAAGGACAGCTTTTTTTTTTTTTTTTTTCTGGATGTTTTCATCCTCAGATGGTACCTGTATAGCTGAAATAGTGCTTGTAGACATAGGGACCACTGTTTGGGAACCACAGTGTAGAACATCAGCATATGCCATTTAGATAATTTTTTTAAAAAATTAAGAAGCATTCATTAAACACATATTTGTGTTAGAAACTCCTAAAAATTAAAAAGGTGAACAAGACGTGATAGTCCAATGCAGTGAAAGAAATAAACCAGTGAATAAATAAGTATCATAAGGTGTAAAAATGCTGTGGTAACAGTCTTTTCTTACCTTTTCACCATGAAGGTAAGGTCAACTCTCTATTGGGGAGGAAGTTACAGGAAAGTATTCCTGAAGGATGTGACCCCTGAGTATGGTCTTGAAAGATGAAAGGTAATTGGCTAGTCAGATAGTGGGAATGACTTCCCTGCCTATGACACAGTGTGTTTTATTCTTCTGAACCATGTAGACATGTTCACAGATAGTATTTTCCAGTCTGCCAGTGCCATTGGGGATTGCACTGTAGCAAACTATTTCTGTGAGTTTCTGCTGAGATCGACAAATGAAGAAATATAGTGAAGACTTGGTGGATACCCAGTTCTGCCAAACTATCTAAATCTTCTCAACAAGACAAGAACATAATGGAAAACAACTTGGAGCTTTGGAGCATGGTGCTTGGTCCAACACCTTTGGTAAATGACTTAATTTTTCAGAGCCTCAATTTCAGTATTTATAACATGGAGTTAAGTTTTAACCTCAAAAGTAACTGTGTAGTTTAGACCTAATGTATGTAAATCAAGAGTTTAGGGATTGGAACACTATAGCCTCTCAAAAATGCTAGTTTCCCTTTTTTCCCTCACATGTAATATGTTTCTGGTTAACGTTTCCTATTCTTGCACCTAAAACCACAAAGAGTTAGTGCAATTACAAGGCTTGTTTGTCTTTGGACTGCCACTTCTATTGCTTCAAAGCTACTGTCTTCTAAGTAACCAAGGGATGCAGTAGCTGCTTCATAATGAGACCTTGCTTCCTTCTAAGTGTGCACTGATTGTCAAGGTGATGAAGGAGGTTCATTATTTAGAGGTATAATTAAAGGGCACTTCCTTTAGCTAAACTAATGAGTAGTAAGTGCAGCAATATTTGCATGTTTAGACATTAAGGATGGAAACAAATGACTCATAGGAGATTGGGAGTAAGCAGGGATGGTAGAGCAAATTAATCTCGCTGCTGGGCCTCCAGGGTTATTGCTTTTTAAGACTTCCTCAAAGGAGTAGTCTTCCCTGGGAAGTTGGCTCCAGCCTTCTTTTGTCTTATGGAATGAACAGCCTTCTCATTACCTTGCCTCAGGAGCGAGGTGATCTTTGCTTCAAAAGATGCTAAAACAGGCTGGGCACGGTGGCTCACACCTGTAATCCCAGCACTTTGGGAGGCCAAGGCGGGTGGATCACGAGGTCAGGAGATCGAGACCATCCTGGCTAACACAGTGAAATCCCATCTGTACTAAAAATACAAAAAAATTAGCTGGGCATGGTGGCAGGCACCTGTAGTCCCAGCTACTCGGGAGGCTAAGGCAGGAGAATGGTGTGAACCCAGGAGGCGGAGCTTGCAGTGAGCCTAGATCACGCCACTGCACTCCAGTCTGGACCACAGGCGAGACTCCATATCAGGAAAAAAAAAAAAAAAAAAAAGATGCTAAAACATGATTCCTGATGAGCTGAACTTGAAATCTGTTTCTGGATGGACATCCATGCCTGGTTCTAAACATTTAGGGATATGAGTATATTCTTGTCCTCGTGCATATTCACTAAGATTGTACATTCACCCAAGTTAAGACTGGTGCCTTTTACCCTCTTGGAGTACGTATGTTTTGAGGTCATATGCAAGGTTTTTCCACTTCTCAGATGAGAGATGTGGAAAGCACCTTGCTATGTCTTCCACTCTTCATCCATAATCTGGGCATTTTGCCTAAATGGCATGATTTTTGTTAAAACTAAAAGAAAGTGCTTGATATAAATAAGAACTGAAAAAATGCTGGTTCCAAGTTCCCTTCTCACTGCACGTGGACTTCACAGTGGCCAGTGCCTTTGCATCATGTCTCCCAAGTAAGCAGGATTAGCAACGAATTGGCCATTACATATTAGGATTCAATTTTACCAATTTTTTGCCCTTTCATATCGTGGAAGTGACAGAAAATATCGTTCATATTATGAAAGCAAACATTTGGGTTCCAAGCCAAGGAGACGCCTCCCTCCCTCCCACTGGCACCAATCCCCAAAGGAAACGAGAAAGGTAGAAGCATGACACAATCGGTGCAGTGACTGAGCTCCTGCTGCTTCCATCAGGACTACTCCATGGCTTGAGTATCTTCATTTATTATTGAGTAGATTATTTGATTTACTAAGCATTTATAATTGTGTTGACGTTACTTCATTCTTTTTAACTGTAAAACAATATTCTTTTTAATGTTTATATTATTCCCTTCTTTTTAACGCTGATTTTAAATATGTATTAGGGGATGTCTACTGAAAACATGCATTCATTGCCTCTGGGCAGATGTACAGCCTGAAACACAAATAATGATTTTACAGAAGCAAACGGAATTGCTGAGCAGGTGCTCCTCAGGAAAAAAGAGACCAGACAGGATCCAAGCTTGCCAGAAAAAGGGGAGAAATGTAGAATCATTAGCATCTTTGATTTGTTGAGATTTAACAGTGATATAACCTTAGACTCCAAGTCAGGATGAGAAAGCAGGGGAAGTGGGTAAGACGGCAGCAGGGAAAGAATGGCATCCCTGTAGCTCTCTTCACTGAGAGTGTGGATTCTTCTTTAGAATAGGCTCTTCAGAAGAAAAATAAAGAAAATCCAAGTAATAATGAAAACCCAAGAAAACTTTGAGAAATCAGCTCTTCAAGGAAATGGCTCAGGATGTAATGTTAAATAAGCTATGGAAACCATCAGTGTGTTTGTGGAGACTATGTCTACAATAGGGCACATATGGAATTATCTGCTTATCAGATTTTTCTATTAGTTAGGTATGCAATATGCTCCATCAACATTGGGCAACACTGATCTGCACTTTGTTAAACTTCCCTTCCTTCCCTTTATTCACTTCACTGTGGTCTCTTGGTGACTCCCTCCTTTTAGTCATGGTACAGCCTCTGCAACACAGCAGACGTCTCTCACTTGCTGATAATCATAGCAGTCACTACTTGTTCATTGCCTGCTATAGATCTGAAACTACCTGCACTACAAGGGTGAGCTAGAGCAGAGAGTTTATTTAGAAGGTGATTCTAGGTTAGGAGGACAGATTAAGTGAGGAGAATGAGTTAAGGAAGGAGGAAAAGCCAATCCAAGAGGGTGTTAAGGTTATCATTGCGTGTAGTGGGGGCTTCTTTCCACTGAGGCCCCTGAGAAAGTGCAGGGTGCTGCCCAGAATTGCTCCTAACTTCCAGGACTGACTGCTTCTGCACCCCTTTGGGTGAGGGGTGCTCCTAGGGGTGATAACACTGCTGTGGTTCAGGACTGGGCTCGCCGGAGCCCAGCAGACTCCTGCAGCCTTGGAAAAGGCCCTGAGGAGAAAAACAGAACGGTCCAGTAGTGCAGGGTGTGCACTGCAGAGCAGATTGGCTGGGTAAAGTGGGTTTCTGTGCTGCTTTAGGGGAAAGGCAGGTATGGTCTAGAGAATCTAATTCTCATATCAACTTTGTTAACTTTAAGCTTCCAAGTGAAGCACTGTCAAGAGAAAGAGGATTTCATGAATTTGCTTTACTACTTACAGAACCAAGCACAGAGGACTCAGACAAAAGGTTTCTTTTCCACTTCTTGTAGCAGGTAAGGCGATTTGGCACCTTCATCTATTAGAAAAATGTGACTAGAGAAAAAGAAAAGCTCCAAATCTGCTCCATGGGGATCCTAGTCCTGAGGCTTATAAGGAAGCAGGCCTGGTGAAAAGCCAGGAGCAAGCAGTGAATGGGGGTTTTAAAAAGCAGTGCCTCTTCCTCCTTCCTCCCTAGTACCCAAGCTGGAAGGGGAGGGCTGTGGAGACCTGTGGTAGAGACATCATACACTGGTGTACAGAAGAGCCTACACACCTCTTCAGAAATGATGGCCCAGGGTCACCTCAGCAAGGTGTAGGGAGATGGGAGGTGGATTGATTTATGAGCCTGAGGCAGCTCCAGGGCTCCCAAAGGCTCACAAGTGAGGTATTAGTTTCCTATTGCTGCTGTAACAAATTACCACAAACTTTGTGGCTTAAAACAACACAGATTTGGCCAGGCGTGGTGGCTTATGCCTGTAATCCCAGCACTTTGGGAGGCCGAAGCAGGTGGATCATAAGGTCAGGAGATCGAGACCATCCTGGCCAACACGGTGAAACCTTGTCTCTACTAAAAAAAACCAAACAAACAAAAAACAAAAAATTAGCCTGGCGTGGTAGCGGGTGCCTGTAGTCCCAGCTACTCAGGAGGCTGAGGCAGGAGAATTGCGTGAGCCCGGGAGGCGGAGCTTACAGTGAGCCAAGATCGCACCACTGCACTCCAGCCTGGGCAACAAAGCAAGACTCTGTCTCAAAAAAACAAACAACAACAACAAAAAAAAAACACAAAAAACCCCCATAGATTTATTATCTTATAGTTTTGGAGGTCAGAAGTCTGAAATGAATGTCACTGGACTAAAATGGAGGTGTCAGCAGGGCCACATCCCTTCTGAAGGCTGTACTGGAGGATCCGTTTCCTTCCCTATCCAGTTTCTAGAGGCTGCTGCATTCCTTGAATCATGGTCTCACATCATTCTGACCTCTGCTTCCATCTTCACATCTCTGTTTCTGGCTCTTACCCTCTTGCCTCCCCTCTTATAAGAACACTTACTATTATATTGCGCCCATAAGAATAATCCAAAATCATCTCTCCATCTCAAGACCCTTAACTTAGTCACATATGCGAACACCGTCTTGCCATGTAATGCCACATATTCACAGCTTTCTGGGGTTCAGAGGTAGACATCTTTGGGGACCATTATTTCGTCTGCCACAGGCACCTAACAGAGCCCAGAGGTGCCAGGTAAGGTGACATGGCATGAGAGTAATGAGGAGAAGCCATGCAGCAGGAATCTGAGGCATGATGAAAAGCTGCAGGAAAGGGGCTTTAAGATGGAACGAGCATGGCTCAGGCAGTGGGTGCAGTGCTGGGTGCCAGCACACTGGCACTCTCTCAAAAAGAAAGCAGAACAAATGGGATATGCATGCCAGCAGCTACCTTTCCAGAGAGTGGACAATCCAACCATTGCACAACTCTGACCTGAGAAGCCCAGGATGTCCCATGTGGGTCTGAGGACCCTTCTCTGCCAACACCATGAAGCTACAGAAGCCAACTCTCTCCAAATGTCTTGAGGCTCTCTTTGAAATGGAAACAGTCAGGGAGAGGGACTAGAATATGACTGGGGCTTGTCAGGAAGCCATATATATCATGGGGAAATAAAGAGAGACTAGGTTCACTTTGCATATCCAAAGTGAGTCACTATTTGTGACTGTCTCCCTACCCCCAAAACACACATACATATATTATTCACCCAGAACAACCCTGCAATTTGATGTCATAGAAAAAGTCATTCGGAATTCTGCCTGAAAGAGAGAGAGAAAAAAAAGACATTCTGGACATCCTTCCCCCTCTGTTTAGGACACTGGTTCCTAAAGGACAGATGGTCTTAATGAGGGCAGGGCACAGGCAGGGATGCCGAGCAGAGTGGCCTGCTGCATTGGAAGAAACATGCCCAATGAAGCCAAGAGCTAGTCTTTAACAGCAGGATTAGAGTGCTGACAATGCCCAATTATTTTGCTCATTAAGATGACTGGTCTGAACTGCACTGACCATTCTCCAATTAACTCCTTGGCACTTGGTTATAATAATGATTGAACTAACCTATTTGACTCCCTGTGAAACCGAATGAGCAGATGCAAGTAAACTGACTCTGCATCATTCTAACACACTTTCCTCACCAAGAATAAAGGATGTATTCACTTTTAGATCCTTCCAGGAGCTTTAGAATTCTATGCAAGTAGAATGGACTTGATAAGCAAAGGCTCTGGCCCAAGACAAATGTGCTCAAATCCTGGCTCTGGGGAACTCGGGCTGTGACTTATGCTCATTTATATGAGAAGGAGGAATACCACCACCAAACCATGGACCTGGGTTGAAGGGACCCTCTGGGTATGGTGAAGGGCTGCTGGGGACCTGAGAAGCTCCCCTCATACGGGGAGTTTAGCATTCTCTGTGGGAGGTAGGGCAGGGGCAGAGAGAATTGGAAACATTCACAAAGGTGAATCCTCTTAAGAGGATCCAAACTTCTCAGACACATTATTGTGTGGCTTTCTTGTATCAACATAGTAGCTTTTTAAATCAGTAATCTCAAACCAGAGACCAGAGAGTAAAGGTGGACTGCAGAATATTTTGTTTGGCCAGATGATCTGTTTTTGTAAATGAGCACATATTAAAGTTGAGAAATTTTACATAGAAATCTGATTTCTAACTTCTGAGCAACTGGAAGTGCAGCACGAGGCCCAGATTCTTGTATAGTTTATAGATGTGTAGTGGCTAAACCTTTATTACTTTATTTTACTTTCCACTGAATCTTACATTCACCCAGCCAGGTATTGTCACTCATCTTGATGCTTCTTCCCACCCACAATTATTAGAGTTTGGGATTCTTGCAAAAGATGCTCCCAAGGATATGTAAACTGGGTATAAACTGAGCAGGGCTGAGTTTCCCCAGGGTGGAGTTGTGTTGTTCTTCTCTTGATCCCTGATGCCTAGTACAATTTCTGGCACAGAGAGGGCAACAGCCAACTGAATGAATCCGACATTTGCATCCTGTGCTTGTTGCAATTTTTCAGAGATGCACTTTTTTCCTTATGTGAGCTGGGGGTACCTGTGCGCTTGCTGGTCAATTGAGGCTGTCACTCAAGCTGTGTCTTCCCATAAGTGGAACATACTGTAAAACATCAGCAGATTTCCCTGCAGTCACCATACCAGGTCCAAAGGGAAGATTATTAGATTGTGACACTGAGTCAACCATATCCAAATGATATTAAAGCCAGGAGGGGCTGCAAGTTAGTCAACCTATCCTGTGTGTGCTGGCAGCTGGGCACTCTCCTCTGCTTTTGTCTGGGTTTGCACATGACTCACTGCAGGCTCCAGGGATTTGCATTAGTGGATCATAAGTGAAAATCCCATTAAAATGACATTCTCCTCATCATTATGATGGCTTTAGTGAGATGCCCTGGATTGTCACAGGCATCTCCTGGAGCTGCCTGGTAATAGATTTACCTGGCTGTCCATCCACCTTGGCCAGAGCCTGCTGCGGTGCGGGGCAGAGGGGCTGGGCTGACTAAAGCACACAGTGCCTCTGTGGAACTGCCTCTCTCAGCAGCACTCCTGAAGGGCTATGTGAAAACCACTGTGCCTGGTTTCAGTGCCATGAAGAGCCACTGTTCAAACATGTCTGTCCAGGGCTGGGGTTCCTGGGGGGCTTCTAACATAGCCCCTGCCACCGGCTCCATTCAATGGCCCCGCATGAGTTATATTTGCTTAAACTTGATAAATCTGATGAATGTCATACTAGAATTCCCTATATTTGCCCATCTCTAAAATTATCAGTCTTCTCTTGAATAGTAGATGTTTCAATTATGGCCCATTCCTTTGGGGATAAAGCGCCAACTCAATAATATGATATAAAAAGCCACTTGGGGTTTAATGTCCACCTGCTCCTCCACAAGGTGTCCCAATACCTGTCAAAGCTTTCTCCTTCCGCCCCATGCCTATGCCTATGCCCCACCACACTGAGAGCTCACACGCCCTGACCCCAGCCCTCCTGCTCACTGCTCTGCCACTAGGCTGCCCTGCCCTGCACCACAGAGAACTCCACATTCCTTGCAGATGTTCCCTCCCAGAGGCCTTCCCAGGCTTTCAGCCCCAGGTGCCCCTGCATGGGCTTCCACAGACTCCCCTGATCCGGCCCCAGCCCACCGTGCCTATCACATGGAACTGTAAACTGTCTGTTGATGTGTTTGTTTGACCCATTATCATGGAAACTTCTAAAGAACAGAGACTCTTATTTTAGCTACTAATCCCAGGTACCCCACACAGAGCCTAGAGCACAGTTTGTGCTCAGAATAAACTGCTGAATAAAGAAATAAGCGAGTCCCCATCAGGCATTAGAACAGATAAAATGCTGAAATTCCCAAGGTAGGCCAGGAGTTAAAATATAGACAATACATTAGACTGGCTTGAGTCCTTTCTGGCCAAGGCCAGAAAGTTCTGTAACAGTTACAAATCCACTGGTGGTAAATCTAGTAAGATCCTGAAATAAGACATCAAGATCAAAGATGAACAATGTTTGAAATCCAGAGAGTAAAAAATGGCAACATTTAAGCATTTTAAAATGCTCAATAAAATGAGTCTAAAGATCAATTAATCACCCGGAGGTTTTCAAAGATCTCTGGATTTTTCCTCTTTCCTCTCTCCCTCCCTCTTCCCCTGCCTCACTTCATCTCTCCCTTCTTTTAATCTTGACATCCATTCACTGTTATGCAAACATTTACTAGGCGCCAACCATGTGCTCATGCCTATAACATGCACAGAAGAGCTGGAGATGAGTAAGACACGACCGTGCCCTCCAGGAGTTCAGTGCAAAGTGAGCAGACAGGCAGGATAAATGGGTAACTACAGAACAGTAGGAATGGGGATGGAGTTCTGCCTGGAGACTGGGGAGCAGAGAAGAGAGGCAAACCACCCATGGGGGTGACCCAGGATGGCTTCCTGGGGGAGGTGACCTTACTAGGTATGCACATTCTGGGCATCAAGTGATTTACACCCAAGAAACTTCTGGCAAGGTTCTGTCTACACAGGGAGCTGAGTAAGGAGAAAGAGGGGTCTCTGGGTTGCTCAGTATATACCACTGGATTGCTAGCATGGGAACTGTTGAGGTTTCCTACACCCTACTCACTGTGGTTCCCTTCAGAGGGAGGGCAGCTGTGCAGGTGAGCTGGGGCTCTGATCATCAACAGGCAGTCTTTAAACTTTTTAAATGTTAATTTCTTTAGTAGAGGAATGCTATGGACTGAATTGTGCCTCTCCCAAATTCATATTTTGAAAACCTAACCCCCAATATATTTGGAGCTAGGACCTTGAGTAGGTAATTAAGGTTAAATGAGGTCAAAAGGGTGGACCACTATTTCGATAGGGCTGGTTCCTCATAAGAAGAAAACACACAAGAGTGCTCCCTCTCTGCCATGTGAGGACATGGTGAGAAGGAGGCCCTCTAAAAGCTAGGAAGAGATCTCTTAACAGGAACCAAATTGGCACCTTGATCTTGTACTTCCTACCACCTTTAACTGTGAGAAAATAAATTCCTATTATTTAAGCCACTCAGCCTGTGATACTTTGTTATGGCAGCCTGAGCTGACAAAGAATAGGACAGCTTGAGCAAAATGAAGAAGTGACCATTTTAGAGGATTTCATCAAGACTATGAACATTTTGTACTTCAGTGATAATTCTGATCTCTAAAATTTTTGTAAATTTAGAAATGCAAATTTTTAAAATTTCGAATTAGCTGGCACACCAAAGCAGCAGCCGGGCATAATGGAAAGGGCAGGTCCTACCCACGGTTTGCTGTGTGACCTTGCGCAAGCTACTGGACCTCAGTCTCTTGCCACACATTAGCCACCAGGAAGGGCTGTAGCAGAGACGAGAATAATTTCCCACGTGCATCCTGCCTAGCACAGAGCAGGCATTGATAAACGGTAGTCAATGAGATCAGGGTAGTTTGGAATGTGTTTGGTGAATCTCAGCCCCTCCTTAAATTCACCACTTTGGGAACAGATGTTAGAACCTGCTAGATTCACTATATCTTTATCTTCAGAACCAGAATTCCTTCCTCACCTATTTTTAATTTCCAAGCCCATGGCTTCATTTGCCTGCATCAATGCCTCTCAATCCCATCTTAGAAAATGCCTCAGGATATCTATAATTATCTCAACCAGTATAGCAGTGTTCCTATTTTAAAAACCCTCACAATATGGAATTTATTTTAATTCACTTCAATTTGTATTATATATTTTAAAACATCCCATAAAAGCCATATGGCACTTTAGGACATAGCTGAGAGGTTGCTGAGAAATAAAATAAACAATGTCAAGATTTCACAATTCCTGCCAGATTCAGAATTCCTAACTCAGAGGAACATAGACTAATCAAGATGCCATATTTTTAGAATTAGCATACAGCAGGATGGGATTTACTGGGAGTGGATTAGGCAGTTGCCACTGGGCTCCCCTAGCAACTTTTCCATCAGCTTGGCATCCTTAATCTTGTCACATTGCCTGGAGTTCCACCATTGAGAGATTCCTTAGAGTTAATGAATCTTTGTTTTAGAGAACATACATGTGTACTTCTATGAGGATGAAAGGTGGCAGCAATCATTTCCATCTCAGTGTGAATGAATTCCTCCTGGAATACTTCCTAGTAACACTCTAAGATCAGCTTACTGGAGGACTGGAGACTTGGATGGAACAGAGAGAGGGTGGGGGTGGAGATATAGTAACAAGGATGGAGAAGGGAAAGGATTATGAATCAGTCAGCCCTCAGCAAGGTGAGGCAGGTAGTGTAGTACACACAGTGGGCTTTGGACGAAGTAAAGAAGACTGGGGGTCCCAGAAGTGCTTAGCCCAGCATATGGAAGGGGCAGAATAAAAACAAAATGAGGTCCTGGGGCCCCAGGGAGGAAGGGTCAGAGAAAGGGCATCATTTCCTCTGCCTCATTAAGCAGCATCTATTCCTTAATCCCATTTTCTGACTGCTGGCATTCTTTCTCTTGATAATTTAAAACACTTTTGAACAATTAGCGCCTGGTCCCTTTCAAATTTAAGCAAAGGCCAACTCTAGTCTTGCTACACAGACGCTTCCTGATGGCACAGCCACCCAGAAAAGTGAGTACTACTTCCACCGTTAATGCTCCACAGTCCTCAGAAACATACTTCAAAGCTTTGGAGTCACACCAGACACTTGCTTTGTCATTGAAAGTATGATGCAGTGGCTCTTGTGATCAAAAGTCACGAGGCTCTGGAGTGAGTCACAGATTTTTCCACTTCAGAAAAGAGCATGCACTGCCTAAGGTGCTCTGTGTCACTGCTTACTTCAAAGCCCTCAAGTCCCTGTCCTCAACCTTGTGTCACCCAAAGGAGGTAGTAGAGCACCAAGGGAAGACATGGAGCATTTGTGATTTAAAGATGTGCTAACAGAGATCGTAACTGGGCCTGGGGATCAGGAGAACTGGCTTCCACAAGCTCGATGTGGAGCAAATGGACAAACGGCACATGACAGGTCCAGTGACCCAGCAGCATCCCAGCTGGGAAGCGTATCCCTTTCCACCTTCACCTGGCTATAAGGAGGCAGTTTCCTTCCTGACTTTAAGATGCTGTGTGTCTCCCTAAGCTGATTTTTCCAAAATTCAGCAAGTGGTCAGGACCTTGCAGTGCCTCCCCACTGCCATCACCATTGGATTGGACTGGCCACCCCCGCAGAGGCATGAGTAGCAGCAGGTGTGAGGTGAGCACCATACCTGATCCAGCTTCCAGTGGAACTCCGCGGGGCGAAAGGTGTCAGCCTGGTCGAAGTCCTTCCGCAAGAGAAAGACGAGGCGGCAGTTGTGCACATACAGGGCATAGTGATGCCGGTTCATTTCTGAAAAGCAGAAAGAAGGTTTGAAGAGTGAGAGAACCCCTGTGTCAGCCTCCACCAGAGGAGTCTTCCTGCTCACTCACTTAGCACAGCACAGAGGACAAAGGCATGGGCACTCCAGTCTTCTCATTTACAACAGGCTCTGATGATAGTTCTATAACGCACATGATAGAGCTCTTCCAAAGTGGAAGAGGAAGACTCAGGAAAACCCACAGCCAAACTCTTGCTGAGAAGACATCTGGACTTTAAATACCCACCTAACTTGTACTCAGATACTGCATCAGTCCCAGGGTACAAATTACTTAGGTTAACAAGCTCCCTGTTTGTTGGTTACAGATGCTTCTGGAGGGTTTAGGGAGCTATATGCCAATCACATCAGTCACTCTGTGCTCCTTTAACATACTGGTTTCTTCTAGAGTTCTGGGTTTTTATTTTATTTCATCAGATAGCAGTGACAACAGTGACCACATCTTCTCTGTCTACCTAATCTATATGAAGCAGAGCTGCCTCACTTTTAGCTGCTGGGAGGAGGGGAGAGGTTGATTTTCCAGCATTAGAGATAGTTTTGTGACTCCAACATCCCCTCCCCATACACAGGCAATTAATGGGAAGTTTTCCTCTAATGTAGAAACTTCCTTTCCTGCTTAGAAAATTTCGTGTCATGGATCCTGGCAGAAGAGGAAATGTTCTTTGACCAATTCTTAGAGAACTTGAACCTTATTACATTATCGAACACACCAGACATCTACCAGGAGGCGCGTGTTCCATAATGTTGGTTGGATGAGCAGGTGCCCATGTGTAGTGGAAAGAGCATGGGCCCTGGATTCAGATAGACTTTGGGTGGAGTTGTAACTTGGGTGATGTTGAGAGAATCATTTCACCTCTCAGAGCTTCAGTTTCCTTAACTATATCATGACATTGAAGCTGGATTATCATAATGTATCCCAAGAATGGAATACTGCTACCAATTCCTGTACATCCTGTATATACCATGCCTATACAGTTTAGGTGGGAGGAATCAATACCAATTACATTTCTAGGATGGGCTCTGATTGCTCCTGGCCAAACAGGCTCATGAGAATCGCCCAGCACATGACTTGTTCAGGATCCATGACCATGTTCCTAGTGCAGGCCATTCTCCTGGCTTCAAAACTTCTGTCAGGGGTTGGCAAGTGGCTCAGTTCAAGCCAGTGATATGAGCACTTTTCTCAGCAGTTCTGGGAGAGAACTGCTCTTTTAGCAGAAAGCAAACAGAAGAGATACTTTCCTTCCCGCTGGAAGTTTTATTATACCACTGGGAGGCTTGGAGCTGTGCGGCCATATTTGCTAATGTAAAATGGATACACTTACAGGCACAGATCTGAATAATTGCAGAGAAAAGGAGCCAGGCCTTAGATACACTTTACCTTGATGATGACTTCATGAGCCTTCATAGCTCTGGATGTTTTCAGTTACAAGATACCCACATTCTCTGTATTAGTTTGATTTTTTGGTTATCTGATATCAGTTTGGTCTGGACTTTCCACTCCTTGCAGCTGAAAGCCTCTTAATTGATACAATGAGGAAATGTGTGGAATGCATCTGCCCAGAACAAATGCTCCATAACTGTTACTTATTAGAAGGACTATCACACTGCCTCATGACCAGGGCAACACAACGAAGTAGTGCTTTCAGGAAAGCATCACCATTCTTGAGAACATAACCAAAGGATGGCAGGAAGGAGAATGGTCAGGGTCTTACTGTGGCAGGGCTGGCCTCGGCCAACATCTGGGGGACCATTTTTAGCGTCTGGATTGGCAAAACACCCGGGACTGCTTCTGGGGATTTTACTAAAGATTTCTTGTCCCCCTCATCACTGTATACCTGACTTTTCTGTGGCTTCTGTTGATAACTCTTAGGAAATATAGAAAGGAAGAATTTTTGCCTTTAGTTTTATTTGGAGTTAGGAGAGGTTGGGGCTAAGGAGGTGGAACAAGAAGAATGGATGGGCAAACCTCACTCTACTACAGCAGCTTCTAGCCTGGGAAGTTTCTTCCTCCTTCTACTCCCTTTCTCTGAATTCGAAGAGTCAACTCATATGCCAGGGTACCTGATTTATTCACTGTGTTGGTGATGTGATTTGCTCAGGAATCCATTTTATTCCTTTTCCTGTCCTTAGGAATTCTTCATTGAATCTTTCTTCCCTTCTCTCTGTCCACGTCTCAGGTAGATCCTAAAGCCTTCTGCTCACTTTCTTGAATTAGAATAGTCTTGAAGGGTTTAATCCAAATCAAACATCAGTCTCTCATCCAGTTAAAATAGATGTTCCTCTTCTCCACTCAGTCTTTACCCGTGGCTTGGTGGCCCACAATAGGGAAAGGACGGGGTAAGATCTTTCATTCTTCTTGTTCTACGTCTTCATCCCCCAACCTCCTCCTAGCTCTAAACATGGTCAGAGGTAGGGGAATATGGATGAGAGGAAAAGAAGTATAAAGTCTCTTTAAAAAGCCAGTAGAGTTTTTCATTTTCCAACGGCTCTGCAGAGGTCTCCAAATTGCCATCTTCACCTCCCCACCCTCTGTAAGGATGGCCCTGCTATAAATCTTTACATAGGAATTGATATGGTAAGTGACACACTCCTTTTCTGGGTGGCTGGGACATTTGTGCTTGCGGCAAATTCCTCATGCGAAAGATGCTCTTTCCAGTTGATCTTCCATAATTCCTCCTCAGCTTCTCCCTTCTCTCAGGAATCCCCTCCAGCATCAGCTCCTGCTACTGGGACCCCTCTTCCTGGCAGGCAGCCCTCTGGTTGCTAGCCTTGCACATTTCTGGATGTCCCTTTGGCCCACAATAACAAAAACACCTGTGTTCTGCCAAATTGTACCAGGGAACCTGCTCTCCCTCTGGCCCCTCTCTCCTCACCCTATAATTGTGGCAGCCCCGTCATTCACTTGCATTCAGACACCCTGGGCAAGAATCAGGGCCAAGCTTTCATGTACCCTAAACTTGACATGAGTCAGGCCTTTCCAGGACTCGCCTGGGCTCTGCTCTGACACCAGCCTGGAGCAGACTTAAGAGTGTTTGCAGCTCAGCCAACTGGCAGCAAAAGTAAGGTTCTCACTTCCTTTCTACAGACAACAACCTCAATCCTTCTGAGTGGTTTTCTGGGTACCTCTGTAAGTGTGAAAATACCCCCATCCCTTTCCTAGCAGGCAGGGGGACCATCCTAGCACTCTCTACCAGGCTGACATCTCCATCTCTCTCACCTGGTGATTGCTGAACAAGGTTGGCCCCTCTCTCTTAGAAAGCCCTGTAGGGAAGTGGCTAGCACTGTACGTAGCCACTGATCATTCATTGTTCTCAGTTCAAACTCAGAGACAGAAAAGGGCTGCATGCCAGGGGAAGAAGATTCCAGCAAGAGGAGCTGATATGTGTGTAGGAGGGGATTGATTACTGCGACAAGGCAGGGGCTGAGGAGGAATCATGGAAGGTGACTGGAAAGTGCACTGTTCATGGGAGGAATGGAGAGGTAAACCCCAACACAGGTGGGCTTAGAGGGGCACAGGGCCCCACACAATGACCTCAAGGTAGACACATGGCTATGTGTTCACCTAACCCTATTTCCTATGCTCCTAGGTTCACATTTAAACTCATTTCGCAGCCTCCCCCATGGGTAGGTGGGGCAATGTGACCAAGTTGTGGCAAATGGAATGTGTATTAGAAGTCAAACATGCTACTTTCTATTCTGGCCAATAAAATCCTTCTGTGTTCAGCTCTAGCCTTACTTTCTGTTCTATGGTTGAAAATGGCAGCAGCAGATGATGCAAGAATCCTTGGCTACTGAGTGTTCTGGGCAAAGTAGAGCTTGCCTACCCTCCAGACCCATGTGGGGCTGCTGGACAATGACAGGAGGTAAAACCATGGGGAAAGAATGTTACCTACTGAGATGTTTTTCTTGGTGGAAGTAGTGGTGTTAGTGGTACTCTCTCTCTTTTTTGCAGTTAGCCTTTGCTGACTAGTCAATTCTGTTATCCAGCTATTTATAAAATAATTTATAATGGAACAGCATTAGTAAGTTTTACTTAGTACACCAGACAAACTTAGTGCAATCTTCATGAAGAGCAATTTGACAATTTACAGCAAAAGCTTCCTTTCCTAACATTTCTATTATTTGAATCAGTAATTCAACTTCTGGCTGAAATAATAAGAAATGTCCAAAAGGTATATACCAGAATACTCTTTACAGCATTGCTGTGTTTGCATTTAAAAGGAGACAATCTAAATATCTAATGAAAGGGGGCCAGTGACATGAAGTATGATAAATCTACATGGCAGAGTTTTAAACTCCCAAATAATCCATATTTTTAAAAATATTTTATCACATGGAGAAATGATGTGGAGATAATGTTATATAAAGGTAACTGATGACATAATAATATCACAGATATTATAAAAGTTTAAAGGCATTCTACATATACACAGAAGCAAAAATAACATTGTAATGAAATGTACTAAATGTTATCAGAAAATATTTCCCTAGTGGTTAGGATTTTAGTTAATTTCTGTGTTCTCTTTTATGCTTTTCTGTGTTTTTCATGTTTCCACTATAGACATACATTGCTTTATGACTTGAAAAAAATTTTGATGTAAAAAAGCCATAATCAAGCTTTCATTTATTCTGGATTTTTTTTTTTAATTTAGGATGGGGTATTTATAGATTTTTTTCTTGCTGTCAGAAAAGTTAGAGAAATATCTTCCCACTTTCTCTGTGCCAATCTTGAGTGTTGTTTCACATAAGGGCCCAAGCTGAACACTGGGTGCTGCTTGGGGTGCTGCTAATTTGGGGGTGCTGAATGCCTTCTCAGGGGACTGCTGGGATGACAGTTGAGGCCAAGTTCAGCCATGGCTTCCCATTAGGCTCCTCCAAGATTCTTATTGAGCTGGGTGGGGCTCTAGCATCTACACATTTTTACAAGTGCACTAATATATTCTAATGAGGACCACTGGTGCAATAGCTTGGGCCTGGGACACAGGGTCAGAGGATCTAGGTCCAATCCTGTCTTTCTTGGTAATCATCTGTGTTATCCTGGGCCAATCACTCAGCCTTCCATATTCCAATTTCCTCCTTTGTAAGCAGAAACATTTATATCTGTCTGACTTACCTCCCTGGGGACTCGATATAGCTCAGAAAGGACTATATGTGCATGGCCACTGACCCCAGCTCACACTGCTTTGTATTTGTCTGCACATTCTTAGGCTGTTGTCTCATTGGGATGCTGGCTCCTGGATTATGATGGGAATACCTCACAGGGCACTGCACAGGCTACTGAACTGCGTCCCAAACCTCCACCTTCCTGCGTGAAGGTCCCAAAGAAAAACCTGTCCTTGGCACTGACTTCTACATAGACTTGCTATATAAATAGGGAAAGCCAGGCACCTCTCAGTTTCTGCATCCAGAAAATATATTAACATTTATTATAAAGATCAATTGAAACAGAGAATGTGGCGTTCTTGTAGCAGTGTGTAATGAGGAATAAAACTGGAAGTAATAATAATAACAACATCAAATAAATTACTGGAACACTGATTTATGCATGTGATGCTACTAAGTAATTTCATACTTTATTTCATGTTTATTTTCCCCATTTTACCTACGGGGAAAATGAGGCTCAGAGAGATTAGCAACTCCTCAAAGATCATGCCTTAAGAAGTGGTCAAGCTGAGATGGAAACTTTGGCTGTCCAATAGCAGAGGCCGAGCTTCAGCCCTTCTTCTATATTGTCTTTTTACTGTTACATCTGCTGTGATTGTTATTTATTTGGGGTGTTTTAGCAAAAGTTGTATTTGAAATGGGAAATTGTAGAATTATAATTAAATGCAGAGTTGTACAATTTGCATAAGATCTTGGGATGTTTGTGTATGTGTGTGTGCAGATGGGTGGGTGTAGTGACAAGAGCATAGGTTTGGATTTAGTTGGATCTAAGCTGACATTCTAGTTCTGATACTGTCTGTATAACTACTTGTGACAAGTTAGTCAACCTCTAAGGAATGTTTTATCCTTAAAATGGCAAAAACAATAAGGCTTTTATAAAATAATTATAGAGACTTGTGTTTAGAATAGTAATAGCTAACACAGATTATCATATTTCCTTTGTGCCAGGCACTGTTCTGAGCACTTCATGATTATGAAGTCATTCAATCCTCATAAGAACCCTGTGAGGTAGATACTACTATAACGTCCCATTCACAGACAGGTAAAGTGAGACACAGAAAGGCTAAACAACTTGCCAAAGTTACCTAGCTAATCAGTGTTAGGGGACTTTTAACCACCAAGCCGTGAACTTCTTGCACAGGCTCAGCATGCTGAAAAGCCTATCGAATGGTAGCTATCATTACTATATATGTCAGAGGTTTTCAAACTACTATTCTAAATTAGCAGTACTTTATTCAAAAGATAGCTTTTGGAAATCTTACTGTATCTAATACAGTAAAGGTGGAGCTTCTTTGTTTGAAGTAGGAATAAAGATTCCTCTCTCACCCCCATCTCACTTATAGCAGCCCCAAAACACTTCTGGGAATGCTAGCATTCTGAGGAATCTAGTTTGAAAAGCACTGATTCCAGCTGTTACATCCTTTGTGTCTGTACCCCTACTTTCCCCACTTTTCTGCTCCTGCTCTACGTCAAGCCAAGCCTGGAAAATCAGCAGCCAGAAAACCAGAGACCAGAATATATATTGGCAGGGTTCCTCTCAGGCTCCTGCTTTTCTTCCACATCCTCCTTGGCTGTGTCCATGTCCAGCCACCTGTGACAAAATGGGCAGCTGCTGGGGTAGGAGGGGTGGAAGGGCTGGGCTAGAGACTCACCGGTTTTGTCTGAGTTGCAGAGGATGGTTTCCTTCTCGGCTCTCACACCAGGGCTGGGGCCGTGTTTCATCCACATGGTGATGGTGAACTGATCGGTCAGGTTCTTGGGCACAATCCCATCGGGGACTTTGGCACCCTGCCTGCCGTCAAACTTGAAGATCATCTCACTGCTGTCCACCAGCAGTCCTGCAGTCCAGTTGGTGGCAGCGCTAGGGGATGGCAAGAGGTCAATGATGCCAGAGGAGGCTCCTGCAGAGGGTCAGGAAAGAAAGGATAACAGGTCATGATGCGGTGTCCTCATCTGTTTTCTGCTCCTGGGTCAAGGTGAACTACTCAGTGTACTTACTCAGAGACGTCTGTGCCTAACCATGAGCTATGTGACTTAGGAAAAGAAGTGCTAAATGCTGTTCCAGCCCCTGAGTTATTTATGGTTTTCTTGGGGAGGCATCAGTAACTTACAGACAAAAGTGCTGCATGTGGCAAGATAGGATGCAAGAAAAAAGTGTCGGAGGAATTTAGAAAGTTGGAAAAACCCTGGGGGCTCTTACTAGCAGGGAGGGTTCCTGGAGAAAGCCAGGATTTGATTTGGATGGATGGATTCACTCACACACCTATCCATCTGTTAACCTGCCAGCCATCTACTGAGCACTAACCATGTGCCAAGACCCCTTCTAGGTGCTGGCTCTATGAAGGTGAGTCAGACACAGTTCAGAGCCAGCAAGTTGACAAAATGTGATCAGGGCTGTGATTGGGGAAAGTTCTAGATCCTGATCCCATAAGAAGGAGCATGAGCCACTCATTACACTTTTTTACAAATATTTGTTGAGGCCAAATGATGCAGTGGTTGAGAACACAGGTTTTGAAGTCAGCAGAAATTGAATTTGACACCTGGCAGCAAAATTTGCTAGCTTTGTGACTATGAGCAAATAAGTTGACCTTTTTGACTCTGTTTCCTCTTTCCAGCGAGTTGTGAGGGCTGAATGAGATAATGCATTAGAGCTTGCAGTAGCATGCTCGCTGCATGGCGAAGGTTCACTCAGTGTTAGCTATCATGTTATCATTGTCATTATTATTATTTCTGCTGCTACTATAATAGTACTCAGGCTAAGGCACGAAGACTTCATCTGAGGCAGCAGGAGTGGGGGCAGGTTTATTTTAGAAGAATCACCAACTTTGTGGAGGGGGGTGCTGAGGTGAGAGGCGACAACTGTCCTGCCAGAGAAGACTGGATTGTCCTGCTGGGTAGGTCTGGGGCCTCCGCTGACTCTCCACAGAGGCTCAAATACAGAATTCTTTCCATCCTTCTGTTCTATACACAGACAGGGCTCAAGCACTACGGGAAGGAGGGCCAGGAACTTGCAGTCATTTTCAAATAATGGGAGTCTAAAGTGTGACCTGAGTTGGGTGGGCAGGGGTATGGGGGCTGTTTCCTCATATGGCACTGACCAGTCAGTCATAAACTCTGATGGGTTTAATGGACAGTGGTTGTGTGTATTACCTGCCATTTGCCCAGGTTTTGGATTTTTGACTTTTGTATATCAGAGCCTCATCTCACCTAGGGTTTGGGTTCCAAAGTCAGCCACTACAAAAAAAAAAAAAATCTCCTACCATTAAAATGACCCTTTGAAGATTCCTCAAGGAAGATGCCATGCTGGAAATCAGTTTACTTGTTTGAAAATGTTCAACTCAGCCAGTTTTCCCTCCATCTGTGGAGGAGATCATCAGGTCTATATCCATTGGGTAGCAATAGAAGGTTATGCTATGTGAAGAGCATGTATCCTTAGAACCCAGATGCTCTGCTTCTCACCATGACAGGTTCACTCTGGGAGAGGCTTCTGGAATTGTGGTGTCTGTGAAGGTAGAGATTAAAATCTCCCAATTCATGCTCATGCTGTAGTTTGTATGTATCAAAGGGAAGTGTGGGCAGAGTTGACGGCATCATTTACATGAGTATTTCCTAGAGATTTTGTCTGTTACTGCACCTGACACATAGTAGGCACTCAGTTAATATTTATAATTGCCACTCAGTGCTCTCACGAGATGCTCCTGGAAATTCACCCAATGCTTAGGTGGGTCCATCCAGCCCCTTGTCCACGCTCCACGCCTCTCATCACACTTACCTGTTCTCACCCCCTGCTGCTAACTCCTTAATTGATATCCATGTTACTTATGTGATAAACTAATTTATACAAATGTTTTAATTGCCAATAAAATCTTTGCTGTCCTTTAATACCACCCTCCACAGATATTTCTAAGAAAGACATCTATCAAGGTGGTAGCAGAGAGAGATTTGTGAGTGGTTTGGAAGTAGGAGATACATGGTTTTTTGGGGAAAGTGCATTTTCCTAGTACCCCTGGAATAACACAACATGGCAATAGTTTCTTTGACCTATTAAGTTGGGTCTGATACCAAAACTTGTCCAGTGTGAAGACAGATGGTGACAGAGGTACACACAGAGCATGTCGGTTCCTGAAACCTGGGACGGCCAGAGAGATGCAGGCTGAGCACTCAGGGCTTCTGACTTCTAGCTCAAGCCAATGGGACCAATATGATCTAGCAGGGCCCGGTGCAGAGATGTGTGTGTGGTGGCTGCAGAGGCCAGCTTTGCCACCATGTGGAGCACCAAGGCCTCTGCACAGGGGAAGCAGGGTGGGGTCTAGCAGGGCTTGAAACTCCACCACCAGAGGGTCCTTTTTTTGGCTAAGGACATTGCTGTTCCTATAGAATTCACACTTCAATTAATACCTTAGACTAGTGAAGAAATTGATTGTGAATTTCCCTCCAAACAGGTTTGGATATATATAGAGAGGTACACAGCAGAGAGGACCATGCATGGGGTGATGGGGGATGACATCAAGGGAAGGTTGGGAGACAAAATTGGTTACAAAATAACCCAGTGCTGGTCAGGGTTATTCTATAGATATATCCAATATTTATGTAACCTTATTTATTTTATTTTTATTATTTTATTTTATTTTATTTTTGAGACGGACTCTTGCTCTCGCCCAGGCTAGAGTACAGTGGCGCGATCTTGGCTCACTGCAACCTCTGCTTCCCGGGTTCAAGCGATTCTCCTGCCTCAGCCTCCTGAGTAGCTGGGATTACAGGCATGCGCCACTATGTCTGGCTAATTTTTGTATTTTTAGAAGAGATGGGGTTTCACCATGTTGGCCAGGCTGGTCTTGAACTCCTGACCTCAGGTGATCTGCCCGCCTCAGCCTCCCAAAGTGCTGGGATTACGAGCACTACGCCTGGCCTATATAACCTTATTTTTTATAGTTACAGAACTTTATTGTTTTCCTATGAACCCTTACTGGGCACAGAATGGGTGCCAGGCCTGAATTAAGAGCCTTACACATGCTTTTTAGTTACTCATCTGCGCGGTGAATATCGTTAAGATTCCAGGTTACAGATAAAGAGCCCTAGGCAGAGTGAGCCCAGGATGGCACCCAGCTAGTGAGTGGACCCATCACCAGGACTTCCCAGCTCCAAAGCCCATGCTCCCCATTGCACCTCCTCAGTGGACCTGGAGGGAGATCTTGTAACCTTCTGCTCATTTTGCAAACATAGAAACTGAGGCCCAGAGAGGGGAAACGACTGGACCAAAAGCACACAGTCACAGCTAGCTAGAAGCAGGCCCAGCTCTCAGATACCCAGTTAGTGTTCTTTCTACCACACAGTAGTGTTCAGGGGGCCAATCATATGACCTGCCAAGCACAGCCTAGTCACATGGGACTCCACCTCCCTACACAGGCCACTGCTCTGACAGAGGGGCACACTGAGGACATATGCCCTGGCAAAGCCATAAGGTGGGGCTCTTTTGTCTTCCCTGCTGAGGGGGAGCGGCAGGCCACTTTCTCTAACCCGCAGATGTTGCCTGCCAGAAACCATCAAGCTGCATTTAACCAGATGGTGCAGACTTCCACAAACTTAACAGATTGTATTTCATTTTTTGGTATATTTAAACAAACTGAGAAGATTTACTTTCTCCAAGGTTTTTCTGTCTCTCTTCTCCCCAGGGATCCCTTGGGAAGGCAGTGGGTAAACAGAATGCATCACTTGCAGTGATGATACAGCACTGTCTACACATCAGGGTGTATTTAAGATGCTCCTTTGGAATCCTCCGTGAAGGTCCCTGGGGCCCCAGGCAGCTGAGGATTCACTCTGGTCTTGTATACAGCAGCTGCAGCTTGAGTGCTGGGGGACTGAAACCAGGGATGAGATCTGATTTGACGTCCCTGGGCCCTAGCAGGGTGGGGAAGCCACTCTGAGCCAGAAAATAGATACAGACACAATGAATGAGGCAGATTTCAGGGCACACTGTGATACAAAAGCCCAAATGGGGCCTAGGGATGGCAGTTACTGTCTGAACTTCTTAATTGATGAATTTGCATTCTTCTCTAGATGGCCTTGGTGAGGCCAGAGGTTCCTTAGCACTTCAGGGAGCCTATGGCAAGAGTGACTGACATGGGGCCACCAGTTGTGCCTCCTCAGGGTCCACCTCTGGGCATGAGAAAGGGCAGGGATAAGTGGGGAATCTCAGGGAGAGGATCCAGTATAATCAAGGACACAGGCCTCACTCTGTAAGATATTCTCACAATTGGCAATATCAACTCCATATTATGCCAATAGACATTTATGTAATATCTAAGTTATGACAGGCACTGCCATGAGAATGCAGCAATGAACCCAACAGAAGTGGCTCTACCTTGGGGGATGCAATGAAAGTCTTTTATTTTCTGAAGGAAGAAGCTTGGTGGGTGGAGGAGTTCAGTGATGTAGAATCTCAGGGGAAGTGAGGGAGGCCCTCTTGACAAGTGCCGTATGGACTGCTGGGACTTTGTGGTGGTAGAATGTATTCTATTCACAACACAAATCTCTGACCCACTGATATCAGCTTGGCCATGAGACTTGCTCTGATAGATGAAATATGTGTGCATGTGACATATGTCATATCAGAGCAGAAGCCTTAAGAGCCCATCTGTGGTTCACCATGCATCTTTTCCATCTACCAGGAAATCAACAATGTTTTAGATCAAAGCTGTTCCATTTTCCTGGATCCTAGTGGGGAGCTAACATGGCGCAGAGCCACAGCCAATCCAAGGACATGTGGTAAGAATGATAAATAAACCTTTGTTATTTTAACACAGTGAAAGTTTGCGGTCAGTTGTTACTACAGCATAACCTGTCTTACCCCGACTGATAATCTATATCAGTGATTGTCATCAGCAGTTAAAATTCCCATTTCTCTATCCGTGTACCTTAAGCATAGGCACAGAGGACTTTTTGATGTCCTTTCAGGAGCTCACACACTATTGATCCCACAATAAAACTATCATTTCACTTCTAGAATCCTAGAAAAGAGGAGTTCCTCCAAGGCCCTGGAATCAGAAACTTGGATTGCCAGGTGAAGGAAACTAGGTTTTGCTTCATCTGGGTGGTTGGCCAGGATCCTGAGTGAGAGCCATGGATACCTAGTTGCTTTCCAGCTTGGTATGTTTTTGTCACTGCAGGCAAAAACCTCCTCCCCAACATAGTGGGCCATGTTGTATTGTAGTTGCTTAAATGACCTGCAAGAAATAAGCATAAGAAAGAAGCCCACTGCTCACTGTCAGCATCCATAACTCAGTGTGTGCAGCCCTTCACTGTTGTATGATTGGGGATCTAATCAGACTTCCAACAGGTGTTCACCTATTTTCCTTAAAGTAAAAGGCCCACTTCATCTCTCTGCGAATGGAGGCACTGGCTATGACTAGTAGACTGACACTGTCATGCTGGGAAGCTCCAGCTCTTTAGCAGTGTCTTAAAGAAACCCATCATGGTTTCCTGTAGTTGGGCTGTTATGAGGGTGTGAAAACCTCTGATGGTGGTTATTAGTGAGAACAAGTTCTGTTGAGCTGCAAGGTGCACTAGAAAACCATGAACTTTTATAGCTCCTAAAAAAAATTGCATTATAATTTTCTTAACATGTCTGTCTTCTCCAGAAGATTGAATTTTTTTACGTTAAACAATTTAAATTGACACATAACAATTGTACATATTTATGGGATACAATGCAATATTTAGATACATGTATACCTTGGGTAATAATCAATTCAGGATAATTAGCAAATCTACCATTCAAATATTTATCTCTTCTTTGGGGGTGAGAACATTCAAACTGCTTTCTTCTAGCTATTTTGAAATATACAATACAGTATTATTACTATAGTTGCCCTACTGTGTAATACAACACTAGAACTACATGATCTTTTAATCTCTACATTATTTTAAGAGTTGGCACAGCATCTGAGTACTCAACAGATATTTGTTGAATTAATAAATTTGTGCAGGAGTGAATGATGAATGAGCCCTCTACCAAAGTCTCCTGGGCTCACATGTATATAAATCCTGAGAACAACTTAGGGTCTGGTCAGGCGCACTGCTCTGACACATGAACCACATGATTTTTGCAGCATGCTCTTACTCTGTGGTCTTTTGTTCAACAGGACCTGCCCTCAGTGTTCTTCACTCCACACAACACAGCTGACCCAGACATCATGTGCAGGAGGTACTGGCCAGCAGCCAGGAGCCCTGTGGTCCCTATGAGGAACCACCAAGGTTCCTGGCCTCGCACCACCAAGGGCATATGCACCACCGACTACTTTTCTAGTTTCTGTAATACGTAGTGATGTAGGGCCATCAAAGTGGACCTTTTCTTGGGCTGTTGTTAATGTCACATTTAATTTGGCCAAGAGGTCTCACTGAGGGCTGCACTCTCATCTCATACTCAAAATAGTTCTGTGACACGCACCTCTGGAAAGCCTGGTGCCTAGATGGCATGGTCCTTCATGTGGAGCTATGAATTCAGAGGAAGTGATAAGCAGTTGGTCCTGCTTCTCTAGGAAGCCTGGCTTCATGTAGAGCAAAGGAAGGTGGGGGCCACTTGAGTTACATCTGGCCCCACAAGCTAAAGGGGACACAGAGGTTCAGGGGACCTCCATTTTTTTTGTACAAAGCAGAATGGCAGTGTCTCCATGCATAAACCCATGAAGCAATATGCCTGACATCCAATGCTTCCCTAGGCCCAAAGAGTCATTTCAAGTGCTTCTCCATCTACTCAGGTACCTCCTGACAGCAGGCTTGACACCAGCTACTGTCCAGCTCCCCAGTAAACCAGATTCCCTCATTGCTCCTAATGGGGTCTAGACTGCAGGAGGAGGAAGCAGGTGGGCAATGTCCAGATTTCCATGATGACCCTCTGAGGAGATATCCGTGGCTAGGTTACTGCACGACTACAGCATCACAGAGGAGACTCCAGAACTCAAACTACCAAGGTAGCTCCACAGACTGACTCCTGGTGTGCATAGAGGGCAGGCAAATGCTGACTGGAGGGAAGGGTTTGGAGAGGTGAAGGGGAGAGAGACCATCCTAGTGGGAGGAGAATGTGAGTGAAGGCTTATGGATGAGAAGGAACCAGGCAGAGGGACCAAAGCAGGTGCCCTGACCAAGCAGAAGCAGAACATCAGGGCGAAATGTGCTGTAGTAATGGATCAGCAGGGTAGAGGCTGATCTTTGGGAGGGTCAAGAATCAGGCTAGAATGTGGTGTCCACACCAGGGTATACCACAGGCAACTGCCATCGTTGTCCCTTAGGTGTGCCCTTGCTCCTGGATACCTGGCTCTGGTTGGCAGCACCCTCATTCAGTTAGACACTCACACAAGAGCCTTCTTAGAATCCTTTCTTACTCCTGACAGCTAATCAATCATTGAGTCTTGCTGATTTCTGTCTCCAAGCCTGTCTTAAATTCATTTTTCCTGCCATTCCCCTGGTTCAGAACTCATTATCTCTTGCTTAGACCATGGCTCTAATATCCTCATTGGTCTCCCTGTTTCCATCCAAAGTCAATAAAGATTTGTAGGATGAAAAATGCATGAATACTGAGGCTTAAATGGTCATGGCAGCTCCCCAGTTGGGAAGCCCAGCAAGAAGCTTGTCTACCATCCACTGAAGACACACAGAAACTTGTCTCTGGAACTGAAAGTACCCTACAGGAGTCAGGCATTACAACCCAGCTTCCATTTTAGAAGTGATCCAGCCTACATTTCCCTTATAGTTGGAGAGAACCTGAGTCCCTACATGGAAGCTGACCCCAGGATCGGATTTGCATCTGGGCCTCACTCATTTGCTTTCACCCTTTTTATCTGAGCTCTCCTCCAGTGCAGTTCAAAAGCCAGGCTTCTAATGTAGAGGCAGGACTGATCCTGCTCAGCAGGGTTATTGGGACAGGATTACCATAGGTGTGGGGGGCAGTGCCATGGAGAGAAACACAGGCTTCTCTCCTTCAAAGGGCAGCTCCCAACTCCAAATAAGTCCACACCTTGGGGGAAACGGCCTTGCTGGCTGAATTAACCTGCCCTTCTGCAAGGCAAGGTTGGCAGTACAGATGGAATGAGCTGTGTTAACATATGAGATGCAATTTTGTTCGAAAATTTCTTCCTTCAGGAAATCCTTATTACACTCCATATCTCCCCATCTCTCCCCAGCAACATTCAAAAGCAAATCACAAGTGCATGCCCTTGGGCCCATCTGATCTTTAACAAGCTGATCCCATCATCTCTTCCTAACCTGGAGGAGTTTAGGAAACGATGCTAACTAACCCACAGTGGCCTGGGGTTCCGTTGACTTATAATTCAGGTGCATGGGGAGCAAAGTAGGGTATTCCTTCAAAGTAAGATGTCATCTTAGATGGCTTCTCTGCTGCAGAATGGAGGAGAGGACTGGAGGTGGTTTTCTGAATAGTGCAGATCCCTTATAACCATTTTTGCAAGAGCTGTATGGAATATTGAAGTTGTGGTGATTTTTCTGATCTACTGCATCATTCTGGAGAGGTGTGCAGCCCCATAGGCCTTCCCTGCCAGCCTGGTGACGTGAAAAATGGAACATGACAATATCAAGCAGAGTTTATTTCACATTCAGTTCTAAATATTTTTACTTGGTTCCTTGGGTTAGAACAGTGTGGGTGAAGGGGTGTGTGTGCTTGTGTGTGTGTATGTGTGTGTATGTGCTTGTGTGTACGTATGTGTGAAAGTTGAGGGAGAAAAACTGCCCCAAAGATAATAGTGGAGAGGCCCACCTTGGGGGAAGGCAGGCTAGACTGTGCATTCACAGCCTCCTTTTCTTTTGGAGGAGATGCAGTTACCTCCAAATACAAGCCCACTGTAAGAGTAAGCCCTTTCCTAAGCTCCCAAACATGGCTGGAGAGTCCAGTGTGAGTTCCTGAGTATTTTGGGAGAGAACAAGGAAGAAATCAACTATGTGCAGGAGTAGGAGTGAAGGAGGCCCATCACCATGTCAACAGTCTGACTTACTAAGCACATGAGGCACTTCTCGCCTTATGAGATGCTCTTTTTCTCATTTCACAGACTCACTGAGAGATTTACATTCTAGCTCCCGAGGCCTGGATGGAGGCCTGGATGGATAGCCTTAGTGGATACTGAGCTAAAATGCCCATCATTTAGACAGACTTACTTTCAAATCCTGGCTCTGTTGCTTTCTATCTGTGTGACCTTAGACAGGTCATTTTCACTCTCTGGGCCTCAAATTTTTCACCTCTAAAATGGGATGGGTGACCTCCTCATGGTGAAGATGGGATAACTAAATAAAGTAATGCATGTGAAGAGGCTGGCAGGGCACACAGAGCAGGTGCTCAGTGAAGCTGGCTTTCCTCCATATCCACCTTTCAGAGCACCCCTCCATCAGCTTTGTTTCCTAACTCCTGGCCTGCCTCCTTTCTTGTGGCGCCATCTCACAGCCAAATGACAACAAGCCCTCTCTGTCCCTCACAAGTGAGTATCTTCCTTTGTCTACCGTCACCCTCACCCCAAGCTCTTCTCTGCTGTGGGCAGCCAGACTCAGCTTCATGGGCATGTGACCTTGTTACCTGGGGCAGTGACTATGTGACAGAGCTGAATTTCTACCCTGTCCTAACTTTGCTTATCTTTAACAAACAGAATGCCTGTGATAAAAAGTTCCCTTTGCAGCCAGACCAGCTGAGACTGGTACATAGAACCAAGACAGCTGACCAAAGGACTTCAAAAAGACCTCAGTCTTCATGATAATCTTATTTCCATGCTAAATGATACTCCCTCCAGCACCACGACAGTTGACAATTGCCATGACAATGACTGGAAGAAGCCGTAAAAGGACTAAAAGGGAGGCGGTACTACTGATTCCAGGAGGTTCACCACCCACTTCTGGAAAAGACATGAATATTCTTCCCTTTTCTTTTAATGTCACCTCCTTCATTAGAGAAATCCTGTATCTTAAGCCCCTCACCCTCACTTGTTGAGAAGTTGATTGTGAGCCATCTCCTGCTTCTCAATTCCACGGCCATTGAATAAAGCCTGCACTGCTTGACACTCACTTTTGGTTTTGTGTATTGGCTTTGTGATACTGAATAAGGAAAGACTCCATCTTTGGTAAGACCAGCTTTGTCAGTAACAACCTGAGTAGTCATATAGGGCCCAAGGCTTAGTTGTGTTTACTTGGTTTAATGCTTTGCTGTCTCTGTTGTAAAACTCTTGTTAATTTTTGAACAAGAGCCCCAAATTTTCATTTGCACTGGGCCCCACAAATTATATAGCTGGCGCTTTGGGGAGGAGACCAATCCCTTTCCAGGTGACTGACACTACTAACTCTTCATACTGGGTCTGGTCTGATTGCTTTTTCTAAACCAGTGGGGCAGAAAGGAACTCGTGTTTCTTTGGGCCCTGACCTAGGTACTCCTGAAAGTATCGTGCCATTTAATTCCCGTTTTACCAAAGAAGAGCAAAGGCTTTGCTTTTCCATGTCACTTGCCCAAGGCCACATAACTAATAAATGGAGTCTGAGTCAGGAGTCTACTGCCAAAAACTGGGCCTTCCAACCCTTCTGCCATAAGTAAACTTAAAATCCATCCAGGAGTTACACATATCAGTGCAGGAAGGGAGGGTTGATTCTTGCCTAAGACAATAAGATATGCTTTTTTGGTATACATCATTTAAAAGCAATTGATTTTTAAAATCCCAAAAGGGAAAAACCTACCACATAACTTTTGAAGGGATTTCTCAGAGTAGGTCTCCCGGTCACAACCCTTCCCAATGTAATTAGTCTGCAGCTCTGTGACGATCTGGAGGGAAGACACGGCTCCATCGCACGTCTCCAGGTGGATGCTGGGGAACAGGGGCATGCTCCCGGAGCCAGGCTGGTACTCAATCCTCTTGGTCCAGTCTAAACAAACAAGGAAAGGATGAAAAGTGAATCAGGTGCAGTCAGTTCTGCTGGAACATTTCTTTTAGAAATGTGAATTTGTTCCAACGAATTATTTGCCCCAACACATATATTAGATATTAGGGAACAGTTTGAGAATAATGGCAGTTTTACATTTGCTTATGCAGGGTTTCCTCCCTGGGAAATACTAGGCAAACACAGAAAACTGCACCCAGCTGCACTGAGCCACATAGGAATACACAAAACATGTGCAGGCACGTGCATACTCACATGAGCACACACACACACACACACACACACACACACACAGTCACACCCTCAAACATATACCAGCCACTTAGTTCACCATGTGTTATGAGCCACACCCGTCCACGCCTGCAGTTACAACTTTTCATTCATTTCCCAGATACTCCTTCAAGGACTTCACAACAACACACCAGAGGCAACCCCCATCATCCCCAAACCTTTTTTTTAGTATCTCAAAATTTATGTTTTAACTTTTATTTTAGGTTTAGGTGTACATGTGCAGGTTTGTTATATAGGTAAATTTGTGTCATGGGGGCTTGTTGTACAGATTATTTCAGTACCTGGGGAGGCAACCTTCTTACATTCATTTCACAGGCAAACGTCAGATCTCCTCAAGGCAAGGTGCCATACTTATTGTAGTACTTGTGCAATATTGTGCTAATGTTTTCTCTTTCTCCTTTTTTTCTAATGTGCCACCGATGACATTTTTGAGTGTTGTGCCCCTCACCCCATTTTTTAACTTTGCCTCACGTGGTCATTTTTAGGAAGGCATGTGCCTTGTTATAAAACAAAAGGAAGCATGGTTGTTCAAGGATCTCATGAGGTCACAAGGTAGGGTGAAAGGATTCTCAGACACTCAGAACTGTGAGTTACTGAAGTAGGTCTCATGGTCTTGTCACTGCGTTTTAGTGAAAAAATAATGTGGAAATGATAAAGCATTAGAGAGGAACAAAATCACGATTAAAATGGCACCATGCAAGAACACAGCAATCAACACATACAAACTCTACAAGTGAATGTACACAGGAATTGACTGATATAATAACAGCAGCACCTGAAAAGTCAGAGCGGACTCAAGGCAGGCTCCCAGTGACTGACGACATGTGTTTGCCTCCCACAGCGGGCATCCCACGCTCTGGGAGGACACATGTCTGAGACGGCTGTGCAGCCATCCTCAGCCAGACTTATGTGCAGAAGAGTGATTCTGACTCATCAAGCAATGTGAGTTATGGGTGCTATTAGTTTACTAATCCCAAATGTTTGTCACATAGAACATTGCTAGATGATATCCCTTTGCTGAAGTAGAAATAAAAATCTATAAAGTTGCCTGACCTCACCCATGAGAAACTCAGAAAGTCCTGCATTGTGGGACTCAGTATCAGGCTGCAGTTACCAGAAGGCTACTCAGTTCCCAATGGGCCACTGGAGCCACCATGGTGATACCGGTATCTTGGAAGAGACTGGGCTTTGGGGCTAGCCAGACGGCTTTGTTCACTGAGCAACCATTTGTTCAGGGTTTGTTTCTATGTGCCAGGCTCTGCTTGGAGTACAAAGGGTACAGCAGTGAACAAGTCAGGAGCCTAGGGAGAGAGGCAGGTGATGAATAAGCCTGTGCTGCTCTAACAGAAAGGAGTAAGTGCTATGAAAGGAAAAGCCAGTGATAGAGAGGGGCTCCTTTAGCTTGAGACTTAACCTCTGAGCTGAGGCCTGAATATCAAGGACAAATGCATTGGGGGAAGCCTCAGGGAAGCATGTGTGAAGCAGATGCAGCAACAATCTTGGCTTGGCTTTGTAAGGTCAGGAAGTTCTTGAGCAGGTTATTGAAGGTCTCCAAGCCTCAGGCATCCCATCAAGGAAATGGGGACCATAGCACTGACCTAATAGTATTGAGGTAAGGATTGAGTGTGAAAATGTGTACATAGCATGCAGTAGGGACTGATCAATGTTGTTCCCTGTCAAGGAAGGAGACAATCCGCCCTCCTGCATCACAACTTTGATACATTTCAGGTACCTTTGCAATCTGAGTTTAGCTCTGAGCCCCCATGGTCACCAGCTGCCCTTTATGGAGTTTTCTGAGTGTGTCACAAGTAGAGGGTGCACATTACGGATGTGAGATTCATCCCTAGGGTACTTATAATAAGAGGATGTTTGGATGAGAGTGACTAATTGTAAAGGAGAATATCCCTACTTCTATGTTATTTTCCTCAAAGTCTTTAGGAGCTGTATCTGGATTAGCCCATCCCCTCCCAGAGGATGAGATCATGAAGTTGCTGCAGCCCATGCTCTAAAAGCCTCAAGTGCAATCTTAAGGACAAACCACTGGAGCAAAAGGTGGCTTTTTGTCTGGTGTATCTAAAGTCATAGTGCCATAGGAAGCCCTCCACACACATGGCCAGCTGTGTAGTGTCCTAGGTACAAAATGCTTTGTACCACTCCGTATTTCTGTTGTTTCTTCTACTTGGGGTTCCCTATCACTATCCCTCTTGCCACCTCCTCCATGTGTCCTTCCGGGATTTCTCCAGTCTAGGTAGATGCCCTCTCTCCTCCATGCTTCTACAGTATTTTCAACATGAGGCTGCAGCATTAGACTCTAAGCTTCATGGTGCCTCTGAGGCCTCATCGTGCTAGTCAGTGCCTGGCACAGAGTAGATGCTCACTAGTGGTAGAAACTGTGACAGAATCCTACAGGCTATCTTTTGATAGGAAATATTTGCTGGGTGGATCTGGGCAGCCGCAGACATCTAACCTTGATTGCTGCCTTGGTAGCACTTCCTGAGCTGCAGACAGAATCCATGGCTTGTTTGCAGCTTCTCTGGTACTGATCCCACCGGCCTGTATCTTCACTCCTGCTGGACCATCTATCCCTTCTCTATATAGAATCATCTATCTCTCCTCTCTCCCCAAACCCTCCATAAACTCCCTTTCTGTCCATTGAAAATGGAGAAAGCAGTTTTGTGCTGGGAGTGGGAGCTTGGTGTGCACCCTGCGGCACCAGTCTTGAGGTTCTCCTGTTTCTGCTAGTGTAGGAGAGCCCTCCCACAATACCTCCCCTCTGGTCATGGTCTCTGGAGGCCTTTTCTCTGGAGAAACCCAAGACACCCTCCTCATTGATTCCCTTTATTCAGCAGAGGCTGCAGGCATCCCTTTCTCGTCTAGATATTTTGGTGGTTATCTATGATGAGAAATTCCACCTCAAATCTTTTTTAAAAGGAGTTCAAATAAACAAGCAAGTAAATCGTGAAGGGAAAAGCCAGGAAGCACAATCCTGTAGGGTCTTCATCCTCTCACTCACCCCCTAGCTGGCAGGGCAGGGCCCTCTCTGGCCGCCAGGGAGAAATCAGGTATAAAAGAGTTTTAGGAACATCACAATTGCCAGTTGCTTTGGTGACCTCAAGAGGCTTGTTTTTGAGGGTTTATGAGGAGCAGGCAAAATTGCAACCATATAGTAAAAGAAATTGATGAAGCTTTCTGAGCACAGTGTACTTGAGAGAGTGAGACGCTCACACAAACATCTTCCATTTTCCAAGAAGGAGTTGGGATGGGCTTAAGAGAGCAAAAGGCAAGTCATCAAGTTCAGGCTTTACCACAAGAAATGTCTGTCCCTCCTCATCTCTTGGAGGGTAGGATAGCATCGTTCTTAAAAATATAGATGTTTAATTCAGCATACCTGAGTTTAAATCCCACGCTTACCACTTACTGTGTAACTTTGGGCAAATCATGTATGCTCCGTGAGCCTCAGTTTCCTCTTCTGTAGAGTTTGTATCTACCACCCCGGATTTTGGGGGGATTACATGCAGAGTCATTTCAGTACCAAACACAAGGACCATGACCAATAGATATATTATTGGTAAATTACCGTTTATTCAATAACATTTATTGCAAGACATAAGAGGAAATCAATGACTAAGCACTGACAAGGTGCCAAGCACTTTTATACCTATCCTTTCACTTAATCCTTTCAGGGACCCAGTGGGGGAGTGTATCTTAATTGCACAAATGATAAAACCATGCCTAAGAATTGGTGTGACTTGCCCAAGGCCATGTAGCATTTTTTTTTTTTTGAGACGGAGTTTTGCTCTTGTCACCCAGGCTGGAGTGCAATGGCACAATCTCAGCCCACCGTAACCTCCACCTCTTGGGTTCAAGAAATTCTCCTGCCTCAGCCTCCCTAGCACCTGGGACTACAGGCACCTGCCACCACGCCCAGCCAATTTTTGTATTTTTAGTAGAGACGGGATTTCACCATGTTGGCCAGGCTGGTCTCGAACTCCTGACCTTAGGTGAGCCACCCACATCAGCCTTCCAAAGTGCTAGAATTACAGGCCACATAGCTTTTTTACAAAACTCCTCCACTATTCTGAGGATTTGCCAGAACTGAGACAACTATAATTTTTACAGATTCATGTTTAACGTTCAATTTATGCTGATATTTAAAATTAAAAGAGTGATAATCCCAATGTTGGCAAAAGATCAAGAAGTATTGTCAGTTTTATCAGTGTCTGACCTTGAGGGCAGCTTATGGGGGCTGGAGGTTTGCTTTGACACTGAAGACTGCAGAAATCCAGGCTGGAATCTCAACTCTGCCAAATGCGAGTCATGTGAATCTAGCAAAGCTGCTGTCATCTTATAGCCTCCATTGCTTCATCTGCAGATTGGGGAAAATTATATCCCCTCGTGGGCTTATGGTAGCACGAGATATGCCAGGCTAAGGGCCTAACACAGGGACCTTCCAATGAAGGCTCGGTATGGGAATATCCCACCAATTGGTTCAGGAGTGTCTCAAACTTCTCTGAACTGTCCTACTTGGAAACAAAATCTTTTCAGTTTATAAGGGGCCTAGAGACTACTTTATGAATTGTGGTTCAATTTTTTTCTTAAGTGAAGAGAAAGGGAGCAGCCTGCCCTGCCTGCTGTTTTAATAATTGGGCCTAAATTACCCTGTAAGTATTCCTGAAAAAGCTATTGGGATTTAAACCCCTTCTTTGTGGATTAAGAACTTAGAAAGATGATGATTTTATTATAACTACCTCTACATTTGGGTAACTTATGTTTTCTTATCAAGAGAACATTAACCACTTGGAAGTTTCATATTAGATGCCTACAGGGGGAATAAAGCTAATCTAAGAGACTTCTGGAAAGCATAGGCTTTGGCGCTGTTGTAATCTAAGACGTTCCGTCCATTGTTCCAATTCTGTGGTCAGAAACGATGCAGAATAATAAAAGGGAAAGAGGTAGGTGTGGCAAACACACGCTTCCTTCCTTAAATGTGCACGCACAGGAGCCTCCAGTTCTTCCTAGTCTCAGCTTCCAATGGCTGGAGAAGCATCAGGATTTCTAGGAAATTGCTGGATTTACACAAAGTGAGTGGCTGGATATTGGGATACCGGGGAGTGAGAGGGATGGGAATGGGGTACCCCAGAACAGGGATTGTTCAGGCAGCTGACACTGCAGCCAGATCTGCAAGCATTCACTATCTGCCATCTTTTAGGACTTTCTCTGAGGGATGAATGGCTTTGATTTGGGCACCAAGGGTCTTCCCCTCCTACTGGAAGAAGCTAGGAGGGTACCTTTGCTCAGCAGTGAGTGCTGTCATCTCCACTGACCATCCAGTGCATCTGAATTGGGGGTGAGTCAGGAAGCAGAGATGGGCTGGAGAGGTAAAAGAAGGTCAGATGATGAATGCTGGGTAAGAGGTTTGGATTTAATCCCAGGGCCAGTAAGGAGCCATACATAGGATGTTTAGCGAGGGTGTGAACTATCCAGACTGCTTCAGAGCCATCATTCAGCAGTTGGGTTAGTCCTGGTGTTCATTTCCAGAACAGCAGGATACTCCTGATAGCCACCCCTCGATCAATCCATGCAGGTGTCACCACTGACAGGGCCATACCAGAGGGAATTAACTTCAATTCATTGAAGTTTAGTTCAATTCTATTGAGTTAAATTTAAGAGTGTTAACCCTGCAACTGGACAGATTCAGATTCAGGGATAACCACACCACAGGCAGGGGAGGGGGCAGAGGAGTACCAGTGTCAGCCAGGAGGCAGAAGGAAGGCAAGAAACTGTGGGCACAAGGCTTTACTGTGGCTTCCATGGGAAGAAACAGGTAAGGCAGGGCAAGCATTTTAAGATTCGCTAGTTTGAATAATTCCAGTCAGCTCTTGGACGTAGTTGTCTGGTACCTGACCCTGGGGTGATTAGGGCAGGTGAATGGTGTCCCAGAGTGTAAAAGCCCCAAAAAGGGGTGTGTAGGGTTGTGGGCTCCAGATTGGTTGGAGTGCATATGAAAAGTGAGAGGGTGAGATGTTTAGGATCTCTGAGAATCAGCTAAACCCGAGAGGGACAGTCCCTCCAGGGTCAGTAAGGCCCCCAGATGTCAAAACATCAGAATATATACTAGAAAATAAAAGGCATGGTTAATATAGCATTGCAGAATGAGAGGAATGCTGGACTAGAAGAGAACTCCAGGATGTCTTCATCAGGGCCCCGTGTCAGTACAGCTCCAGGTTCAAGTGGTGCCATTCAGATGGAAATGATGTGAATAGTACTTCCGCTTCTGAGTGTACAACCCAGCAGCTGCCATGTCTCAGAAGGTGCAGACATATGTGAGGCTCGGGAGGGCTTCATGGGGCCCTGGTGTAGTGTGAGGCACTTTGGAGCCAGAAGACAAGGACCTTGGGTGCTGGGCCAGGGAGTGGGTTATTTAGAGCGTCAGAAACAGACTCTTCAAGGCCTTTGCGGAAGGGAGTGACAGAAGCTGACTTCTGAGATTCGCCTTCTCTCCTCTCTCTGCGTGGCCTCTAGGCATGAGTTCCTCAGGACCCAACGGTGGGTAGGGCCAAGGTGTCACTTAGACAGTAGAGTGCAGAGGCTGAAAGTGAGGGGTCAGATGCCTGGCTCCAGACCCTGCCTTCTCTGCTTACCAGCTGCTGCACCTTCGGCAGTTACTTAACCTCTCTGTGCCTCAATTTTCTCATCTGCAAAGTGGGAAAACAGCATAACTACATCTCATGGGGATGTTCTGATGACTAAGTAAGATGATAAATGTGAAATGCTTAGCAGAGTGCCTGACATACAATGAGTGGTTAAGAAACATGGGCTATTTTATTAGGCTTCCAAATTTTGGTTCCTTGTCACAAATCCTGCTCTCAGGAGAGACAAGGAAAGGACTATTCCTGGATCTCCTAGGGGCAGGTACTAAAACTTCTGTGAGAGAATGTTTTCCTCCTTTACGGGAGAGGAAACCAGACTGGGGAGAGAGTGGGTCACTTACTGAAGGTCCCACAGCCAGTTGGTGCAGAGCCAGCACTTGTGCCAGGTTGGACAACTTCTGAGTCAAAACCAGAAAAGAATGTCTTGCTTCTTGCTTTTAGGAATTCATATTCTTTTTACATTTCATTAACTGCTATTATGGGTCTACAACCATCAGGTTGGAAATTCAGCTGGAAGGAGGCAGGGGTGGTGAGGAATCAGAGACGCTGGACCTTCAACCCTGGATCTGCAACCAGTTTCATGCTCAGAAGCGCCCCATCTTGGTTTAATGCTCTGCTGTGGCTGTCTTAACTTTCTTAATAATTTTTAAACAACGAGCCCCTTGTTTCCACTTTATACTGGGACCCACAAATTATGCAGCTGGTCCTGCCTTACCAGCTGAGCAACCTTGGGCATATTCTTTAATCTTTCTGAGCCGCAGTTTCTTCTTTATAGAATGGGGACATTAATTAATTGCCCCAAAGGAGTCCACAGAGCATAACTGCTAGGAATCAGGGCTTTGGAGTCAGACCTGGGTGTGAATTCCAGCTCTGCCACTTGGTATTGTGTACTGTGAGCAAGCCATTTTTTTCCTCTATGTTTAGTCATGCAACATGATAATGATATCATTACCTATTTCAGAGTTGTTTATAGGGTTTCTGTGAGACAATAAATGCAAACCACTTAGCCCTGTATCTGACACATCATAGGCACACACATTTTTGAGCATTAAATTACATGGCTTTTTCTTCTCCAATTAAAAACAATTACACACAGGTACCATTTAAAAAGAAACAAAACACGAATTCTCTGAACTGAATTACGAACATAAGGAATCCCCTCTTTTCCTTTATTACTGACCCTTTTCCATTTACTATATTTTATTTTCACAAGAGTATTTTATTACCTTTTAATTCCTATGAAGAAGAGATAATTAACTACAAAATGAAAGTGGGGGAAGGATACATATCTCTGTGCCATATCCTCAGTGAAGCCTCAGGGCTGTGACTGCTGCTGTTCCTCTGCCTGTGTACTCGCTCGGTCCCTGCCCTTCCTAGGGCTGGTCCTTCTCTTCATCCAGGTCCCACCTCACAGGTGACTTTGTAAAGGAGCCCTTATTGGTATTGGCCTCACCTTGATGAGTCTCCCCCAATCTCCACCCCAGCCTCCACTCTCCCTGAGAATTTACTGATTCCTTTAAGTCCCGTTCCCACTCAGGAGCATGACTTGTACATCACTGTTCAATGCCTGGCACATAAAAGTTGCCCAACAAATATCTATGAAATGAGTGAGCAGATGTATGAAAATCAGAACACACATACACATAGATACACACCCAGACATATAAACATGCACACTCCAATTCTCACATAGGATGGTACGTATTACTTATCAATCATCTGCTTAGCCCCAACCAGCTGCCAAAGGATAGGCTGCTAGGCATTAAAATGGGAAGGATTTGAGACATGGCTGCTGTGTGTGTGTGTGTGCGTGTGTGTGCACGTGCACGTGTGTGTGTTTGCATGTGCACATGTGTGTGCTGTGTATGTGTGCACACCCCCCACCCACCTGAATTGAAATGTCGTGGACAAATGTGAATCCTGAAACTGCACTTAAAACTGGCTTCAATTTTTCTGTATATTTTTAACCTTTTTAGTCCCTAGACATTCTCAATAAATGTCAAATGAAAGAACTAGAAATCTGTTCTCAAATTTTGTCTTGCTCACGATGTTCTTTCCAGTTTCCTGATGACAGAGGAGATATAATTTGGCCCCAAATCAACACTGTGATGACTGACTCTGTGACCTAAGAAAAGCTTCACATCTATCTGGCAGACCTCAGAGTCATGCACGTTGGCAGAGACTTTGGGGCCTTATTCTGGTAGCAACTGGGAAACTGCAGGCAGCCCCTCGCTGAAGCCCAGGCTTATGTCAGGCCCTCCTCCCTGGCCTCTCACTGCCAGCCAGGAGAACTGGTGCCACTAGTTAAGGGCAGTGTGTAAAGACAGCTTGCTGAGCAGACTGCATTGGAGAGATGGCTGGCTCAGGCCTCTGAGACACCACATTCCGTTCCTGGAAGGCTTTGGCCTTCCCCATGCTGTGAGAGGAAACCATCCTATTCTGTGTGGTTCCCTCATGCCAGCATGAGTGCTTCCATTACCCACCAAGTCTCTGATCTTGCTGGTGTTGGGCACCACCTCTTTAGAGCCTGTGCCAAGCCCTCCTTTCCTTTTACCCTGGCTGTCTGGGGGGCCGTGGGTCAGCAGCCAAACTTGAAGAGAACTATGTGGTGTTCAGAAGCCTGGACCCACCCAAGGCTCGGCTGCAGCTTTCTCCCAGTCCCTTCAACCCTAAAGACCCTCAGCTCACACCCTTCTCAGCTCCCAAACAGAAACACATCCAGCAGAACTGATGCTGGAAAGGTACAGAAACCACGCACTTCAAAGCAGCCCTTCTGAAAGACAATCCTTCTAAGATCAATGAATTCAGCCAACCAGGGTACTTTCTCTTAGATGTATAGAAATGCTTCTCTCTTATGTACAATAAACATGAGCATCTTCCAGGCAATTTTTTTTAATCTCTTGACAAATGTATTATTAGTGTAAAGATGGAGCAGTGGTTCTTTAAGAATCTTTACTTACATGGCTTTGAAAAACATTCACAATTGAAGGGTATAGGTTTTCATGCACATATTTTTCAATCTTTTTGAAAAGATGGCTTATGTATACTTTTTCATATTCTAGTTATATAAATCTCTTTTTAAGCTATCAATTGCACACAGCTTCAAAGCTTTTTTTTTTTTTTTTTTTTTTAATGAAAGGACCATTTTCCTAGGTGGTACTGGAGTGCAGGATTTCCCATTTCGCTGAACAAGAGTCGCAAGCTGAAATCAAATTCTCACTTCTGCAGGAAATACAGTCTAAATCTCCAGAGTCTGTTGAATACACTGATACCCTCTATTCCCCATGTGTGAGGGTGGGAGAGGTGGCTCTCTGACAGGGTTAGGAGTGTACACTGTCACAAATGGTTAGCAAGATGCTTGACAAAATGTATCTCAGTTTTCAAAATGACCATAGACTTTGGCCCAGTAAATAGACTCCTGAGAAAGGTAGCCAAAATTCAAAGACTTTTGTACTAATTGCCATTGCATTAAAAAGAACAACAGAAGCATGCTGACATATGATAATCACATGGCCCTATCTAACTACAAGGACACAGTCAAGCACATTTGGATACACCTATAGAAGGGGACGTTATGCAGCCACTGAGGGGGTCAGTGAAGTTTTATGATGTGGGGGAATAAATACGACATAAGGTTAAGTGGAAAAACAACATAATGTTCAAATGACTATGTATTGAAAGAAGAAAACAATATTGACAATACTGCATTAATTGAACTATGGGAAATTTTTACTGAGTTTATTCTTTTTAAAAACATTTTCATATGAGGATAAAAAATTATAATTTTTAAAAATTACATTAAAAATATCATGGCAGTCCAATTGCCACTTACTACCTCAGGTTCTCTTAACAGAATGCAGAGCTCATAAGTCTTGCCTGAGAAACATCCTTCTTCCTTGCCTGGGGGTGCCCACCTGGGCAGCCAGACAGCCAGCCTCTTTCTGTTGTCACAGAGGGCTCCCGTTGGCAAGTGTGAGCCCCACACATGCATTAGACATGGAGTGCTTTGTTGGCATTTGGTGATGAGGTTGTTAGAAACCCAAGGAGGCTGAGAGCCTGAGGAGCAAAAGCCTTGGAATTTGAGAAGGGATGACATACTGTTATTATAATATTTTCTTCTGGATCTAGAGCCTGAGAAAAGGGCTGAATTTCCCTAGAAGCTCACCAAGGGTGGAAGATTCAGCATGTGTGAGGCTGTTATTAACCGAACCTCCTGGCTGGGCTTGGTGGCTCACGCCTGTAATCCCAGCACTTTGGGAGGCTGAGGCAGGCGGATTGTGAGGTCAGGAGATCAAGACCATCCTGGCTAACATGATGAAACCCCGTCTCTACTAAAAATACAAAACATTAGCTGGGCATGGTGGTGGGCAACTCTAGTCCCAGCTACTCAGGAGGCTGAGGCAGGAGAATGGCGTGAACCTGGGAGGCAGACCTTGCAGTGAGCTGAGATTGTACCACTGCACTCCAGCCTGGGCGACAGAGCAAGACTCAGTCTCAAAAAAAAAAAAAAAACCAAACCTCCCAGCAGGTAGAAGGTCCCTGCTCCTTGCCTGCCTGGTTCAGCCTGTGTGAGGGTGGCTGCTACAACCAGAGATGCAGAGTCTCAGGCCAGAGACAGACACTGGCACTGGGGAACACAGAGAGGGAACACAGCTTTCTCAGCACTGTCCACCAGCAGAGCCTTGTTACTAAAACAAGAGTAACCAAATAATAAAGCTTGTCTTAAACTGTGGCTGAAAGTGAGTTCACATTTTGCCCTAAATACCAACCTCCACCAACCAAGAACTTATCAGAAATGAGTCCTCCTCAGAATGCATTAGTTTTTAGAGGCCCCAGACAGGTTCTCCGCATTCCCCACACAGGTCTCCCTGGGCTTCCACACCTGCCGGGGCCCCACTGTCCATGCCTGCTGCTCATGTGGCCAGGACTAGCCCTCTTCACCTGACCAGGGAACACCCAAGCCACAGGGGCCCAGACTGGCTGGGATCCATGGAAGGTGGGGAGAAGGGGCTCTCCCCGAGGAGACCTACCTTGTGCCTTTGCCAGGTGAACTCTGGTTATTATGTCCACTGCCTCACAGAATCTCTCTAGACAGTTCGATCTACTTACTTCATGGTCTGCATTGGAAACCTCACCACATCTCTAATAAAAACCAACAGTAACACACTTACAATGAACTTATTTTTGACAAACGTTTCAGAAACATACACTGCGGAAAAGACAGTCTCTTCATTAAGTGGTGCTGGGAAAACTGGATATGCATATGCAGAAGAATGAAACTAGACCCCATCTCTCACCACATACAAAAATCAAATCACAATGAATTAAACACTTAAATATAAGACCTCAAACTATGAAAACAGCTATCAGAAAACATTGGGAAAAATCTCTAGGACACTGATTAGTCTGGGCAAAGATTTCTTGAGCAACACCCCACAAGCACAGGCAACATGTTCACAAGGTGAACATGGACAAATGGGATCACATCAAGTTAAAAAGCTTCTGCACAGCAAAGGAAACAATCAACAAAGTGAAGAGACAACTCACAGAATGGAAGAAGATCTATGCCAACTACCCCTCTGACAAGGGATTAATGACCAGACCATATGAGGAATTCAAACAACTCTACAGGAAAAAAATTCTAGGAATTCGATCGAAGGATAGGCAAAATATTTGAATAGACATTTCTTAAAAGAAGACCTACAAATGGGAAACAGGCATATGAAAAGGGGCTCAACATCACTGATCATCAGAGAAATGCAAATCATAACTGCAATGAGATATCATGTCACCCCAGTTAAAATGGCCCATATCCAAAAGACAGGCAACAACAAATGCTAGCGAGGATGTGGAGAAAAGGGAACCCTTGTACACTGTTGGTGGGAATGTAAATTAATACAACTACTATGGAGAACGGTTTTGAGATTCCTCAAAAAACTAAAAAAGTAGCTACCATTTAATCCAGCAATCCGATTCCTAGGTATATACCCCAAAGAAAAGAAATCAAGTGTATTGAAGAGATATCTGCACACCTATGTTTGTTGCAGCACTGTCTACAATAATTAAGATTTGGAAGTAACCTAAGTGTCCATTAACAGATAAATGGATACAGCAAATGTGGTATATATACACAATGGAGTACTATTCAGCCATAAAAGAGAATGAGATCCGGTTATTTGCAACAGCATGGATGGAACTGGAGATCATTATGTTAAGTGAAATAAGTCAAGCACAGAAAGACAAACATTGCATATTCTCACTTATTTGTGGGATCTAAAAATCAAATCAATTGAACTCATAAATATAGAGAGTAGAAGGATGGTTACTAAAGGCTGAGAAGGGTGGTAGGGGGTTGGTAAGGGGAGGTGGGGATGGTTAATGGATATAAAAAATACAAAGAATGAGTAAGACCTACTATCTGACAGCAGAGGAAGGTGACTATAGTCAATAATTTAACTGTATATTTTAAAGTAACTTAAAGAATACAATTTGATTGACTGAAACTCAGAGGATAAATGCTTATGAGGGGATGGATACTCCATTCTCCATGATATGCTCATTTCAGTTTGCATTCCTGTATCAAAACATCTCATGAACCCCATAAATATATACACCTACTATGTACCCACAAAAGTGGTAAAAATAATTTAAAAAAATTTTTTTTAAAAGATACAAAAATATATTCAAGATAAAAAAAGGAAAAGAAAACAAACAGGAAAACAAAACACACTAGTCCATCTACCCCATCACTTACCTTTCTCCAAAACCCTTCTCTGCAACACAAATGCCTGTCTCCTGTCAGTCATACAGCCACAACGTTGACAGAAGAGTGGACGGAAATGCCCTGGAGGCGTAGCAGTTAAGCAGCAAGCTCTCCTGCAGATGCTGTTCCCTGCTCCTTCCCATCACTGGCCCCTTCCCCAATCCCTTAGGCATCTGGCTAATGTATTCATCCTTCAGATTTCAGCCGAGGTGCCACCTTCTTGGGGAAGCTTTCTCAAGCCTGGCCACTGTACCTTACCTCTGTTCTCACAGACCCTAGGCTTTGCTTGTCAGTGCCCTGACTGCCCTGTATTGGAATGGAGTGCTCACCTGTCTGCCCTCACCTCACCACCGCTCCAGCTCATGGTTCCCAGGGGCTGGTTGGGTGCAGAGTAGGCCCTGAGGGAAGTGTCTTGAGTTGAGTGGAAGCTCAGTTAGGCCAGGACTACACTGTCCCTCTGCATGGTTAGGGTGGGGTCAATGCTCCAAGCCCCTAAGTTGGTACTTCATGGGTCACACCACACTTAACAGAGCTCCTGGGGCCAACCTCGGCCAGCTCGTGGCTCTCCATCCAGTTCCTCCCTCCACCAGGATCTCTGGGAGGTAGATGTGGGGAGAAGGGGGCACTGTTCTGCCCACTTTAGAGATGAGGACAACTGTGGCAGGGAGAGGGGGTGACTTTCTGTGGTCACACACATTATGAGAATCCAAGTATGGCTTGTGGGCAGATGGCAGCATAGGTACCCAGGCTGGCTGGGGCTGCCCTCCACTGGGTCATGCAGAGAGCAGGAAGGAAGCCACCATTTAACAGGCACTTTGCCAGGCCTCTTACACATGTTATCAACCTGCACAGCATCCATCTGAGGAAGGGATTAGCAGGGTAATTTTACCATGGAGACAATTGAGGCTGAGATATCAAATGACCTGCCTAAGGTCACACAGACAGCAAATAATGCTGACAGGCTGGCCAGACTCCCAAAAGCACTTTAGTCACTTCTACTTGCTCTCCTCTGCCTTCACTTTCCTCATTGCTAGAATTAATTTAGGCATTCCTACCTTTCAGACACAGTTCTGCCTTGTGACAACCCTCTGCGATAGGTACTGCTATTAACCTCATTTTGCAGATGCCACATCTGAGGGTTCTGAGAGGTTCACTGACTTATCCAATGTCCTTGAGTCAAATGGAACTGGATTTGAACCTGGGTCTTTCTGGCTTCGGAGCCTGCACTCTGAAGCTGTATCCTCTGCTGACTCCCTGCAGGGAGACATTCTGGCCTGCTGCAAAATTTCAAAGAACTGTCAGTGGAAGAGGGAGTAGGCAGACTGTGCAGCTCAGGGACAGACCCAGGTCCATGGGGAGATGAGGTAGCATGTGGGGCTCTGAGTCAGGAGGCCTGATTCTAGCTGTGGTTCCACCTCTCTACATAACCTTGGGCAAGGCTTTTCCCCTTATGGTGCCTGAGAGGTCATCTAAGGTTGAATGATGAATGACCTTGTTATCCTGAATGAAGACAGGTCCCAGTGGTGGGCCTGGGTGACAAGAGTGATACCCCTCCCACCTCCACCATCCACAAGCCATGGTCCTCTCTCAAGTCTGCCTTACTATCCAATGACATATTTCCTTTTTAACATGGGGGAAGAGTTCTAATTTCAGAACTTTCCCCCAAATAGCTTTCCTCCAATGGCCTCAAAAGATGGCAGTGTTCTTCTTTCCTTTGAGATGCATTGTAGGAAATTGGGCAGGATCTCTATGTCTGCAGACAGATGGAGCTGGCCTCAATATTACTAGCTGTGTGGCAAGTGTATTAACCTCAGTGATCTCATCTGTAAAATGGGAAAATAACAGTTTTCAGGGTTCAGTGAAGAATAAATGACCACGTGCATGCAATGAATGCCCTTAGATAAGGCTTGGCAAATAGTAAGTGCTCAGTGAGTGGTAATGATTATTACTGTTATTATTATTGAGTACTGTTTGGGATGAGTGAAGTCTGCCCACACCCTCTTCCCCTCAGGGCTGATGTTATTGGACCTAGAAAACCTCCAAGTCTCATTACCCAGGCTTATCCACAGGAGAGTCAGATCAAAGCAGACTTGAGCATGGGCACTTTTATCTGGCAGCTCTTTAAGCACATTAAGATACCATTGAGTAGGTAAATCAGCATCCTGTACAGAGCCATTTGCTGCACCTTAATGATCAGCTATGTCAGTGATGTCAAAACAGGTCGTTATTCACGGAGAAGTGCCCCCACGAGGCCCTCCGCCAGAAGCTCAGCTGCTTGCCAGGAAGATCTGAGCAATCCCCTTAGCAGCTGCAAACTCCGGAGCACCTGCCCTGGGGTCACGCTGCTGCAGTCAGTGGAATTCAGGCCTCAATAATGATTTTTCCAATTATTTGAGGAAAAAGTACTCCATTGTGATTTTTTAAATTGAGATAAAGGGAACTAAAAAGCGCTGCTGTTCTCTGAGCCCCATCGTGTGTGGTTCTGTGCAAGGCTCTCCACTGGCAGCCTTGCAGCTGGTCCTCATAACAAGGCATTTACATTTAGGGAAGCCAAAGCTGAACAGCAGTGACTTTCCCAAGGTTGCAGAGTGAGCTATGGCATAGCTGAGACTGAAATCTGAGACTGAAATCTGAGTTCCTGGACCGACCCCCAGGACTGTACACTTTCTACCGCACCCCACTGTCTCCCTTTGATCCCAATCTTAAGTACAAAAATCCAGGACATGATGCTTAAGCCACACAGCCTTACTCAATTCTATGGATTTAAATGTGTGTACTCATGTGTGTGTGTTTTCTTTTGCATGATGGTGTCTATTTTCCCAATTTAATCATAGCATTCATTTGCATAGGGATTTAAATTTTGTGAAGTACTTCTATGCTGGAATCTCTTTTGGTCTTAACAATCTTACAAAATAGCTTGGCCAAGGATTATGATTCTTAATTTACAGTTAGGGAACCAAAGCTCAGCCAGAGAAATAGCTTAAGCAAAGCCTGTGGCTAGATTATGACCCAGCTAAGGGTTGGGTTCAGCCCTTCTCACTCCATACCTAGCTCCATCTCCACTGGTTTGCACCTGACCCCATTCCCCCATCACCTACCCCTGTGTGGGGTTCAGGGCATATGCTTAGGAAAGGGAAGAGGAGCAGAAGGAACCAGAGGAAGAATGTAGAAGAAATGAAGGGGAAGGAGAGGCAAGTCAAAAACGGGGACAGGGAGAAGAGAGGTTATTGATAAAGAGGAGAGATTCAAAAAGATAGGAAAGAGATTGTGAGGGTAGAGGAAGAAGCTGAGCCACCTGGTATGAAGCTCAAAAAGTCAGTGCTGTCCTATTGAATGGAAGGGTATATGGGTAATTTTTCATGCTGAATTCTCTTTAAGGAAAAGGTAGAGTCTTCCTGCCCTGGTGTAAGGAGCCACACCTGGGCCCGGCATCTTTGGGTTTGAAGCTTGACACCCAAGTCTCAGGCCCACTTTGTGTTTCTCTGGCCCATGAGATAATCAGAGGTAACTTTAGTTTCAGGCAAGTAGTATCTGAAAGATGGACAGTCTTCAAGCCTGGGTTTATTTTTGAACACGTTATAACTTCAAGACAATGGTTCCCTATACCTGGTTCAATCAAGGAAATGAAAGTTGTGGCACCTCTTAGGTGCTATGTAGACATTGTCCCATTGAACTCCAGCTACCATTTCCAGGTAAGTCTCATCACCATCTTATAGATAAGGTAACTGAAAAGTTAAATACATTGCTTAAGGACATGCAGGCTATGTCTCTCTTCTAAAATGTTTTCTGATATACCCTTTTATAAAGCTCATAACATCCCCCTTTGGAAATTCTCAATCCCCTTTTTCTATCCTCTTTCTTCTGACACAGTAAGATGCCCTCTGGAATAGGCTGATACGAATTTGAATTCCATATTTACCATTTACCGCTGTGAGATTTTGGGCAAGACAGTCAATCTCTCTAAGTTTTCCTTATCTATTAAATGGGCTAGAATTGCTTATCTCACAGGATGTTCCTGCCCTTTGTGCAGTGAACTTTGCTTTGGACTGTTACACTTCTTTGCCTCTGTCTAAATATGTCCATTTGATCTCCCATTCTTTCAAGGCTTTGCTACGCATCTAATCACCCACTCCCTGCTAAGGCGCCAATGGACAACAAGAGCTTCACACAGGGGTCACGAAACTTTTTCTGTAAAGAACCAAATAGTAAATATTTAGGCTTTGAGGGCCACATAATCTATTGAAACGACTCGGCTCTGCTGCTGTAGGGTAACCATAGGCACTATGTGAACTAATGAGTGTGGCCGTGTTCCAATAAATCTTTATCTACATGCACTAAGAATAAAACTTCATATAATTTTAATGTGCTATGAAATATTATTTTTCTTATTTTCAATGATTTAAAATGTAAAAACCATCTCTTAGTTCACAGTTTTACAAAAACAGGTAGTCAACCAGATTTGGCCTATAGGCTACACTTTGCTGACTCCTAGCTTAACACCTGACTCCTGCAGGAGGTATTTTCATTTCTCAGGGGGGATTATCTATTAAAATAAAAGGTTGGTACTGCAATGGTGGAACCTCAGACACCCTGGCAGGACAGTAAAAGAGAGAACTGAGGGCAAGAATCCTTCTTTACTCTGTCTTTCTGGCAATGCCCTGAGCCCACTTTCCAAGCAAATCTGGACACCTTCTTGGGCTTATCACCCTCTGATTTGAAATCAATGCCTTTCATGTAGTAAAATGTAAGCCAGATCCTCAGTTTATTTAATAACCCATCTGACTTTTGGAAGGGGCAAGGTGACCAGCTGACCCCTGGGGACTGGGTGTTTATCTCCTTGGTAGGGTGGTGGCAGGTGACAGCTGCAGAGGGAACTGGGACATACACTTGACAAGGTGTAGCAGGGTCCTCTTCAGCCCCAGACACGCCCAACTGCCACCTTTGTCCCTTTGCCTATGGAGTCTCATGAGATTTGCCTGCAAATCTAACCTTGATGCCCACTTTAACTTGAGTTTGGAATAAACAAATACATGACTTTTAGTACTTTTGGGGGAGTGCTCTACTTGAAAGTGCACTCAGAAATAATCATTCTTTTCTGCTGGTCTCCCTCCCCTGAGTCTCTGCATTCCAGCCAACATCTATGTGGTTTGCCGAGGAGTCCTTCGTCCCTAAGATACTCTTAACCACATGGAGGCAGGAAAGCCTCTGTGGTCCCCTGTCCTCAGGATGATATATGAGGAGGCCCTCCCTCCATGACCTGGTCCTCAGTTGGCCAGTCCAGTCTTCTTCCCTCTGATCCAGCCACATTGTGCTCCTTCCTACCTAACACCTGTTTTCTAGTCTGGAATACCCCCTCCTCTCTGTGCTAAAGCCCAGTATTTTTCTAGATTTGCTCCAGGAACATCTCCCTGGGGCTCCTGCCTGGTCCAAGGTTAAGTATCCCCTTTGTCTTCCCACGGTCCCTCCAGTGCAGCTTTTATCCTCAGCATTTCTATCATCTCCTTCTATAATCGGAGTTCTGGTAGATCCTACCCGTATCCCCAGCCTTTAGCACACAGTAGGCCTTCACTAAAGGGTTAACTAATTCACTCCAAAAAAAAATATTTCCCACCAGGTAATATGCATTCAATTTCAGTGTCTCTCACAATGCCAATAACTAAAAGCAACGAATCTAGCCAGCATTAGATTAGTTGCTGCTAATCTAATGCTGATTAGATGCTGTCTTTCTGCCACTGTCTTTTCAACACAAAAGTGTTAGACACACTCAGCATCTAGTAAGTATTTTCCGCATGGTCTTAGTCAAAGTGAAGTTGATGGAAGCAGCCAGACCTACCCCAGACTTGTTAAATCGGGATCTGCATTTTACCAAGATCCCCCCTACTGACTGATGTGCATGTTTGAGTTTGAGAAGCGCTTCTCCAAAAGCTGCCACCCTTCCTTCCTAATGAAGGACCTGTTTGTGGGATGGTGGAAGACACAGTGCAGACAATTTGACGCACTTGGAGAATTATTCAAAACCCGAAGAACAGAGAAGAAATGGTTCAATTATGTGGCTGCATCTCTCTTTCTTTTCCTTTTAAATAGGATATCTTATTGGGAAAGTAAAAGGAACCGAAATCAGTTGGCCTGTGGGAGAAACTCTTCCAACTGGTGGTGTTGTGTGAATTGCTGCTGAGCAAGGTGTAATTAGCTGCCATGGGATCACACTCACGGATGAGGTGAGCAGACAAAGAAGGGCTCCTTGGGGGCTGGAGAGCTGATTCTTCAGTCTGGGGAGCCTCAGACACAGAAAAGCTGGAAGTCCAGTCAGCAACACATCTGGGGAAAAATAGTGAAAGCCCACAAGGAAAGTCTCCGGTGGCTCTCTTCAAAGGGGAATAATTTTGCATAAAGGGATAGTGAAATACTGAACTTTGGGTTCATTCTAGCAGAACAAATAATGAATACAAAATCTGACTTGCAACAATAAAAGGGAAAATGTACCAAGTAAGTGTTGTGGAAGATAATCTTTTCAGCTTGAAACATAGAAAAAAAAAGATGGGCCAAGGGATTAAAAAGAATAAAGGAAAGCATAAACAAGGGATGCATTTCTCCAAACAGCATAACATAAGATAAAATAAAAACTAAACAAACAAACAGAAAAACCCCAAACTAGCCACTGGATTACAAACAATCTTCTAAAGGACAGGTCAGTGCCCCTGTAAGGAGGGCTCAGCAGGCACATGTGGCTAAGCTCAATCTCTGGCTGGGCCCACTGCTGTTACTGCCACCCTCACCCTGACAGCCTCCAAGGGTACTACATCCTCTGCAGTGCTGTGGTCCACAAAGGGATGCAGGTCCTTCTCCAGGTCATCATAGCCCACACAGGCCCAGGCTTGGGTAATTTCATTCAGTTGACAAGAGGGAAACACTAAGAAGACCAAACTGGGTTCACTGTATAGTGCTCAGGTGATGAGTCCACCAAAATCTCACAAATCGCAACTCAAGAACTTACTCATGTAACCAAACACCACCCATTCCCCAAAAACCTGAGGAAATAATAAAAAAAAGAAAATAGAGAAAGCTTAGAAACACTCAAGTTGAGACAGGTGCATACTGGGATCCCCACAGGCTATCTAGCAGCCCGTTTAGAGGATTATCCATCTCTGGGAGTGTCTGTAGCCTTCTTTTGACTCTACGTGTAATGAGATCCATGCCCAAGCCCTCCACTATCAAGCACATATATCCAGGAGACTCAAATCTCCATCTCTAGCACATACCTGTCTCCTAAGCATCAGATGTGACAATCCCACTGCCCACTAGACATCTCTGGCACCTCGCATTGATCTTTTCTCTAAAATGGACTCTTCAGCTGCTGCACATAACTCCTTCTCCTTCCATGTTGCCACCTCAGCGACTGGCATCATAATCCATCTGGGGGCCCATGTGCCAAATGGGAGAGGCAGACCTATCCTTCTCTTCCTTATCCAGTTTATCTACCATGGTCCACTGAGTCTATCTACTATTTCTCAAACCTGTTCTCTCTTTATTTTTTAATTTATGTATATATATATGTATATATATATATATACACACATATATATATATATATACACATATATATATATATATATATTTTTTTTTTTTGAGACAGTCTCACTCTGTCGCCCAGGCAGGAGTGCAGTGGCGCACTACTGGCTAACTGCAACCTCCACTTCCCAGGTTCAAGTGATTCTCCTGCATCAGCCTCCCAAGTAGCTGGGATTGCAGGCATGCACCACCATGCCTGGCTAATATTTTGTGTTTTCAGTAGAGACAGGGATTCGCCATGTTGGCCAGGCCGGTTTCAAACTCCTGGCCTCAAGTGATCCACCCGCCTCGGCCTCCCAAAGTGCTAGGATTACAGGTGTGAGCCACTGCGCCCAGCCCCATTCTCTCTTTAAGTGATGCTTTGTAGAAATAGCTCATCTGCTAAAGGTGGAAAATACCATATAAGAAAATAAACAGTAAAAGTGAAAACAGTACTCTTAGAACTCAAACAGTCTATCTGGTTCCACAGATGACTCCTTACTCATTCTTTCTTGCTGGGCCCCATATAACATCAGGTAACCATAGGTCCTTACTAGGAGGACAACATTCAAAACCTCTCCTTCCCATCCTAACTACTCTACTAAGACCCTGCCCTTAAAGACTTCAAAGATAGCTTTTGTACGTCATCTCCTTCTTTCTCCCTTAAGACAGTCAGTGCTATAGACTAAACGTTTGTGTCCTCTCCAAATTCATATGTTAAAACCTAATCCCTTAAAGAAAATGTAGTTCATATATATACACCACGGAATACTATGTGGCCATAAAAAGGAACAAGATCATGTCCTTTGCAGGGACATGGATGGAGCTGGAAACCATTATCCTCAGCAAACTAATGCAGGAACAGAAAACCAAACACTGTATGTTTTCATTTATAAGTGGGAGCTGAACAATGAGAACACATGGACACAGGGAGGGGAACATCACACACTGGGGCCTGTCAGGTGGCAGGGAGGAGGGAGAGCATTAGTATAAATAGCTACTGCATGTGGCGCTTAATATCTAGGTGATGGGTTGATAGGGACATCAAACCACCACGGCACACATTTACCTATGTAACAAACCTGCATGTCCTGCACATGTATCCCAGAACTTAAAATTAAATTAAACTTTAAAAAGAAAGATTGCAAATTCAAAAACCTGGCATGAGAGGCAGGATGCAAGCCTGTCATTAGCATGCGACCTGCTGCAGGTGCATCACTTTCCTAGTTCCTAATATAATTTTTCATCCCTGAAAACTAGAGGTACCTCTAAGCACACTGTGAGTTCTCAAAGCTCAGAACAAAACAAAGAGAAGTAGTTCTCCCTTCCACTCACACAGGTCTGGCTTATGCTTTGAGCCATCCTCTTCCCTGGCCAACTGAGAATGGGAGTGTTCCCTTCAGCAAAGTTCCACCTCACTGCAGAGTGAGCTGACCATTATCACCTATTCAGAGTTAAAACCTCAGAATACAGCAGAGAAGACAAAGCTCACATAAGAGCAAAATGTATGTGCCTGGCACCCTGGGCTTGTTTTCTGAATGCAAAGTCTTCCTTCCTCCCCTCGCTGTAAGCTAAACCCTTGATAAGCCCCACCCTGCCCATTGGTGAGTGATGCTAGCAAACACACTTTTAGTTCATGCTTAGGTGATGGATGGAAAGTTCAGTGCCATGGGCTGCAAGAAGTGTGGTTCCGCCCTAAGGGAGAAGATAAGACCAACCCACAGAGAAAAGGCAGGAATAAGAAAACCATAGCCTTGGTAGATAATACTTTGGCCAAGGTCTGAAAGGCAGGCAGCGGAAGAGCCGGGGTCTGAGATGTCCTTCTGTGCATAGCTGGGTAAGGCCAGCAGCATTCAGAGAAAGCCTCTTCTGGTCCTGCCCATGGAAGGGGCAATTGTGATAAACAATGAGGGCCACTGCCCTGGGGCATCACTGGAGTCTGAGAGCAAGTCCTCATGGGCCCTGCGAAGGAAGGAAAGGCTCCAGCTGTGGGGCAGGGTTCCGTGCTCTGAGAAAGCTCCCTGGAAGAAGCTGGCCACAGTAAGGACTGGGTGACATGCTGATTGGGAGTGCTTGGGGGAGGTGGGAGCTCTTGCGTGTAATGGATTGGATTCACTGTGCTGCAATCCCCTCCTGCTTAAAAGGAAATGGCTTAGAACAGGTACCAGAATTCAAACTGCCAAAGTGCATTTGCTTGGTTACTCCAGTTGCTTGTGAGGAGTCAGTTTGGGAGAGGCCTCTGTTCTCCCAGAGAATTAAGTGGAATTACGTCTGGCAAATGCACACAGCTCCCTCTCAGCTGGATCTGAGGGGGTTGAGGCTCATTGCAGCTCCTCACCCTGACCTCAAAACCTCAACCACCCACCCTCCCCTACCACAGGCCCCTCCAATCTTGCTTTCCACATCTCTCCAGTCACAGCCTTCTGTGCAAGCCAAACTGCTCTCCTCATATTGTTCACTGGTCCCCTGAATGTTCTCCCCTCTCTATGTTCCTTGTCCATTTACAAAGTGCAGGATTCACCCCATACTGGCTCCATGAAAAGCCAAACCTTTCCCCCAAGGCATTTGATGCCCACTCACAGTAAGGGGCAGTCTGCATCATCTGCAAGTAACAAGCAAGCCAGTAAAACATAGTTCGTTCCAGTTTGCTCTACACAGCTGGGAGAAGGGGCAGGACAAGAGATATACAACTCAGACCAGTTGTGGTCAGTTCTTACCTGGAGAAAGGTGAACTTCCAGTTAAGAGGCTGCAGCCCTGACCAGGGATATAAGAGAGAATAGGCCCCAAGATGAGTGAGTAAGAGTTGAGGGTTGTCCAAGTGGAGGCATGAAGTGAATCAGTAGGCTGGGAGGAGGAGAGGAGGTTCCTCTCTAGGTCTGGGAGCTGGGACAGGAATGCTAGAAAGGCCTTATGGCCTGTTATAGATATCAGAGAGCCTGGAGGGCCTGTCTATGATCTGGAAGTCTACTGGGGCAGTGACTGAGAGAGAGGACATCCCAGACTCTGGATCCGGATGCCAAACACAGTTTGGCAGTTTGAATTCTTGTACCTGTTCTCAGTCATTTCCCTTTAGGCAGGAAGGAATTGCAAGGGGTAAGCTGGGGGAAAAAATTAAGGATGAAGAACTCATTGTCAGCTTCTGCCACTACAGGCTGGCAGCTGTTGGGAATAACACTCAAAATCCTAAGGAAATTGAACACTCAAACAAAGGATCCTCAGCAAAGCAATTTTACTTCTGTGCAGAGGGGTGCTTCTCCTTGGCCAGTCGCCATGAGAGCACACCTGAACAAAGGGGCAGGAGAGCCTTTATTCCTGATGCAAGTCCTGCCCCTGTACCCTTTCCCCATTGGCCAGGGTCAGGTCCCACAATCTGAACTAATCCCGGTTGCCTAAACATTTGAACTTTCTTTAGATAGGGTGGGCACGTAAGGGAGAGAGGGGAAAAGGGGAAGGGGTGTCTGCAATGAGCTAGAGAGCTAGTCTTCTTTCCAAATAAGGAAAGGAATGTGAGCTGGTACTGATAAGCCTGGTACTGTGACATGTCTGGGCATGTAGCAAAGGCAGGAAGGAAAAAAGAGAAAAAGAAAAAATGGGTGGTGGGGGGTACTATGAATTAAAGAATAAAGGATTGATTAGGCTCTTTGAAGAGAAACCTCATCATATCCCACACAGCTAAGGCAGGGAAGCCACTATGAAGTAGTTGATTCTGATGTTACATGTGTTTAAATCACTGTGCCCGACACTATGAATGGATGCAGGGAATTGCCTCTTCCCTGCTTTCTTTATTCCACAGAAAGGTACATTTTTTTAACCAAAGTTTTGCTGACCATTTCTCCATCATTAAACACTTGCTAAATGCCTGCCTCATGTCTGGTTCTGTGCTGGGCACTGGAGTGTGCTGGGCACTGGAGACATAATAGCAGATGGGCACCGGCCTTGCCCAACAAGATTTGTCCAGAGCTGCAAACAGCAGTGTGCGCTATAAGGTGGTGCTCAATACATTCTTCACTCGTAGAGTTAAACATTGTGACCAGGTTTTTCCTTGCATACATTTAATAAGTACAAATTCTGTTAGGAAATTATATTTAAATTTAGGAATAAAAATGTAATCACACATCTGTAGGTGCCTCATTTGTCAAAGTCAAAGAAGCATTGGGACTATTCTTCTGACATAGCTGTGTGTTTTGCTTTTCCTACTTAAATTCTCATTGTGAACATATTTCATGCATACAGAGTTTATATATACTTTCCAGGTTTTCTCTTCAAAGGCCACACGTTCATTGGAGCTAATCTTCATGAGTTAAAAACAAAACAAGGTGAGTTCTTCTTAACTCATATACCTTTTCTTTCATTCATTCATTCATTTATTCATTCATTCATTCAATGACTATTTCTTGAGCACCCACAATTGGCACTAGACACTGCACCAAGCTTGAGAAATTCAGTGGTGAACAAGACAGAATTCTGTCTGCAGGGTCCTCGGGTCTAGTGTTATAGCCAATCAGAGCTCAGGCTCCCTGAGGTTGGGAAAACAAAGTTTCCCACTCTGGCTTGTCCTTCTTTCTATGTCTCTTCCTTGATCCTAACAGACTGACACAAAGATGACTCTGCTTTGTTCTTTACCTCTCATGTGCCTTACCTGTGGTTCCTTTACTGAGCATTTCATCTTTTCTACTTTGTTCAAAGGCATACAACTCTGGCTCTCTCCAGAGGTGGGTTAAATTACCCCTTCCGATCTTTTCAGTTTTAAGTTTTAGGGAGATCAAGTTGTGCAAGGGAGGAGTGCTTTGAGAACTGCCTTCTGAGGGGAATGATGTCAGGCAGCTTCTGAAACAGGTGTCCTTACTTTGTACCATGATGTCCTGCCAATCTGACCCTGATGAATTGGATTAGGAATGAATAACTGACTAAAAGACAGTCATTCAAAGACTGACCAGAGATTTATAGGGTGGTCTGGCATCAGTCTTCCCTACAGGGATGTGAGTGATTAACACCAACTCTTTCTGGGGAATTTAAGAATTAAAGATAGCAGAGAGAGAGAGAGAGAGAGAGAGAGAGAGAAAGAAAGAGAGAAAATATGAGAATATAAGAGGGAGGCAGAAGCTTAAAGACACACCAAGAGAAGGCAGTACACAGAAATGAAGCAGTTTATGAGTTATGAGTAAGCAATAGCCTGCAGCATCTTCAACACATGAAGTAGAGAGAGGGAGTCATCGGGCAGCCAAAATAATGGTGCAGAGATAATTCTAGAATCCCTGCTCAGCCACCAGATCTATTGGCATCACCACTAAAGCTATTATTATTCCACAAATCACTCAAATCTCTGTAAGGTCCATCTATGCAGCTGTCCTCACCTTCCTTACTTGCCCTCAGTTCAGTGATAAACTGTTATCTAAGGGTGACCTAAGCATTTAGTTTCCTTTGCATTCTAAGAGCTCTAAACTGACACAAAAATCCACCTCCATCCAAAGCCATTGCTTCTTCATTCCCAGAGTCAACATTTTATACATTCCCTAATCCAGAGTCTGGATTCTGGGTCTCCCGCCTCTGCCTGTGTGCATTCTGTGTGAGCACAAAGAACATGGCGACTTTCCCCAGGTGTTGATCCGTGATGCAAAACTTGAAATGCATCAGGTAGACCCAGCACCCTGGGGTAAAGTGAATAGGCTTGCTGGCAATTTCTCCTACATGCTGTGAGATAATTACTATTGATCGAAGATGTCATGAGATTGGAGAAAGGGAGCACTGGACAAACTGGGCACATGAGGTTAGAGGAGATGTCTTCGACATTCTCAGCTGAAAAATGGGGATAATATATCACCTAAGAGTTGTGAGAATAAGCAAGCTACTTTATTTCTCACAGCAAAGTGACTGTACTTTAAAAAGTTATGTGTTGTGATGATTTGAGGACAAGTACACCACCTTCTATACATCAGACCATGCTGCCTTCACACAAGACTGATAAAACAGGCCCACCTTGCCAGCCAGGCTTGCAAACTGGCTTCACATCCACCTGCACCAGGGTGTCCTGAGCAGCGGGCTTCTGTCCACAGTCGTAGGCGGTCACCAGGATCTCATACTGGTGTTGTTTGTCATAGCTCAGCTTCTCAGTGTTCCTGATGTTGCCTGAGGAACAGAGATGTTCAAAAGCATTTCAGGTCAATTTAACTGCACTTGTACTTCTCCCAAATCTCTTCTCCACTCCACCCACCTTCACAGGAAGAAAGTGACCCTTTTCCTTATCTCTTTGTAAAAACAAGGGCAAACAGGAGCATGGCTCCACTTGTAGCGTGCTTATGCTTTGGTGGCAAATTCCTGGGAACCCACTGGCTGAAGCCACCTAGCTGCGCAATAGGACTGCCAGGGAATTTCGAGCACACGCCTGGAATCCAGCTGGCTTGTGTTTATAAGTAATGGGCTGCCAGAAGACTTCCTCCTGAAGTACAGCCGTGTGATTGTGTCCCTGATGTAGGGCAAAGACCATTCATCTGCAAGGATATCTCTGGGAAAAAGATGGAATTCAGAAAATGTCCTGACACATATTTTTTAACATCTGGGCTTGTCGCCAGGAATGTTCACTGCCTCATCTCACATTATTTTTGCTACCAAATAGGAAGTAAAATCAATAAGAAAACGTGTGACCTCCCTTCTGAAAGCGACATAGAATAACACACTTTTCGCCCCGAAGAAGACATTTTTCTTCTCTAAGAGAGACCAAGTAACTTTTTTCTGAGTTGTTTGTGTGTTTTTGCTCCTGTGGGTTTCATATTATAGTTCTGAAATAAATATTTGGTAATTAATGAGCAAAATGTTAATTCATTATTTTTGCTGAAATACAATTTTAGTTCCAAAGAACTAATAAAGACCTAAAGTGAATTTAATACTTTTAAGCTTTAAATTCTAATAGATTAAAATATTTTGCTGAGAATAATTTCATTCCTACTACTTTTTTTTTTTTTGGCGGCAGAGTTGACAGCAAATTAGAACTCAAATGTTATCATCGTTTACCAGAAACTAAATTTTAAAAACTGAAATTAAAAAACAAATGAACAAAATAGGCTGGGTGCAGTGGTTCACGTCTGTAATCCCAGCACTTTGGAAGGCTGAGGTGGGTGGATGGCTTGAAGACAGGAGTTTGAGACCAGCCTGGCCAACATGGTAAAACCCCATCTCTATTTAAAAAAACAAAAATTAACCAGGTGTGATGGTACACATCTGTACTCCCGGCTACTCAGGAGGCTGAGGCACGAGAATTGTTTGAACCTGGAAAGTGGAGGTTGTAGTGAGCAGAGATCGCAACACTGTACTCCAGCCTGGGTGACAGAGCAAGACTGTCTGAAAAAAAAAATCAACAAAATAAACAAAGAGGTAATGGCTGACATATATATATATACATATATATATACACATATATATACACATATACGTATATATACGTATATACACGTATATACACGTATACGTGTATATACGTGTATACACGTGTATACACGTATATGTGTATATATACGTATATACATGTATATACGTATATATACATATATACATATTCATATACGTATATATACGTATATACATATTCATATATGTATATATACGTGTACATATATATGTATATATACATATATACGTACACGTATATATGTATATATACATATATACGTACACGTATATATGTATATATACATATATACGTACACGTATATATGTATATATATACACACACATATGTGTGTGTATATATATATATATATATTTTTTTTTTTTTGAGACAGAGTCTGGCTCTGTCACCCAGGCTGGAGTTCAGTGGCATGATCTCGGCTCCCTGCAATCTTTCACCTCCTGGGTTCAAGTGATTCTCCCGCCTCAGCCTCCCAAGTACTGGGACTATAGGTATATGCCACCACGCCTGGCTAATTTTTGTGTTTTTTGTAGAGATGGGGTTTCGCCATGTTGGCCAGGCTGGTCTCGAACTCGTGATCTCAGGTGATCCACCTGCCTCATCCTCCCAAAGTGCTGGGATTACAGGTGTGAGCCAACATGCCCAGCCTGACTCAGGTATATTTTTATATTTCATCAAAACTAAAGAAAAATTGCCTAAATGAGCTTTCTTCTAACTGCTATGTATTGTTTATGCATATTGAGAGAACATGGAATGAAACAAGAAAGCTTGGAAAATTAGAAAAGTCAAATAATGCTTGAAAGATTTTTTTTTTAAAAAAAGGTCCACCAATTACACAATATTAGTGAAAGAGTATTGGTACCCAGGCCATGAGCAGGTGCTGCACATGTGAATCTATGTGAGGGTGGAAGGAGCAGGAAATGGGAAGGTGAGGGTCTGAGACAAAGTTCAAGTAACTTGTCCTGGACGCTGACTGATGTCCAGGAGGGAATACGAAGTTGCCCAAGACACTGGATCAATAATTAGAATAATCAGCCCGGCGCAGTGGCTCACACCTGCAATCCCAGCACTTTGGGAGGCTGAGGTGGGCAGATAACAAAGTCGGGAGTTCGAGACCAGCGTGACCAACAAGGTGAAACCCTGTCTCTACTAAAACTACAAAAATTAGCAGGGTGTGGTGGCAGGCACCTGTAATCCCAGTGGCTCGGGAGGCTCAGGCAAGAGAACCACTTGAACCCGGGAGGCAGAGGTTGCAGTGAGCCGAGATCGTGCCACTGCATTCCAGCCTGGGCCACAGAGTGAGACTCCGTCTCAGAAAAAAAAAAAAAAAAGAAAGAAAGAAAGAAAGAAAGAAAGAACTAGAATAATCTATTCTGCTATCTTCTCTGGACTACTTCTAACAATACAGCTTCATCCACCAATTAGAGATAGAATTTAGTTAACAAAGTCAGTCAAAAATATCTCAATAAAAACGTGTTTGATGTGTTTCTAGCTTAGTGGCTGGTGTTCGGAATCCCTTTCATTTCTCCTCAATTATTGTTTCCCTCTCAGTTCTGAGGGCTTGCACAGGTCTGGAATGGCTCAGTATTGGTTGGTAACACTCAAACTTATATGTGGTTATAGTTGTCACAGGGGAGGAATTCTGTCAGGTGGAAGCACTTTAATATAACCATGAGAAGTATATTTTCACAACATCACATTGAATTTTGAAAAAAAAAATTAACTTTCTTTAAAATTAAATGGCCCTCAAAAGATACTCCTCTTACAAAAGGAAGGCTCAGAGTTTACAATGTGTACAACATTAAGCAGACCAAACACTATTGATTGTGGTAGAAAAATAAACACACAAGCTGAATCCTTGGCTCAATTTGTTGCAGGTCTACTTCCATAACAAGTCTTAATGAAAGTGTCTGAGAAACTAATTTACCTTCTCCACCACCACCAAATTTGTGCATGTGAAAATGAGTTTCAAAGCACAGAATTTGAAGCATTAGCTAAAAACTGAGGGTATAGTATTGTGATGAATTGTTGCATGGGAGAAGGTCATATTTCAATAAGATACACATTTAAAATTTTTTGAAAGCTCAGAAAAGTCACCTGTTTTGCTTCTGTTACAACTGTATCTTTTTCTCCCATATTTGAATGATTTTTCTATCACGGTCTTCTCAGGAGACCTAATCCCACAGTTAACCATGGTGAACATAAGTCCCTGGAGCTATTTCTCCAAAGGAACTTGAAAAATTCACCTTCAAAGAACAACCAGTCCCTACCTTACACATTAGTTTAGGTATTTTTTTTTAAACTCGGAGAGTGGGGGCTGAGGGGATAAAACAGACATACTGACCAACACTCTTCTAGTAGAATTTAAATGGGAACAACCTATCTGGAAAGCTACTTGGCAATATATGCTAGTCAGTTTGAAATTGCTTATACCTTTTGGGAGTGCAATTCCTCCTCTAAAAATTGATTCTGGAAAAATGATACAATTGCAGATACATGTACAAATATGTTCATCTAGTATTTATTGCACTGAAAAATAGCCTGACACTATAAGGGAAGAGCTAAGTATAATGTCTATGCATAAGATGGATTGTTGTTCAGTAGTAAAAGTGGTGATTATAAAGAACGTTTAAAGATGGGGAAAATACATATAGTTAAATGTTAAGTGAAAAAAGGGAGGACAGACAAATGCAAGGACATTGCGGCCCTAATTTTGTTTAAAAACTTTACAGAAAAACTATTGAAAATTTGGCAAACAATGATTTAATGGTTAACTGTTAATAATGGTTACTTTGGCAGGATTATGGGTGACTTCATACTTCTCTGTGCTTTCCAAATTTCCCACACAAGGCATATAACACTTTTCCATTCATATGGGAAATAAGCATTTTCATTCACTTTAAGAATGAGCAGTCTTTAGGATACATTTGGCTCAGAAGCATGAATCCTGTTATTCACTAGGGCAGCCTTCTGTCAAAGAGAGAGCCCAGCTGAGGCTGCATGAAGACCAAACAATTGCTTGAAAAGTAGAAAATCTGCCAATTGGTAACTGGGTGTCGTTGAGAGCCTACCGCTCCCTCCACTGTCATTCTCTAACATGGCTGAGTGGCTGGCTTGTGCCAGAGGCTCCAGTATTTTTTTGGCATCAGTTCAGATAACAATCACACTGCACCGGTACAATATTCAATTTCCATTTTACTGGTGAGGGTCTGAGACAAAGTTCAAGTAACTTGTCAAAGACCACACAGACACACACATACGAGTGGTAGATGCAAGTGTGGGGTCCACCAACTTGCAGGATTTTTTTCCAGCTTTATGGAGGTATGACTGACAAATAAAAATTGTATATATTTGGGGTATACAATGTGATGTTTTAATATATGTATACATTACTAAATAACTACCATGATCAAGCTATTTAACATATGCATCATGTCACATAGTTACCTTTCTTGTGTGTGTGTGTGTGTTTGTGTGTGTGTGGTGAGCTCAGTTGAGATCTACTCTCAGCAAATTTCAAGTATATAATGCATTACTATTAGCTATAGTCACCCTGCTGTACATTCTCCAGTATTTATTCATCTTATATTAATAACTAAAGTTTATATGCTATGATCAATACCTTCTCTTTTCCTCCACTCCCTCCCTAAACCCTGGCAACCACCATTCTACTCTCTATTTCTGTGAGTTCAACCTTTTAAGATTTCACATACAAGTGATATCATGAGGCATTTGTATTTCTGTGTCTGGGATATTTCACTTAGCATAACGTCCTTCGGGTTCATCCAAGTTGTTGCAAACGGCAGGATTTCCTTCTTTTTTAACGCTGAGTAATATTCCATTGTATGTTTGTATCTCCCACATATTTTTTATCCATTCATCTGTCAACAGTCACTTAGGTTGTTTCTGCATCTTTGCTATTGTGAATAATGCTGCAATAAATATGGGAGTGCAACTATCTCTTCAAGATACTGGATTATTTTCCCCCTATGGATACATACCCCAAAGTGGAATTGCTGAACCTATGGTAGTTCTATTCATAATTTTTTGAGGTACATTCATGATGTTTTCCGTAATAGCTGTACCAATTTACATTTTCACCAACAGTCTACAAGGAATCCCTTTTCTTCACATCTTCACCAATGCTTCTCCTCATGGACTTTTTGACAGTAGTCATCCTAATAATTGTGAGGTGATAGCTCATTGAGGGTTTGATTTGCATTTTACTGGTAGTTAGTGACATTGAACATCTTTTTGTATGCACGTCGACCATTTATATGTGTATCTTCTTTGGAAAAATGTCCGTTCAGGTCCTTTGCACATTTTAAAATCAGTTTGTTTTTTTTTTTTTTTTTTTTTTTTGCTATTTTGTGTTATATGAGTTCCTCATATATTTTGGATAACTTTATTGCATATATGGTCTACCAATAATTTTCCCATTCTGTAGGTTGCCTCTGCATTTTGTTGAATGCTTTCTTCACTATGCAGAGCTTTTTAGTTTGATATTGTGCCACTCATTTCATTTTGCTTTTGTTGCCTATGCTTTTGCTATCAAATTAAAAAATTGTTGCCACTACCAATGCCAAGGAGCCTTCTCCCTGTATTTTCTTCTAGGGTTTTTATAGTTTCAGGTCTTATGTGTAAGTCTCTAATCCATTTTGAATTTATTTTTGTGTATGGTGTAACAGAAGGGTCCAATTTTGCTTTGTTTTGCTTGTGGATATCCAGTTTTTTTCAGTACTATTTATTCACAAGTCTATTCTTTTCCATTGTGTATTCTTGGTGGCTTTGGTGAAAATTAGCTAACTATATATGTGTGAATTTATTTCTGGGTTCTCTATTCTGCTCCATTGGTCTATGTGTCTGTTTTTATGACAGCTACATACTGATTTTATTACTATAGCTTTGCAATATAGTTTTATAGTTTGAAATCAGGAAATGTAATACCTCCAGGTTTGTTCTTCTTGCTCAAGGTTGCTTTAGCTATTTGAGGTCTTTTGTGCTTCTATATGAATTTTAGGATTGTATCTTCTGTTACTATGAAAACTGCCATTGTAATTTTGATAGAGATTGCATTGAGTCTCTATCTTGCTTTGGGTAGTATAGACATTTTATTAGATTTTTAAATTTTTTTATTTTAATAGTTTTAGGGGTACAAGTGGGTTTTTACATAAATTGTATAGTGGTGAAGTCTAGGATATTAGTGCACCTATCATCCAAGTAGTGTACATTGTTCCCAATGGGTAGTTTTTTTTATCCCTTCCCACTTCTCATCCTTTTCCTTCTGAGTCTCCAATGTGCATTATATCACTCTGTATGCCTTTGCATACCCATAGCTTAGCTCCCATTTATAAGTGAAAATGTGCAGTATTTGGCTTTCAATTCCTGAGTAGAACATTTTAACAATATTGATTCTTCCAATCCATAAACATGGAATATCTTGTAATTTATTTGTGTCTTCTACGTTTTCTTTCATCAATGTTTTATAGTTTTCTGTGTACAGATATTTCACCTCCTTAGTTAAATTATTTCTAAGTATTTTATTTCTTTTGATGCTATTGTAAATGCATTTTTAAAAATTTTTTTGGATAGTTTGTTGTTAGTGTACAAAAATGAAAATAATTTTTGTGTGTTGCTTTTTTATCCTGCAACTTTACTGAATTTATTTATTAGTTACAGCAGTCTTTGGTGGGGTCTTTGGGGTTTTCTCTATGTAAAATCATGTAATCTGCAAACAGACAATTTTACTTATTCCTTTCTGATGTGAGTACATTTTATTTCTTTTTCTTCCTTAATTGATCTGGATAGAACTTTCAGTACTATGTTGAATAAAAGTGTCAAGAGTGAGCATCTTTGTCTAATTCCTTACATTAGAGAAAAAAGCTTTAAACTTTTCACCGTGGAGTATGATGTTTGCTGTGGCCTTGTAATATACAGTCTTTATTGTGTTGAAGACATTCCTTCTATACATTATTTGTTGAGAATTTTTATCATGAAAGGATGAATTTTGTGAAATGCTTTTTCTGTATCTATTGAGATATCATATGATCTTTGTCCTTCATTATGTTAATGTAGTATATCACATTTACTGATTTGTGTATGTTGAACTTTCTTTGCATCCCAGGGCTAAGTCCCACTTAATCATGGTGTATGATCCTTTTAATGTGCTGTTGAATTTGGTTTGCTAGTATTTTGTTGAGGACTATTTTTGCATCTATGCTCATCAGAAATATTGGCCTGTAATTTTCTTTTCTTGAACTGTCTTTGTCTGACTTTGATGTCAGGGTAATGCCAGCCTAATAAAATGAGTTTGAAAGTGTTCCCTCCTCTTCAGTGTTTTGAAAGTTTGAGAAGGACTGGTATTAGTTCTTTCAATGTTGGGTAGAATTCAGCTGTGAAGCCATCAGATCCTGGGATTTTCTTTGATGGGATATTTAAAAAAACTATTATTATGAATTCAGTCTTCCTACTCATTATTGGTCTGTTCAGATTCTCATTTCCTTATTATTCTGTCTTGGAAGGTTGCATGTCCTTAGGAACTTATCTATTTTTCCTAGGTTATACAATTTGTTGGTATAAAAGTGTTCTTAGCAGTCTCTTACCATCCTTTGAAAATTATTTCAGTGGTATCAGTTGTAATGTCTTCTCTTTCATTTCTGATTTCATCTATTTGAGTCTTGTCTCTGTTTTTTTCTTAGCCTAGGTAAAGGTTTATCAATTAGTTTATCTATTTAAAAAAACAAACTTGGTGTCATTGATCTTTTATACGGTCTTCTAGTGTTTATTTCCATTATTTCTGTTCTAATCTTTGTTATTTCTTTCCTTTTACTAATTTAGGGTTTAGTTTGTTCTTGTTCTAGTTCCTTGACGTATAACATTAGGTTTTTTATTTGAGATCTTTCTTCTTTTAAAATTTAGGCATTTATTTCTATTTATTCCTATATCATTCCCTTTTAAAATGGCCTTTCCTACATCCGAAAAGTTTTGACATATTGTGATTTCATTTTCATTTGCCTCAAGATATTTTCCTTTTGATTTCTTCTTTGACCCATTTGTTGTTCAGAACCACGTTATTTAATTTCACATATTTGTGAATTTTCTAGCTTTTTGTCCTGCTATTGATTTCTAGTTTCATACCGTCATGGTTGAGAAAAAAATTTTATATGATTTAAATCTTAAATGTAAGACTTAATGGCTATAGTGAATGCTTACAATTTTATGTTACCTTGGCATTCATTTTGAATATTAGTTGGACTTCCCCACACCAGAAGCAGGACTCAGTCACTCTTAACACAGCTTCCAGTTCTCCAAGTTTCTCTGTGTGGCTAATTCAAACAACTGCCTTATACAATAGCCTCCTGGTGACCAGTTCCCTATGGGACAGCTAGATACAGACTACTTGCCTGGTCCTGCTGCCCCTCATACTCTGCATGGACTGTTCAGATATGCCACAGTGACTACCTTTCAGTGAACATGTGACCTCCTAGAACTCATGCCTGCTTGTTTTAAAGCCAACAATTAAAACTCCCCATGGGGCTGGGTGTGGTGGCTCACACCTGTAATCCCAGTGCTTTGGGAGGTTGAGGTGGGCGGATCACCTGAGGTCAGGAGTTTAAGACCAGGCTGACCAACATGGAGAAACCCCATCTCCACTAAAAATACAAAATTAATCAGGTGTTGTGGCGCATGCTGTTAATCCCAGCTACTCGGGAGGCTGAGGCAGGTGAATCACTTGAACCCGGGAGGCAGAGGTTATGGTGAGCCTAGATTGCACCATTGCAACTCCAGCATGGACAACAAGAGTGAAACTCTGTCTCAAAAAACAAAAACAAAAACAAATCTCCCCGTGGAAAATCTGTTTAATTAATGCTTTGAACTCAGTAAAAACATAGGCCCATTGGTCTGTTTTTCTCTACCAGCCTGCACTTCCTGTTCTCTGTGTGGCCTGTAGGCATGCCATGTATTCCCAGAATCTGTACGTACTAAAACCTTTTAAACTTTCACACTATGGTTGTATCATTGAAGCTGTGCCCACAGCCTAATTTCTAATGGCAAGGCTGCCTCGAAGGGATCCTTATGGGTGAATTCCCCTGCTGATGTTCTTTTGTCTGAGCTTCTGGTGGTTGCTGGGCACAGTAGATACCAGCTAGCTTGGTAGAGAAACTTGAAGAGTTTCATTGAAAACAATGACCTAATATGTGATCTTCCTGGAGAATGTTCCATGTGTACTGTATATTCTGCTGCTGTTTGATAAAATGTTCTGCATATGTCTGCTATGTCCATTTCATCTAAAGTATAACAGTTCAAATCCAGTGTTTCCTTATTGATTTTATGTCTTGATACTCTATCCATTGTTGAAAGTAGTTTCTTACTATTCTTGTATTGTTGTCTATTTCTCCCTTCAGATTTGTTCATATTTACTTTATATATTTACACGCTCTAGCGTTGGGTACATATGCACTTACAATTGCTGTATCTTCTTGATGAATTTACTTTTTTTATTATCATATAATGACCTTCTTTGTCTCTTTTTGCAGTTTTTGACTTAAAGCCTATTTTGTTTGATATAAGTATAGCTACCCTTGATCTCTTTTGGTTTCCATTTGCACAAAATCTTTTATCGTACCTTCACTTTTATTATTTTCACGTCCTTAAAAGTGAAGTGAATCTCTTATAGGCATCATATAGTTGGGTCTTGTTTGATCCACTCTATGCCTTTTGATAGATGCATTTAGTCCATTTACATTTAAAGTAATTATTGATAGGTCAAGACTTAATATCTCCATTTTGTCAACCTTTGCTGGTTGTTTTGTTGATCTTCTGTTCCTTTCTTTCTCTTTTGCTGTCTTCTTTTGTGACTTGATAATTTTCTGTAGTGGTATGCTTTGATTCCTTTCTCTTTATTTTTTTGTGTATCTACTCAGGCTTTTGCTTTGTGGTTACTGAGGCTTACATATTATAAAACATATTATGGTTGTACCAGTCTATTTTAAGCTGATAAAAATAACATGAAATGCACATAAAAGCTTTGCACTTTTATTCCCATTTTATATTTTTGTGCCACAATTTATGTTTTTATATTGTACATACATTAACAAGTCATTTTAGCTATAATGATTTTAATACTTTTGTCTTTTAGCCTTTAGAATTATAAGTGATTTACATGTCATCTTAGCAGTATTTGAATATTTTGAATTTGAATATTTACTGATTTTTACCTGTGAGTTTCATACCTTCATATGATTTTGTATTAACAAGGAGCATCCTTTTGTTTCAGCTTGAAAAACTCCCCTTATCATTTACTGTAAGGCAGGTCTAGTGGTGATGAATTCCCTAAGCTTTTGTTTGTCTGAGAAAGTGTTTGTTTCTCCTTAATTTCTGAAGAATAACTTTGCCAGGTAAAGTACCCTTGGTTGGTAGGTTTTTTTTTTTTTTTTGCTTTTTATTTCAGCATCTTAAATATATAATTCTATTATTTTCTGGCCTGCAAGGTTTCTGTTGAGAAATATACTGATAGCTTCAGTGAGGTTCCCATGTATATGTTTTTTTTCTTTTGCTGCTTTCAAAATTCGCTGTGTCTTTGATTTACTGACAGTTTTATTATAATGTGTCATGGCAAAGTCTTTTGGGGTTGAATGTAATTAGAGAACTTTAAGTTTCATGTACCTAGATGTCCATATCTCTCTCCATATTTGAGAACATATCCACCAGTATGCCTTTAAATAAGCTTTCTACCTCTTTCTTAGCCATATAAATACCCCCAAAACATGAATATAAGCTCTCTTGATAGTGTTGCATACATTATGTAGGCTTTCTTGATTTTTTTTATTCTTTTCATCTTTTTTCTCCTCTTACTGGACAACTTCAAATGACCTGTCTTTAAGTTTGCTTATTCTTTCTTCTGCTTGGTTGAGTCAGCTACTGAAGCTCTCTATTGCATTTTTAAAATTCAGTCATTGTATTCTCAAGCTCCAAAATTTGTTTGGTTCTTTTTATATTTTTTCTTTGTTGAACTTCTGGTATTTTTCTTCCAAAGTTTTCCTGATTTAGTTAATTGTTTATCTGTGTTCTCTTGTAGATCACTGAGTTTCTTTAGAACAATTTAGTTCAAATTCTTATCAGGAATTCAATGGCTATTCTTTGGAGTTGGTTACTTACTGACAGTATATTGTGTTGCTTTGGTGCTACCACATGTCCCTGATCCTTCGTGATACTTGTAGTCTTGTGTAAGAGTCTGAGCATTTGAAGAAATAATCACCTTTTCCAGACTTTATGAACTGGATTCATTAAGGAAAATCCTTCACCTATGGGTAGGTGAGGGTGGGGATGGGTAATGCTGGAGAGCACTGTGGCACTATGCTTAGTGCCTAGTGTATGGGTGGCTCCAGGTTTTGGAGAGGGATGCAATGTCTTATTGGTTCAGGTAGCTGGGGTCTGTAACATTTGCAACTGTGTGTTCCTTGGTGTGGCAAAGGCTGTGGGAGGTCCACAGTGTCTGACAGGACTGTAGGTATACTCAGTGGTGCCCTGGGTCCAGTGACAAAGGACTCGTGCAGGCAGCAGGGGGAGTCAGGGCCATTGGTGTGTTCACACTCAGCTGTGGACATGCACTTAATGGTTAGGGCTGGGGCAGAGCCAACTGTGGTTATATGGCAGCTGGTGGCATGTACATGCATGACTATAGCAGTCAAGGCTCATGGTATACATATGTGCAATTGTAAGGACCAGCTGCATGCACTCATGTGGTGGTGGGGGCCACCAATAGGAGTTAGACCAGCTACATATGCATGTGCAGCTATGGGGATCAAGCTGGAAGTGTACATGCATGCAGCTGCAGGGGCGAGCTGCAGGTACAAGCACAGTGGTGGGGGCCAGGGACAAAAGTTGGGGCTTGCACGTGTACAGCGATAGGAGCCAGGGCTGGGTAAGCACGCATGTAGGCACAGAAGCCAGATACAGACACATTTTCAACTGTTAGACCTGGTGATGGGAGTTGGGGCAGCTGCTCAGGTACACACAGCAAAGGGGTTAACCACAGGTACACACATGGTTGTGACAGATGGATATTTGGCTGGAGCCCAGGCCATTTTGGGGCATACATGTAGTGGCTTCCCTGGGTTCCTGGGTTGGGGTGTCTACAACGGCAGCAGCTAAGGCAGCTTTGGGGAGAGGGGAAGAAGAGAGGTGGTAACTCAAGTACCTAGAAACTGCAAAAGTGAAAAACTGTGGGGTCCTCAGCAAAAATTGTGAGGGGCCCCTATGGCTATACTGGTTGTTGGTTTCCTCAGTGGCAGAAGCTGCTGAGTTCCGTAATGGTAAACACTGTAGGCTCCTTGGCAGTGAAAGCCAGTCAGGGGTTTGTGGTTGCTGTGAGGCTGTTGAGATCCTGAGGGTAGAAGACAGCTGGGGTCCCATGCAGAGCAGTCACTAGGGAACCTGGTGGCTCCTGCGACATGGCTGATACTGATAGCCCCGCCCTTCTTTGTTCCCAGATGTCTCCAAATGTCTCAGCCATGCTGATCTCCCTAGCTATATGGGGTGGGGTGAAATTGAAAGAGGTCATTTGGGGGAGTGTCCTGAAAGCTCAGGAAACTGATTGTTCATCCTGTTATCCTTTTCTCTTCAAGGGTAACTTTTGAGCTAAGGAGTTCTCTCTCTGTGCTAAGCACTTCTGGTCTGGGGGATGGGATGATGCATGCAAGATGAAACTGTTCTTCCTACTCTTTTTGCACAATTATTCTCATTGTTTTTCTTATACTGTGTTGCTGTATCTTCTCAACTGGACTCCTGAGCTCTCCTACAGCTATTTTCTTTCATAGATAGCTGTCTGATTGTACTTTGTCGGGGAATGAAGGCTGGGATCTCCTTCTCTGCCTTTTTGCTGACATCGCCCCATACTTCGTGTTTGCAAACTTAAACATCACTGCCATGCATCCTGTAAATTATCATCAAGGAGGTGCGATCTGATGGAAAGGTCTTGGGGCTAACACTCAGGAGACCTGGGTTGAGTCCTAGCTCTATCACCACTGTGACAGTGTTATTAGGCTAGCTCTTTATGTTTTAGGATTCAATTTTGAGGACCCAAGCTCTACTTATCTCAGAAAAACTAGCTAGCAGATGAGGCCATCTCAAATAGATCCAGAACTTTCCAAGAGGAAGGTGATGTGATGAACTCATAGTTATCTGCTCATAATTTAAGCCTGGTAAATAAATCTCAAGTCCCAATCATCCAGGTAAATATTTAATAATTGTTGCACCACTTATTGAGTGCTCTCTCTATGCCAGATACCCTGCAAACAATATCCCCACACACTGCTTCTCCTTGAATACTCACAACCCCACAATGGGGTAAGGACTGATAATGCCATAATTTCATGGGGAGGAATTCAAAGGGAGGGAGTCTGAGGGCCTCTGGTAGGAAGAGGGTGAGTCTCTGGTTAAAGACAGGTCAGGTTGACTCCACATTGTGTCTTCTATTCTCCCTGCTGCCATTCTTTACCCCACAAGCAGAGCCTGGAAAGTTGGAGGGGCCAGGAGACATCCATCTGAAGCCATGGGGTAGGGGAAACCTAGGCCTCAATGAGCAGGCTCTAAATTCAGAAGCACTTTCCTTATGAGCATGCAAAGTACTTCTTCAAGGAGTCAGAAAGGTCGCTCAGAGAAACTGATGGATAAGGGCCAATTGGGAAGCTCATTAGAATGGGAGCCGTCTCTGTGTCTGCCCCTAGGTCCTGCTTCATTACCTGGAGGACTGCTTCTGTACACCTCGCTGTCAGGGGCCCACACTCCCTGAGAGGGCCCATTCTCCTCTTCATCTTAGGTTGTAAACCAGCATTAGAGGCAGAGGCCTGGCAAAGGCCCATTACTCACTTTTAATGAGACAGCCAGGGAAATAAATTGGCATATGTTAGCAAAATGGCTCATCAAGGTGAGTAATTATCTTCATGACTGGGGCAGTTTACCCTCCAAAGAAAGACTTTGCATCTCATCTCACTGAGCTGTGGCTCTTCAGAACTAGGGCAGGAGGCCAAGTAGAGCTTGACCACTGAGCACAGATACCTCCACTTGTCTAGTCTTGCTATTCACCATGGACTTGTCACTCCCCAAATTCCAAAGCTTTTATGGGATACACTGCACAACTGATTACACAGAAAAAGAAACCCAGAGGAGAAAAATACAAAGAAGTTGTTCAATATTTTATGGAGTGGTGTGTGCACATGTGTGCCTCTGTGGTGGGGACAGGCTAGTCATTTCACAGAGCCTGTGGGAGAAACTATCGGGGAACGATTCTGACAGGCTCTACTAATTAAAATTACCTTCTTCTTAGTTTTGAGCCAAACTTTAATTAAAGTCCTATATTTCCTCCTTTACTTGCTTGTGCATTGACACTGTGGCCTGTATAATTATCTCATGGTATCCAGGTATGTAATTGTCTTTTCCCCATGTTTTAGCATTTTAGAGGGAAATTACCTTATTATTATTTTTTTCTGTCTTATGAATATTAGTTCTGTCTTCCAAGACTGATTCTAAGCTACTTAAAGACAGGGATGAGAGTGTCTCCTTCACTTCTAGTCCCTATGGCATCTGCCGCAGTCTCAGGGTACAGAAGACAATGCCATAGAGTAAGTTTCTACCTGGTCTCAACATCATGAAGTGTTGGGTTTCTCCTGAAGGTGTACAAGCAGGTGGCTGATGCTATTTTCCTCTAGACATTGGCTATCAGGAGGTACAGAGCTAATTTGCTGCCCAACCCTGGTTCATGGCATTCTTTGTGCACCATCTTCACCCTTGCTGCCACTGGATTTTCTATTTTTTTCTGCTAGATGATGAGCTGTATGTGGACAGGCCCATGTCTATTTTAAGTTCCACTCTATCTCCTTTCCAGTGTTCAGCACCATGCCTGGCACTCAATAAATAATTACAGAGTGAATGGAGTTTGAATTTTGCAACTTTTGCATCTTTGTGTGCTACTTAAATCTTATTGGAAACAAAGTAGGAAGAACATATAAACACCCACACACTCACACTAATAATTAAACAATGTACTTGGCAAATAATTACACTTGATTTTAGGTGTTGAAGGTGTTGAAATTTACAGCTAAAGTGGGCTGAGTTTGTTGGGGCTCTGGTTGTGGCGTTTATACTACAATGAGTTTTCTATTCGTGGTGATGGGGAAATGTCCAAATGGCTTTATAGGAATGCTTCCAGTCTTGTTCAGTCTGGGATTGGGTTATTATGGGAGGGTTCTTTCATTCTTCATTCTCACTGGGGTTGAAATTCTCAAAAGGACACTGGCAAGAACTTTATAAAGTCCTGAATGAGGCCAGGCACAGTGGCTCACGCCTGTAATCCCAGCACTTTGGGAGGCCGAGGTGGGTGGATCACTTGAGGTCAGGAGTTCGAGACTGGCCTGACCAACATGGTAAAACCCCATCTCCACTAAAAATACAAAATTAGCCGAGCATGGTGGCGCACGCTTGTAATCCCAGCTCCTCGGGAGGCTGAGGCAGGAGAATAACTTGAACCCAGGACGTGGAGGTTGCAGTGAGTGAAGATTGTGCCATTGTACTCTAGCTTGGGCGACAAGAGCGAAACTCCATCTCAAAAAAAAAAATCCTGAATGAATCTATGGTTTAGAAGGGATTTCAAAAGTCCCACCTCCTCTGTTAGCATGTCTTCATCTAGAGGCAATAGGGCTGGTATTATGACTTATTACATAGGAAACGGACCCAGATATGGCCAAGCTGATGGCATGGCTCACATCTGGATGACAACTGGAAAATTTGACCAGGAAATCAACCATCTTCGGTATCTAGATGTGTGGCACTGTGAGTTGTACAGACTACATTGAGTGAGTAGGTTTCTGAGGTTTCCTGAGGGTGTTTTAGACCTGGCAGGGCTGCTAATCAGATAAGGCCATTCCCTCAAGTGTGGGACTGAGCTCTGGGTTATGGAGCTTAGACCAAACATGGCAAGAAAGGCATAACTTGCCAAGCATATTCAGAGCCCATGTTGGGTCTTCAGAGTGGAGGCGATGGATTTGTTTTCCTGACCCCACAGGGGTCCTCTGAGGTCACTCACCATTTCTGTCGATGGCAAAAGGCACATCTGTGGTGACGATTTCATAGTTGCAGATCTGGCTGTACTGTGGGGAGCAGTCCTCGTCAATGGCCTCCACCTGCAGAATGCTGTCATAGATCTTGCCCTCCGTCACAACAGCCTTGTAGGCTGGCTCTTTGAAGGTGGGAGCAAACTCGTTGACATCCTTCACCTGTATATGGACCACGGCCCTGGGACCACACACAGAAAGGAAGGGATGGTGGTAAAGAAAGAGTCACACCAACCTCCTGTACCTCCTGGGGGCACTGACTGAGGTCCCAAGGCCAAGTGAAAGGAGAAACCATCAGCCAATTGTGGCAGTTGTCTGAGTGTCCCATCCTCCCTCTCACTGGAGACTCTCTACTTGCCCTTGCTCTGACGCTCTGAGATGAATCCATCCCAGAGAGACTTTTATGCCCTTCCCTCTGCACCAGCTTTAGGCAACAGGTTTACTGTTCATTCCTCCCTCTATTCATCCACTCCTCCATTCAGTAAGAATTTAACCCCTCTTACTCTGTTAGGCTCTGAGATAAACATAAGGGAAAAAGCAGTGACAACCCACAGTGAAAACTGCTGTGACAGAGAGCAGCTTATGGCACGGCAGAGGCCCAGGGAAAGGTCCTGACCAGGTCTGCGGGGGTGGGCCAGCTTAGGGAAGGCTTTCTGGAAGAAGTGACACCTAAACTCAGACCTGAGGGTGAAACAAGAGTGTCTTCCAGTGAAGAAGAGGGAGTAGAATATTGCAGGTGTGGAAAGCAGACTGGGAAGATGCCTGCATGGGACCAGGAAACTGCCAAGCAGTTGAGCAAAGTTGGAGCACCATTGTGTGACAAGAGGGTAAACATATCTGAAGAGCAGCATGTGAATGAAGTGGGGTGGGCACGGGAGGGAGGGGCGTCCAGAGGGCTCTGTCAGGCCACTCACTTGTGTGACTTTTTCCAGGCTGTCTCGTGGGGCCCAGCACCACAGTCATAGGCCTGGATGATGAATGTGTACTCCTTCTGCAACTCACAGTCAATGGGGCTCTTGGCACGGAGCCGGCCCTCTCCTGATGTCTTGTTGAGCACCACAGCCTCAAAGGGCAGCTCCTGGCCATGGATCTTGAACGCACAGATTTCCCCTGCAGAAGGATGGAAAACAGTGAGTGGGAATCCTGAGAATTGCCAGACTGAAGACAGTGCTTCCATTGGACCAGATTCACAAACTCAAAGCCTCCATGCAATTTCTTCCACGCACATAGTGTGGTCCACGAGCCAGCAGCATCAGCATTGCCTGGGAGCTTCTTAAAAATACAGAATCCCAGGCCCCACCCAGACCTCCTGAACTGGATCTGCATTTTAACAGGATCCTCAAGTGATGTGTGTGCTCACTAATGTATGAGCAGCACTGCTTTCCTCTTTCCTTTACTCCTGGTTTAATCACTGCCTAAATTGCTGAAGCTAAATTCCCTCTACCTCCCCCACTTCTCCATTTTCTGTCTCCAGCTACCATTTCCCCTTCCAAGTTGCAGTTTTCTCTTTTGAAACAGTGGGCGTGAGTCTATGTGAGTTCCAGAGTTCCAGAGCCCCTGTGGAGCCTGAAAAGCTAACATCTTAAAGAGCTGAACATGTTGTGAAATTAATGCATTTCTCTCCTTCAGCTGCGTTAATGTTTATTATAACTATTTCTATGCATTAAAATTATAATGCCATGATAATATCTCCTTTTTTCTCAATCAGTGCATGTTTATTTATTGAACCCCAACTGCATGCAAGACCTGTAGTAAATGTCTTGGGAAGTGCTGAAAATTTGAGACATGTCCTCTTTCCCTATTGAGAAAATTTACAGACTTATTAGAGAAAAGAGTTTAGCTATAGGCTTTGAGGGAGCAAAACAGAGGCCAAGAGCCCAGAGGCCTAGATTCACATTCCAGGCTTGCCACTTACTAACTGATTGGCTTAAATCAAATGATATTGACTGTCTGGGCCTCTACTGTGTCATCCGTAAGATGGTCCCAGAGATGGTGGTGGGGTGGGAGGCATCTACCCTAAGATGCTCCAGCCCTGGTCTGACAATGCTTCAGCTGCACTGCTGAGGCCAAGGAGGGGCAAGCAAGGTACCTACGGTGCATCATTTAATGGGGCCTTGCTCTCAGGTTAACCCAGGCACCTTCTTGCCTCACCCTAGTCCAGGTCCTGCCCAACTATTCGTAAGAGCTGACACAGTGAAGAGAAGGGATGAGATGATTGCATGCTTGCTCTGCACCAGGCACCAAGCTTTGTACCCATACCCAGAGAACTTCATTTGAACTTCATAAAAAACCTGCAAGGCAAGTATTTTATATCAATTTATTCCAATTTTTAAAAAATAAAATCAGAAAGGTTAAATATTTGCTCAATGTCACAGAGCTAAAGCTAAGTATTAAACCCAGGTATGGCTGATTCCTAAGTCCATGTACTTTCTATCCCACCACACCATCTCCAAACAGCCCCATAACTTCTAAGGAACCACTCCATGGATTGCCTGGAGAAACTCTCTACATTCCAATTCAAGTCTCATTCAGGAAAGAAATCCTCTGATTTACATATAGGAATCATGCCATGATCTCTTACTAACAATGTTTTCCAAGATGTTCAATCAATACCAATCTTACCTTTATGCTTTTCAAAAAGAATTTCATTGATCCTCAATTTCATTATTAACATTTCCTTTTCACTACCACCCCCATCTCCCACTCCCCCGCCGCCACCCCTCCTAGCCATTTCTCAATGTACTTGTGGAATAAATGGACAAGACAGGTTATGGACCCAGTTCCAGTAAGAAGGCTAGTTCCCATTCACTTCCGTTTTTTGGGATCACTAGGCATTTCAGTACTGTGCATTCTGACAAGTTCTGCAGCCTCCAGGGCAGGAGAATAGGGTTTCTCAAATTCTCAAGTTTAATTTCTTCTCTAAATTAGAAGCGTTGAATAGATGAACCTCTAAAGTAGCTGCTTTTTGATTCTCTCCCAAGATCAATGCCAATATGACAATATTATCAACAAATGTGTCTAGACTGTTTCTGGGGCATTCTCTGGAGTGCCCAACCACTGCCATGGTTATAAGGCTAATCAGACCATTTCTCTTTGAAGACTCAAGTCAAACCTAGAATAGATGAGTGTAATCTTCTCTTGGAAAGATCTGATCACAACTAAGTAGTTTTCAAGATGCAGAAATCCTTAACAACAGAAAAGGAGAGTAGAGAGGGAAAGAAGACAGAGGAGAGGAAAGAGGAGATACAAAGGGAAGACAAGATAAAGTTTAGGTGACATATTTCCATCTACGGAACAATTCAATTCAATAGAACTAATTTTTCCGAGGGCTAAGTCTCAGGCACTGTGCTAGGTCTGAGGACACAAAGACTAACAACTTGGGTACCTTAAAATATAAGGATGCTTTATCCTAAAGTACTTCTTACCTGATAGAAAAGACAGACAAGTAAAAAGGACAATCAAGACCCACTTTGTTTTCATCAAAACCTAGAACAGAACCTAACATTCATGTCACCCTCATTTATCCCACCTCTTCACCTGACACTTGGGTTCTGGTTGCAAAAACATTCATTCATTTATTCATCCACCTCATAAATATTCATTCTTCTCACAAATATTTTTTAGGCACTATGTGCCAAGCACTGGTAAACCAATAATAAACAAAAATAGACCCAGCGCTGGCCTGTAAGCCGCTTGCAGTCTGGTAGAAAGGGAAATAAGCAGTCAAATAATCAGTACCTGAAAGAAGGATGGTGATGGTGATGAGTACACTGAAGGAGAGCTATGTGTGCTAAAAGTATTCTGGCCTGGTCAGGCAAGGCAGGGAGGGCCTCCCTAAGAATGTGGTGGCTTAGGACCCTTCAGAAGAAAGGAACATGGTGAGTCCAAGGGACCGCAGGCCCAGTGTGGCAGGAGTGGAGGCCGTGGGGCAGAGCTAGCTTCACAGGCTTGGGACCTAAGAGCCACCCAGGGTCCTGTGCTCAGAAGCATCCTGAGCTTGGTTTTAATCTCTTCTGTCTCTGTCCTGAGTTTTTTTTTTTAAGATGAGGTCTTGGTTTGTCACCCAGGCTGGAATGCGGTAGTGTGATCATAGCTCACTGCAGCCTCAAACTCCGGAGCTCAAGCAATCCTTCCATTTTAGCCTCCTGAGTGGCTGGGGCTACAGGTGTGTGCCACCAACAACCAGCTAAGTTTTTTATTTTGCAAAGATGGAGGTCTCATTATGTTGTCCAAGCTGGTCTCGAACTCCTGACCTCAAGCCATTCTCCTGTCGGCCTCCCAAAGTGCTGGGATTACAGGTGTGAGCCACTGTGCTCAGCCTTGAAGTTCTTAATAATTTTATCTTTGAACCTCTGTTTTGTGAATAAAGTCTGATGGGACAATGGAGCATGTTATGAGCAGAGGAGAAGGCTGCAATACGCATGTCCACCACGTCTTGCTGCCCCATTTGCATATAGCTTTCAGAATTCCCATGGACCCAACAACATGTGGGATTTCAGTGGGACTCAGAGTGAGAACAAGGTAATCATGTTATGTCTTCAACTGACTAAGTAGGAAGCTGACCTCCCCAAGAGGCCACACTTCCCCTTTGAACTAGAACTTGTTTCAAATGCAAAAAGAGGGAGTAGAAAACTGAGAAATGTGAACAACCAAGGAACCCTGTTGTAGCCTGTCTTATTCACATTACATCCTGTATTAGCCAATCACTTACACTGAAAACGATGGTGGAGGGGAAAAGGGAAGATCAGACGACTCATTGCTTTTTTTTTTTTCAGGCTGCCCTTGCTATCAGTAACCCAAAGGTAAAGAGTAATATTCACATGAACATAAAGATGGGGAATAGACACTGGGGAATACAAACAGGGGGAGGGAGGCAGGGAGGCAAGGTCAGGAAAACTACCTATTGGGTACTATGCTCACTTTCTTGGTGACGTGATCAATCATACTCCAAACTCTAGCACCAAGCAATATACCTTTGTAACAAACCTGAATATGCACCCACGGAATCTAAGATAAAAGTTGAAAAAGAAAAAAATGGAAGTCAAATTAAAACAGTTGAGTTTGTTTTGTGTAGTATTTATACTGTTGTGGTAAGAATTAAATACATATGTATATATGAACTGTAAAATACAAATTCTGTAATTTTGGTATTCTGTATGCTAGCTAAATGCTCTTATATTTGTATTTAAAAATGGACATTGCATAATAGAAAAGGTAAAATTCAAGCTAATAATTTAAAGTTTTAAATATATCTTTACTTAGAACTATACCAAATAGAATATTTAAAACGTCATGACAAGTTGAAACAGAGACTTCTGGAAGAAAGGTCCCAGGACAAAATTCTAGATAGAAAGATATTTAAAACAGCAGTTCTCAGTGTCAGTGTAAGACACATTAGGCTGTCTTATGTCTTATACAAGAACTTTTTTTGTGAGGCTTGTCACTAGCATTTGTTATTATACTAACAGAGCACTGCAGTGGGAGGATGATACATTTAAAAGTAAAAGATCAGACCTAATGGTTTTCATATAAAGATATCATTTTCAAAATCTTGCCCTCCAATATGCTTTTGGGTGAGAGAACTGCTACTGTGCCAGGAATTGTGTGTGGACAACACACAGATGAGCATGGGTGTGAGGCTAGCCATGGGCTGCGTGGAAAAGGAGGCCAGCAGCACCAGGCCACCAGGCTCACATGGGCTGTGGGCCAAGGTGGCTGAACTGGGGCTTCACCAAGAGCCCCCTTCAGGGCCAGACCAGAAGATGAGCCCCTGCTGTGCCTGAGTGAGACATGACCACTCCGGACCCTCAGTCCTGTGAGCAGGTATCTCACAGTTACCTGCTTCTCAGCAGAAAGACACCAGCAGAAGTTGGTGTAGTTGTCTCCTAATACCTCACATAGGATTCTGGGGGAAAGGTCTTTAACTTGATTTTTAGAGCACATTTTGCTCCTTCCTTTGAATACTTTTGAACAACAAAGTAAGCTAATTCAATTTTTTAGATGAGGAAACTGAGCCTCAGAGAGATTACGTGTTCATCCAAGGTCACTTTGACAGCATAAAGCCAACTAAGGACTAAAATCTTGGCATCTACGGTCAGCACCCTTTTTGTTCTTTCATGCAGCTTATCACTTACTGGGTGAGTGTGATGTTCTAGGACAGTGGTTCTGAGTGTGCTCTGTCAGTCTGGCATCCCCAAGACACTTTGTAAGGGTTCAAAAAGTCAAAGTGATCATCATATTAATACTAAGATGTTATTTGACTTTTTGTCTGTGTTGACATTTGCACTGATGACATAAAAGCAATGGGGAGTAAAAGTGCTGGTGGCTTAGTGAGTGGCTAACTGCATTCTTCATCAAAGCATACATGTAGGGGAAAAAAGCCAATTTCACTTAAGAATGACTTTAATGATACAGTAAATATTATCAATTTTTATTAAATCACAATGAGTTCATGTCTTTTTAATATTCTGTGGGATGAAATGGAAAGTGCACTTTAAACACCTTGGCATGGCAAAGTATGCTGGTTTGTGTCTAGGAAAAGCACTTGTGTGATCTAAATTGTGAACTGAACTAGGACCTTTTTTCATAAAATGACATTTTTTACTTGAAAGAATGATTGACAGATGAACTATGTTTATTCAAACTTGAATGTGTGGCAGATGTTTTTGGAAGTAAGCCTGTCCCACCAAGAAAAAGAACTGAGAGTATTTGCTGTCAATGATAAAACTGAAGCTTTCAGTTTGGGGAAGCCTGTGTCTGATACTTGTCTGATAAGATGGGTAGTGATATTAATGCATGAGACTTTTGATATTGTATAATGAAATATACCAACTTTTGAAGGAACCACTTAACAATGAACCAGTATCTCTCAAACAACCAATGCATAATGTCACACAGTCATGTACAAGTAAAAGATTCAAAGCACAAGAAACTTTTATGGATTTTAATGTAACAACGTGCAATGGACTGAATGTTTATGTTCTCCCAAGTTCATACATTGAAACCAAATCACCAAAGTGAAGGTATTAGGAGATGGAGCCTTTGGGAGTTAATTAGGTCATGATTTGTGCTCTTATAAAAGCCTCCAGAGAGATCCCTGTCCTCTTCAGCCATGTGAGGTTACAGTGAGAAGGTGCTATCTATGAGAAAATGGGCCCTCAAAAGACACTGAAGGTGTCAGTGCCTTGATCTTGGACTTCTCAGCCTCCAGAACTGTGAGAAATAAATTGTTGTTCTTTATAAGACACCACTCTAAGGTATTTCGTTACAGCAGCTTTAATGGTTGGAGACAGTGCATAAATTTAATGCAATTTCAGATTCGTTTTTACCTAATCTTTAAGAAATTATTATTTGTGGAGCTCTGGTGTACTATCAGAGAAGAATATCTATAACTTAATATTATCTACAATAATATTATTAAAATACCACTTCCTTTCCAACTACCTACCTGGGTGAGGTCATATTTTCTTCATATACTTCTACCTAAATAACATATCACAACAGGTTGAAGGCAATAAAAGATATGAGGACTTAGCTGTTTTCTATTAAGCTCAATATTAGGGACTGCAAAAATGTAAACAATGGCACTCTTCTCACTAATTTGTTTTTTTTTCCAAAAATATATCTTTTTTTGTCAAATTATGTTACTTGTGTTAATATGTATTGAGTTTATTGTTATTTTTTAAGTGAATGAACATTTGAAAGTTTCTCAGTTTTAATTTTTGATATAGTAAATATTGGACATGCAGATGTAGCCCACATAAAGAAAAACTCTTGAGAATCTTTAATAATATTTAAGAGTGTAAAGGGGTCATAAGACCAAAAAACATGAGAACTGCTGTTTTTACAATTTACCAATAATAGTGTCCCCCCAGCTCATAATTCCATACCCTGCTCCTGATGCTAAAAACATGACCCATCACCTTGCAGAGTGCTCCCAGCCTCAGAGCGGCTCAGTTTGCTTTGTATTCCACAGCTAGGCCTTTGTAGTAAGAGTAAGAAGAATTGCATGTCCACATAATAAATTGTTGGGGGGCTGGGGAAATTATTTCCACATCTCTATCCAAATCTGGCCCAGATGGGCTGGAATGAAATAGTTATGCAGTTAACTACCATGGGACTGTAGGGAAGTCACTTACCTCTCTGTGCCTGTTTCCTCATCTGTAAGTGGGATGGTATTAATAGTAGTTAACTCATAGGGTTATTGGTTATTGGGAGGATTAAATGAGTTAACATATGCTAAGCACTGTGTAATTGTTAGCTCTCTTCCCTGTTATTATATTGAAGAAAAGTCACACACCTCAGGCAAACTCCCTGTTCCTGTTTAAGAACTGAAAAGGCTGAAGGTAGAGATCATTTCAACATCAGAAATATTTTGAATGTCACATGTGTGACATTCAAACAATCTGACTCCTTGAAGCACCTTGCACCTATCAGCCACAGTTTATTACACACATTTTTTTCTCTGAATGACAACATCCTCTACATTTTCATAATCTCATCGAGGGCCAGCACTGCTCCCACGGGGAGAGTTTAGTGAGGGGGATGTTTTGTTTGACTGTTTTTGCTCATCGCAGTGATGGGGAATTGCTAATGGCATTCACTGGGCAAGAGTCAAGGTGCTAAATATCTTGCCCTAAGCAGATCAGTCGTATACTACCAAGAATCATCTCACTGCAGATGATTATAGGGTTCTTTTGAGAAACACTGAACTCAAAACATGAAGGCGGTCTTCCTGGAGCGAACACCTGGCCAAGTCTCTGCCTCCAGGTTTGAGGAAATAGCTGGCTCTTATAAAGCCTCTCCTTCAGATTGGTGAGGTCCCTCCAGACAGATTATGGTATCATCTGCTCTCAGCTGCACACTGTCCTCTCTAGTACACAGTTGGCAGACAGTCAACACTGACCACACTGCCAGAGGGCTGAGTGGATGAAGTTTTTAAAGTCCCTCTCTACATGGGATCATCTCTAGTCACTTTAAGTATAATAAGACAGGAAAGGAAAAGTGCCAATCACATCAAGAGGTAATCATGTCCAGAATATCACTTTAGGGCTGAATGTAGAAATAAATCCATATTGTAACAGAACATTGAGTTTAAACCCTCCCACTTCAGATGAAACACTTAAAATCTTCAAAAGTAGAAAGCTAAAGGGAAACATTTGCAGGATGTTACGTAGGGTGTTTCTTCACACATCTGGGTTGGGGATACTCGGACAGGCCCTGCTGAGTTCCATCTCTGCCCTTCTCAGCTGTGTGACCTTGGGTGGTTCTCAAGTTTCTCTTTATTACAGCTGAAGATACTACCATGCCTAATCCTGAAAGTTCCATGAGGCTACAATGACACACTAAACGTGGAAGAGATGTGGGAAGTATAAAGGTCTATCTACTTTTTATTATTACAATTATAATAAATCCTGCCTTCTGGCCTGCAAGCAGCTAGGTGCATAGTGATAACTTAACCTTGGTTCCCATTCAACCAAAGCAGGGGGAGGGGGCAGTTTTCACCATTTATACCTTTCTTTCTACTTAGAATTGAGCAAAATAAAACATATTATTTTATTTTAAAAGTCATTTTTCTAAAGCTTTGTGCCAAGATCAAAATCTCCCTCTTTTGGAAGATTAACAAAGCAGTTATTATGTTTCTGAAAAGCAAATAAAGGTGATTCTTTTTTTATTCTTTGGCAATATTTGTTGGGTGAATACATGACGTAAAAACTTATTTATATGCTGAGAGACTTGGAGAGGTCCCTCTGACTCAGCTAGTCATAATTTGGTCAAGTGGAACTTGAAATAATGGTCTGCCTGGTGCCCAGTGGTTCTGGAATTAAAGGAGTCCAAGTACAAAAACCTACTGTACTCATTCACTCAGCAAACCATCCCTGGACATAAATAATATAGTAAGAACAAAATGAATAATAATAACAATTTACAAAAATCACTGTAGTTCATACTTATTCAGTGTTTACTATGGGTCAGGCACTTATTTAGGGGAACAGTGAAAACAGCCTACATCGTTCTGTGCCCTGACCTGCCTGGGGCTGGAGATTTGGATGAATCAGAAACCACCTCCGTGTTTACAGACAGGAGAAGGAGGCAGATGGACAAAAAGTTAAGTGCAATGAAGTACTGCAAAGGCTGCAATAGGTGTTGTTTCTGGGTATTGTGAGAACACAGACAATGATGGCTTAATCTTGCCTCCTAAATACTTCCAGAATCAATTGCTTGCTGTCATGTAACCACCAGAGAAGTGCTGTAGCTGTAAGAAGGAAGGAGTTTCAGCTCCTGAAACTGATTCTGCTGAGACAAGGCCTTGTCCTCTGGACACTGTCATGTCCCTTTCTTTACAATGGCATTTCAGTGCTTCTATTTTAAGATATTGCAGGTAGTACAGGTCAGTGCCTAAAAGAAGGGTAAACCTGGATTCAAATCCCAACTCTTCATTTATCATCTTGATAAATTTGAAAATGAACCATACCTCCATCTTCTCATCTGTAAAATGGGAATAAAACCATTGTCCTATGGTCATCATACGACAATCAGAATAGAACTTTCTTTTTTGAAAAAACTGAGAATGTAGTAAGTCAGGGAGTGGGTTGAATGACTTATAAAAAGCTAGTTTAACTGTCAGACAGTTTTATGAGCAAGCCAGCACAAAGGGATGGCAGACCAGCCCAGACAGGCACTTCCCGGGTTCTGCTGTTGTGCCCTTTCCCTTTTTACAGACTCCCAGCCCTCCTGCTGATGCACTGGTTGATTCTGAGGTGCCCACCATTCTAGTCAGGTGTTGGAAGATTGCAAAGAGGAGGAAGAGAGCAATGAAAACACTTGGAAAAGGATGATGACTGACTTTGTAATATCTAAATTTTTAATATTTGCCAAGAGAGCATTTTAAACCCTATGTCTCAAGAAATACTGCCCTGGACCCAGTTACAAGATCTGGATAAATTGTTTTCCCACTGTCAAGCAGGAGTAGAGAATCTTATTAAACAAGGAAGGGATCTCATTTGCCCACAGCTCTCAGGTGATACATTAGTCAGACCCCTCCATGATCATTACCTAGATCCTACCTTGGTTAACTCTTACTTGTCCTTTAGGAAAATAATAGACATTGAAACACCTTGGAGAGTTAAAGAAGTCCCATACAAATATAATGGCCGTTTACCATGTCCGATTACCTCTGTCAACAACATCTCTGTAAGCAGCCACCTCCTGTAAGGAGGAATCTAGCAGGCATGGAGTTTCCCAGAAGCCCAAGACTCCATTCAGCGGGTTAAAGTTAAGTTTCAGAAACAGAAGCTACACATAGGCCCAAACAATTAAACGTATTTGAGGTTTTTGAGTGTCAATGAGCACTCAAGATATAGGGGCTGAATATTGCAGCCTCCTCAATTAACCAGAGGAAGACTTAATATTCACATAGAATTGGTGCAAATCATGCTGACAGGTAAAATCTTTGGAATCTCTCTCTCCCCATTTTTTCAGTGTCCAAACATGGGGCTGAGATGGGGCCCCAAAGTTGAACCAGTCAGAAGTTTACCCAAAGTCTGTTTGTCCTCATCTGCTATGGTTTGAATGTTTGTCCCCTCCAAAATTCATGTTGAAATTTAATCCCCAATGTGGCAGTGTTGAGAGGTGAGGCCTTTAAGAGGTGATTGGGTCGGGAGGGCTCTGCTAATTCATGGATTAATGAGTTAGCAGGTTATCATGGGCGTGGGACTGGGGGATTTATAAAAAGAAGAAAAGAGACTTGAATGACAACACTCAGCCTTCTTGTCATATTTATGCTTATGCTGTCTCAGGACTCTGCAGAGTCCCCACCGGCAAGAAGGGCCTCACCAGTTGTGGCCCCTCGACCATGGACTTCTCACCCTCCATAACTGTAAAAAAAAAATAAGTTCTTTTTTTTTAAAAAAAATTACCCAGTTTCAACTATTATATTATAAACACCAGGAAATCAGACTAAGACACCATCTACTTTTTAAATTTATTTTTTTCCTCTGCTTCCTTCTGAGTATTTCTCATCACTAGTGTCTTTAGGAACTTAGGCACAAATTGAAAACTCCTCCTCGAAAAATGACTTTTTTAATATTCTATGTCTGCACTCTTTAGTGCAGAAGCCACTAGCCAGAATGTGGTGTTGGAATGCTTGAAATGTGGCTAATATGACCAAGAAACTAGAGTTTAAACTTTATTTTTAAAAAATTTAAATTTAATAACACACTCAATTTAGTTACTGGAAAACTTTGAAGTATGTTTGGTTATGTGAATCAATTTTTCAACTATAAATTACATAAACTCTAAATATAGATCAAATATTTCTGATAAAAACCTAGAGTCCTATTTGAGATGTCTTAGACTGTAAAATATACACAGGATTTGAAAGACTTTTTAAACTAAAATTAGAATAGAAAATTTCTCATTAACAATTTTTTATTTGATAACATGTTGAAATAATAATATTGGATATTTTGGGGTTAAACAACATATATTACTGAAATCAATTTTACCTATTTCTTTTTTTTAAATGTGGCTACTAGATAATATATTACACAATTATTTGTATAATTTGAGTAATGTTTCTGTTGGATACTGCTGCTCTACCTAATCAACAGCACATATCATTAAAAGCTCATAGAAATAAATGTAAAGCAAAGAGGATACACTCTACAATAACTATAAAATTATTCTCTTTTATGCTCACTTTTGTTTTCTTGGCATTGTTTCTAATATTTAGGATAATGTTCCCTCTTAAAACAACAGTGGATTTGACCTTCTTTAGATGGTTAATTCACATTTAGCTTCAGTTCCCAAACTGCTGGTTATCAGGTCTTAAATGATCATCGCCTCTTAATAATTGCTTAGATGGTATTGTTATGGTATATAAAAATATTTTAAAAATTTAAAAACATTACATTTTAAAATAATAGCATCTTGGTCACTTTCAGAAATCCAGATGTATGTACTGAGAAATGGCTTTCACTGACTGACTATCAGCTAAGGTGGAAGTCTTTTGGCAATAGGGTTCTAGTTCATAATTTGCTTAGTCATTACATTATAATTCTTAAAAAAACTTAATATTGTAAAATAAATTTAATATTATATTAGTATTAGTTTAATAAAATCACTATAAATTATATATCGCATATCAAATCATATCATGTTAATATTCTTATTGCACTAGTTCTAACTAGAATAATTCAAATTCATATAAAATGTCATGTACTGCACATGTTTAAATGAAATCTGGGGATAGAGAGCAAGCAAAGTGACCTGGGGAGTTCAGCCTCTGCTGTGGATGAGTAAGCACACTGACCTTCTCACAATAACATCACAAACCTGGAAAAATACCCGCCCCTCCCGCCCACCCCCCCACGCAAATAGTGAAGGGCTCTAGACAGTGATTAAAAATAGGCAGATGTTGGTGGGGGAGCTGAAACCTGGAGGAAGCTACTAGGGATGGATGAGTTTTTTGTTTTGATCCTTTGCCCTGAGGGCAGCTGCAACCCCGTGGTACAGCGTGGAGGCTAAAACTTTGATAGAAAGCCTGTTGTCTTTCTAGCAGGTAAACAGGATTGCCTGAGTGTGAGAGTAGAATCCTGGAGAGAAGATAGCCAGGGAAGGGGAGGCCCAAACTCTGTGTTTAAACCGTTTCCAAGTCTCTGGCTGCCCCCAGTCCCCTGCATGTGGGGACAGACTGCCAGCCTTTTGAACCGAGACCAGAACTGCTGCCCATGGCAGGCAAAAAGACAATTTGCAGTTTGAGTTTAACCAAGTTAATGGTCTGTTAAAACAAAACATTACTAATTTTTGAAGGACTATGACAATTCAGAGTGTTTTCATTATAACAATTCAAAATATCCAGGATACAGTTCAAACTTACTTGACATGTGAAGAGCCAAGAAATAGGACCTTTTCCTAAGGGAAAAAGACAACAGAGGTCACCCCTGAGATAACTCAGATGTTTGGATTCTCAAATGAGTACATTAAATAAGTTCTCATTGGTATGTTCAAAACACTTGAAGGAGAAATGGATAGAGTTAAAGGGAGAAATAGACACTCCACAATCATAAAGAATAAGGCATGAAGTGATCAAGAAAGTAATGGATAATATAAATAACACTATCACCATTTTGTCCCAACTGATATGTATAGAATACTACATCCAACTGCAGAATTCACATTTATTTCTATCTCACATGTTATGTTCATAAAGACCATATGCTGGGACATAAAACAAGTCTCAATCAATTTAAAAGGCTTAAAATATGCAGAATATATTCTCTGACCACAATGGAAATAAATCAGAAATCAATAAAGAGATCTAGAAAAACTTTAGATATTTGTAAATTAAACAGTACACGTTTAAAAGAATCATGGATCAGAGGAAAAATTAAAAGAAAAATGAAAAAATAATTAGAACTGAAGATAATACAAACACTACATCTCAAAATTTGTGGGATGCAGTCAATTCTGTGCTTAGAGAGAAATTCATAGCTTTAAAAGCATGTATTATAAAAGAAAGAGAATATAAAATCAAGAAGCTAGAAAGAGAAAAGCAAAGTAAACCTAAAGTAAGTAAACACAAAACTTATTATCATATTTAAGTAATATGCTAAGGAATTTGAATATGTTATGTATTTTTTTTTTTTAAGAAACCTTTCCTTAAAGAAAAGTCCAGGCCCAGATGGCTTCATTGGTGAATTCTATCACATTCAAAAACAAAATAACATTAATCATACATAATTTGTTTTTAGAAAATAGAGGAAAGAATGGTTTTTAACTCTTTTTAAGAGGCTAGCATTACCCTAATACCAAAATCTGTCACAGATATCAAAGTAAAGAAAATTAGCTACAACATCATCGATCATTAGAGAAATGCAAATCAAAACCACAATGTGATACCATCTCATGCAAGTCAAAATAGATATTAAAAGGTCAAGAAACAACAGATGCTGATGAGGTTGTGAAGAAATAGGAATGCTTTAATCTGTTGGTGGAATATAAATCAGTCCAACCACTGTGGAAGACAGTGTGGTGATTCCTCAAAGACCTAGAACCAGAAACACCATTTGACCCAGCAATCCCATTACTGGGTATATACCCAAAGGAATATAAATCATTCTATTATAAAGACACAGGCATGTGTATGTTCACTGCAGCACTATTCACAATAACAAAGACACGGAATCAACTCAAATCCCCATCAATGATAGACTGGATAAAGAAAATACATATACACCATGGAATACTATGCAGCCAAAAAGAGGGAAAAGATCATGTCCTTTGCAGGGACATGGATGGAGCTGGAAGCTATTATCTTCAGCAAACTAACACAGGAACACAAAACCAAACACCATATGTTCTCACTTATAAGTGGGAGCTGAACAATGAGAACACATGGACATGGGGAGGGGAACAACACACACTGGGGCCTGTCAGGGGTGTGGGAGGAGGGAGCACGTCAGAATAAATATCTAATGCATGTGGGGCTTAATACCTGGGTGATAGGTTGATAGATACAGCAAACCACCATGGCACATGTTTACCTATGTAACAAACTTGCACTTCCTGCACATGTATCCCAGAACTTAAAGTAGAAAGAAAATTAAAGAGCTCTATTTGTCATGAACATAGATATAAAAATCCTTAATAATACATGTTAGCAAATTTAATTCAACTCTATAAAAGGGATTATGAGTAAGTAGGATTTACCACAGAAACACAAGATTCCATCTAATTAATCACATTAACAGGATAAAAGAGAAAAACTATATGGTCATTTCAACAGATGCAAAAAACAGTTTGCCAAAAGTTAACATTCATATATAATAACATCTCTCAGTAAATTGGTAACTTGTTCAACCTAATAAAGGGTATATATGAGAAACCTACAGCTAACATTAATGGTGAAATATTAGATACTTCCTTCCTAAGATCAGGAACAAGTCAGGATGCCAGCTCTCACCACTTAATAGCCCTTGAATACTTAATATGTGCCAAGTACTATGTCAATGGCTTTACAGCAACCTTTGTGCAAGTGCCAAGTTCTCTTCCATTATACAGAGAAGGAGACTGAAGCACAGAGAGGCGAAGAAACTTGCCCAATGTCATGAAATAATCATAAGCCAAAATTTGAATTCAGGTCTCCCTGCCTTTAGAGTCCACCTCTTAACCACAACTGTCTTCTCAGTAGTATAATAATAATTACCATTATAGGAATCTAAAGGGAGAGTAGAAGCTTCTGTGCCTGGCTTTTTCTTTACACGTTACCCTCTACAGGCTCAGATGCAAAAATAACTGCTGATGTTTGTCCACTGGGGACAAAGCAGACAGGCTAAATAACACACAGTTTATAGGAGATGCTAGAGAGTTGCTGTGTGATTTATGTATCTCCATCAAAGGTGCCATGCTCTCCATCAATAGCCATATTCAAATTACAATGGTATTTTCCTCCTAAAAGTGAGTCTAACTTGCTCATTTTCATTATTTACAGTCAGTTAATTAAAAACCCAGCAGATATTTATTTTGCTCCTTTCACATCACCAGTGATTTCTTGCTGCCGCACTTTCACAGCATTACAGTTTTATGACTCAACACAGCCTGTAGTGGGTTTCTTATGGTTGTATCTCCATTACTTTAATTTCAGGCAAGACGTTAAACCACGGCAAGATTTCAGCTACTGCTGGTGAAGCGTGAGAAGCAATCGTGGTGCTTGTCGATATGAAAGAGTAGACACCACCAAATTATACAGCAAGGAATAGAACCCAGTCCCTTCAATAGGGAGAATGAGTGGTTGGCTCTTGGACTGGTGAATGAATGATCGCAAGTGTTATACTGGCCAGAAACAAAAAATCTGAATCATTCAACCATTCCATTATCTCCCAATTATGGAGAAGGAATTGCTATACCAAAATGTAGCCCACGTCTACTATGACATTTCTAAAAAAGCAAAGCTTTTATTATTAAATCATGTAAATTTTGAAATTCACTCCATAAAGTGCTAAATATCTTTTAATTTGAAGTTAATTCTATTTTACCCTTGTATCTTTGAGTATAATTAGAATTCTAAGAAAATGTGTGATGTTTTTCTGTAACCCCATACCTGCTTGACAAGGGCCACTTCGGGCAGAGAGAAGTCCTGCTCTGAAATTGCTGGTTTAAGGTTAGAACATCAGGGACCCAGTTGGCAAAGAATGAGCCAAATTTTTTATCTGGAAATTAAGGAGGAACAACAAACACTATTAACAAGCAGGCTTTTGCAATTTATCGCAAATAGGAACCTGTGGAAGCAGAAAGGCTCACAGGCTGCCCAATGGAGAGGTTAGTAAACTGCTGTTATAGCCACCAGTAGCCTTTGTTGCCAAGAAAATAAGCCATCCTACATGCTCTTCATCAACTAACAGAGAATTCTCTCTTATAGCTACCAGAAGAACTCCTACACAAGCTTCAAAATCCAGCATAAACACAATCTCTTCTAAGAAGCCTGCTCTGGCTTCTCAAGCCAAGGTCTCAGTGGAGATCTCCTTGATGCTCCACTGTGCCCCCTGCTCTCCTCCTACCCATGCTTTTCTTCCTGCATTTTCAATTGTGTTCACCCATCTTTTTTCTCCTCAGAGCTCCATGAGGCAAGAATCTGTACTTCCTCATCTCATCTCCCTGACTTCACAGCCCACACCTATGTTAAGTTATGCCTTAAGCTAGGCCGTAAAGTTGGTTGGGTGTAGAAAAGACTAAATTTTAGTAAGTTTAGGAGAAGCACTGTTGTAAGGTACTCGGATGTGCTTTGGTCAAGGTTAGGCCAAGGCAGACATCCAGGTCTGCATGACTCAGCAAGTTTAGGGCACAGGCGCATACTCCAAATGTTATATAACCTGCTTGTGTAAGTTCATACTTGGCTTGGAGCTACTATTGTCTGTAAAAATTATAGCTGCCCTGCTGACACTGTGCACAGGCCTTGGCTCTTGGGTATGGCTCAACATGGCTCTTGTGCAGGTGCTGGTGCCCAGAGAAAGGGAGAGAGAGATTGAGAACCAGAGCTGTCCATCTTGCAGATGGACAGAGGGGAGACAGAGCATGGCTCAGCACAGCACAGCACAGCATGGCACAGCTTGTTCTCACACCCAGAGAGAGAAAGAGTTAAGCTGCTGACCCTGAAGGCAGGGGAGAGCTGGCTGCACAGCTGTGTGTGGGAGCGACCAGCTCAAGCAGCTGAGACAGGGCGGACAGTGTGAGAAAGCTGCTGATGAGATAGTGTGAGAGAGCTGTTAATCAGAGAGCTGCTGAATACAACTACATTTCATCTGCTTACAGCCCCTCAAGTGTTATTTCAGCCATTGCCTATCCATCCACTCCCATTGGACCTCAGCATGAACCGGACCCTAACACTGGACCCTGGCATTTGGGTTTAACAAAGTTATACTGGCTAAGACCAGAGTCTTTGGAATTGTAATTGGAATGACTTGGTTTCAAGTACCAGCGGCAGCATTTCTATCTTTGTGACCTTGGCCAAAGTACGTTAACTTCTCCTGTCTCAATCTTCTCAGGCACAGGATGGGAGTAATAACAGATTATACTGTATTGGGCTATTGTGAAGTTTAAAGTCAAGAAGGCAAAATGCCTAAAGCACTTTGCATAATGCTGGCATGAAGAAAGTACATAGTAAAGGTTGGTGATTGATAACATGAATGGTGGCACCTTCATGCTGAAGGTGAAACTCATGTTCTTATGGTTTTGACTTCATAGGAGGGAATGACCCTCAGAGCAGATCACTGTCCAGTGTCAGATCCAAATAGGGCCATTTCTGGACTCCTGCCTCCGTGCTTCTCTTTGCCAGCTGTCAAGTTTCAGCTCCTTTAGCCAGCCTCATTTCAAGGTCTGTCTGGCCCCTGCCCCAGACCCCTGCCCTAGACCCCAGCTTGCTTCTCAGGCCTTGTGCAGTGAGTAATTAGAATTCTAAGAAAACGTGTGATGTTTATCTGTAACCCCATACCTGCTTGACAAGGGCCTCTTCAGGCAGAGAGAAGCCCCGCTCTGAAATTGCTGGTTTAAGGTTAGAACATCAGGGGCCGGGCGCGGTGGCTCACGGCTGTAATCCCAGTACTTTGGGAGGCTGAGGCAGGCAGATCATGAAGTCAGGAGATCAAGACCATCCTGGATAACACGGTGAAACCCCGTCTCTACTAAAAATACAACAACAACAAAAAATTAGCCAGGCGTGGTGGTGGGCACCTGTAGTCCCAGCTACTTGGGAAGCTGAGGCAGGAGAATGGCGTGAACCCGGGAGGAGGAGTTTACAGCGAGTCGAGATCGCACCACTGCACTCCAGCCTGGGCGACAGCGAGACGCCATCTCAGATAAAAAAAAAAAAAAAAAAAAAAAAAAAGAACATCAGGGACCCAACTGGCAATGAATGAGCCAAATTTCTAATCTTTTGAGCCATCATGAGAGTGAGCCGTCTCATGGATCCCATACTATGAACCAAGATGCTTCTTAGGTGTGAGACCTTATGTAAGCTAAGGGGTTTCCCCTGGCTTACTTCTGCCTTAGTAACACAGCTGGATACACTGCTTAGTCTTCCCAAATTCACTGCCAGTCACTGAGCACACTGACTACATGATCTCTCACCCTACCACCAACCCTGCTGCTCAGGGTTTTCAAACAATTTGACAGATGAGTCAAAAGAGGCACAGAGCAACTGGATGAGTTGTTCAAGGTCACACTAGGATTTGCCCACTTCTTTTCTGGCTCTGGTGCCCACACACTAAACCAAGCTGCCCGTGAAATTGATGAACAATGGCAGGTGCAAAAGATCCCATATTTCCACTCCTTGACAAGTCTCACCCATAACCCCAAAATTGCAAGTTCCCAAATGTTCATGTGGGGAACCCCAAAGGGGAACAGGAATATTTTAAATGTTTAATTCAAGTTAAAGAAAGTGTCAGGAAAATCCATATTTTGAGCTGAAGAAGAAAGACAAATGACAGCCCAATCAATACTACAGGAGTATATGGACTCTTTTACTGTTCTGTCAATTCTTGGAGCTAATAAGTCAGCATCTCAGGGCACAGTTTCATACTTTAAAACAAAAGTTCAGAGGCCTGCTTCCTGTCAGGTGTGACTCCAGCATTCATTCTCATCCGAGTGAGTGGAAAATGAAGGGACTTTCTTAAACATGCACCAGGCGACCCCTGGGCACCTCTCATCAAGGCTAGGACTGGTCAGCTGATAACAAGCACCTTCGATATGACTGGCTAATTCTTCATTGCATTGTCATCAATACTGCTGACAACCCCCACAGAAGGCATGCTGACTGAAATGTTAAATCAAACTCGGAGGGGAAGTTTGAAAATCAATTTTAGGTTCCTGCAGAAAAGACCAGGGAGGATAATTAAGACTCATAACTCCCAGCTTCATTTTCATTTTCTAATTCTGGAGCAAAATAAAACGATTATTTGCTAGGAAATCAGCTGGAGCAGGAATGAAATGGTGGAGTGGAACGTGCTCCCTGGGCTGTGAGCCATGATGGCCAAGGCATTCCCAGTTCGGGGACATGCACTCCAGTGAGACAGCCTATCAGCCAACTGCCTCACAACAACTTTCATTTTCTTTTCATGTACCTTTTATTTTTTTCTGTTGGCAACAAAAAGCCAATGTAAACGTGAAAGGTTGGCTGCTTCCAAGTTTACAGTAAATAACTTGAAAGAGCTGTAGATTACCTAGGCCCTGGGTGTCAGGAGCTAATGCATTCTAAATGTAACCCGTTTCCAGCAGAGCCAAACCCTGCTTTGACATTTTCCTTCACAGTACGTGGATATTGGTATTACAGGTGCTTTGCTCTATCCCTAATTTGCCTATTGTGATTTCCACAGACCAGCAATGCTAATAGGATGCTTCATTTCCCCACTGGGCCAATGTGAGATAAATTATAGCCACACGGTCCATCTCACTGTATGGTAAATACCCTTATGCTACCTCTTACTTTTCATGCAAAATATATTTGGATGCATTTCACTTTTCAAGCTGCCTAGAAGTGGGAAGAGAGATGGAATTCCCTCCTCTCTCTATATAGTGGATATTTGTAGAAGGCCCAGGATAATTTAATTCCCTGCCCCCAGCAGCAAAGGTCACATGTTTATACTATCCCCAGTAAGATCTGAAATTCTGTATACCTCAGAAAAATAAAATTGACAGAAGTCATTTTGTAGCTGCTCAGAATTACCTATGTTTTTATTGATTGGGGAGTCTGCATGGTATGTTTTTGCACAAATTTATCAGCTGTTTGGCAAATAGTATTTGGTCCAGAACTTCCACGATAAGCTTAGAATTCAATCACTTAAATCTTTCCTCACTTGCCCTTCTCTCAGCCAATCAAACTCAAGCACAGAATATTAGAAATAATTAATGGGCACCCATTATATACCAGGCAGTTCAAAGAAGGTAAAGAAATATGACCACATCTCTGTGCTTTAAGGTGACATCCCCTTATGAAGAGAAGCTGGGTTCACATAGTCCCCCTGAGCTGAACAATCTATTTCCTGGTCAACTGAGTGTCATACAGTAGAAAATATCCAAACCTTTTAGTTAGATTTTCTTCATTTCTCCTCCTTAGGTAATAAAGTCATTTTACTATCCTCACAGAGTGTATGTGAAATATGCTTGAATGCTTAGAGTTTATGCAAAAAATATCATCTTCTGGTGTTTCCTCTTTGTTTGACTTTACTTCTTTGTGGGAAGGAGGTTTTTGAGCAGGGTTATTGCTGTGGTCTGAATGTTTGTGACCACCCCCACCCCCACCCAATTCATATGTTTAAACCTAATCCGCAGTGTGATGGTATTAAGAGGTGAGGCCTTTGGAAGGTGACTGGGACATAAGGGCAGAGTTCTGAAGAATGGGATCAGTGCCCTTATAAATGAGGTCTAAGGGAGATTGCTTGCCACTTCTGCCATGTGAGGACACAGTAAGAAGCCAGCAGTCCGTAAGCCAGGAGAGGGCCCTCAGCAGAGCCTGACCATGCCAGGCTGGCAACCTGCTGGTTTCTCAGCCTCCAGAGCTGTGGGAAAAGATTTTCTGTTTTCTATAAGCTACCCAGTGTGTGGTGTTTTATTATAGCAGCTCCAATGAACTAAGACAATTATCCTGTTAACCTGGGCCCCAAAAGGAATGAGGTAGAGCACAGCCCACAGACCCAAACAAAGATGGCACTGGCTGTAGGAGTGATTATCAACTTCCATGAAATTGAACTGACTTCCCTGACAGATTTGCTTAAATATAAATTAACTGAAAGTACAGACTATAAACCTTTCATTTTCCCTGGATGATCAGCCTTCTTCAGCATAATGGCCCTCACATTGTTGGGGAATAGTGACTGTTTCCCTTCACAGGATATTCACATAACAGTCCAGCACCCACTCTGTGAAGGATCTGAGCTAAGGGTGGGTGGCCCATGGAGACTCAAGCTAACATGATCCATGTAGTCTGGGACCAGGCCTAATAGAAAAGGCAAGTATCAAATGAAGAACCACAAGATTAAAGATGTGATTGCAAACTGTGTTAAATGTTAGGATGGAAATAAACAGGAAAATAACTGGGAAGATATAATGGGTAAGCAAAAAATAATAAGAAATTAGGCAGACAAATTAGAGAGATGGGAGGGTGGAGGGTACCTACACACTGCATTTTGGGTAGAAAAACAGCAAGCGCAAAGGCCTTGAGGCAGGAGTACAAACCTCCTCTTATGGAACAGAAAGGGAATCTGGACATAGAGAAGGAGAAGTTGGTAGCATAAAAGAGTAGGCATGGACACATCATGTTATTCAATTCAATGCTTGCTGGTCTGACCCCAGATTTATTCTTTGAAGAACCCTTGTTTTCCAATATTTGGCAGACTTCATGGCAAAGATGACCTCTGTGACTTTGTGTAATAATGGAAAGCTCCAATTGTTCAGTTCAGCAAACTGATTTATCACCAGCCTGTTTCTGGCACTATGCTTTTGCTGGAAACATCTGGCTGATCCACCTGGGAGGTCCCTGCTGGTGTGGTACACTCAGATCCTCTGCCCTATGGAGTCAAGGCCATGATGTCAGCCCTAGTTGGTTAAAGCCAGACAATCTCACCTGAATGGGGTAACAGTATGGCCAGTAAGTGGAACAATGAGAACTCACATTTATGATAAGTCAAGTATCATGCTATGAGCTTTACACAATTTAGACCTCACAATGACAACAAAGGACTTAGGTATTCTTTTTACTCCCAGTTTACAGAGTAGGAGGTGGCTGAGGTTCAAAGACACTGTATGGTTTCCAATGCTACAGAGTTGGTGGAGTCTGCCTTAGGAACTGTTATGGGTGTATTATGTGTCCCCCCAAAAAAGATGTGTTGAAGTCCTAACTTCAGAATGTGACCTTATCTGGTATAGGGGGTAATCAGGTTAAAATGAAGTCACTAGGGTGGGCTCTAATCCAATATGACTATGTACTTATCAAAAGGGGAAATTTGGACACAGAGACAGACATGACCATTAGGAAGATGATGTGAAAACACACAGGGAGATAATGGCCATGTGGCTGGAGTGATACATCTGCAAGCCAAGGAAAGCCAAAGACTGCTTCCAATCACCAGAAGTTAGAACAGACGAGGAAAGATCCTCCCCTTTAGCCATCAGAGGCAGCATGACCCTGCCAATAGCTTGATTTCAGACTTCTAGCCTTCAGGGCTGTGGCACAAAACATTTCTGTTGGGTTAAGCCACCCAGTGTTTGGTACTTTGTTATGGCAGCATAGAAAACGAACACAGACTCCAAACCCAGGGTAAACATGCTCTGCTTTCTGAGCTACCAGGCCCACAACTACACTTCTTCAATTGCCCTTCAAGATCCACCTTGGTCCTGCGCATAAGCCAGAGGGGAAGAAGAAGACAGGACCCCAGAAGGAATGCACAGTTCAGCCATGGGTTGCCTGTCTGTAATCCCCCTGTATCACGGTCTCTGTGAGAAAAGATTGGTTCCAGCAGATGGTGGGGCTCACAGCATGCTTACTGAATGAGTGAGGAGTTATGCATCAGAGTTGGCCATGGATGCCCAGTCAGTGAGGCAGAGAAGGTGGTACTTTGTAGGAAATAGGATCAGTAAGAAAGGTGTTTTGGAGTTTGCTGAAGGTGCTTAAATAGGCTTCATGCCACTGACCATATTTTCTCAAGAAGAAATGAAAATAATTGTCAATGTTTCCAAAACTTGGATGAATTGCAGAATTAAAAAAGAAATTCTCAAGTACTTCAATAAAAGAGCTATAAATAAACCTGTTATTATTTCATTGTTAGTGCCATCCCCTGAGGGAGACAATCTGAGAAGCATTCCAATTTATACCTGGCTGGACAGTCTTAGATCACACACGAGGGCACCATTTGTTTTGCTCAGGGAACAGGGCTAACCCATAGTAGAAGCCCTGCCTCCCCTTCCACCAGGGCCCCACAATGGGTTGATTATGATGGGGTCTCCTGACTCTGTGACAGACACACACTCCCAACTGCCCCTCACACATTTTTGGGCATTCCTCAAGCCCAGTGTTGTCAGAGCTGGCTCAATGGTCCATTCTACAGATCACTGTCTGGCTGGGGTCATTCAACAGGCATGAGATGGCTCTTATTCCAACAATTTCCCCTGGTGTTGTCTGAAATTCCACCAGAAAGTCAATGTCTTTGGATTCAGTATCACTTATAGTAGTATCTCTTGGTGGGTTTTGTTTCATTGTCAATTTTTATGCTCAGTAGATAAAATTTATAAATATAAAAAGGCAAAAAAGGAATGGTAATCCTATTTTTTGGAGGCAATTGGTAGTAACTTTTAGGCATATTTACTTCCACAGTCTTCTTTCAGTGAGCTTTCATTAAATAGTAGAGATCATACATTATGTATAATTCTGTACCCTGCATCTTCATTTCATATTATAAGATCATTTTCGTAGCTTATTAAAGACACCCTACAAGCTTTATTTTGGTGGCTACATAATATTCCATCCTACGGATATGGCAAACATATTTAACCTGTACCCAATGACAAAATGATGATGAATTCCTAAAAGTGGATATACTGGGCATGCACATTTTAAAATTGATGCTGTGTTTTGCTATTTTACTTTAGAATGAAGCCTCCCATGTTCCCTTCCCCAGGAGGAAAGGCATTGCATCTTCAGCACTCCACTACTCTGATGTCAACCTCCTAGGAAATGAAGCAAGCCTTCCAATTCATGGGGTGGATGCCACCATAGTGGTCGAAGACCCTGGCTGAATGATTTCCCTACAATCCACAGAATGTCTCAGCCACTGAGCTACTCTGAAGAGTCACTGTCTCCTCCTTCCCCTTCCCTTCTCGGCAACCTCCACGATGACTGTGACCTCCCCTGGATCAGTCTCCTAGGGTACTCTGGGTGTACATCCCTCTCATTATGGTCCAGAGATTGTGTCCTCCTTTCTTGGTCATGCTGGCACCCAACACTGTCAGCAGAGAAACAACAGGCCTAAGTGAGATGGTCTCAGCTCCTGCTGGCAAACACTCAGCAGCAACTAAAGGGGAAAGTGATTCATCTGTGCCTCTTCATTCTTCCAGAATGTGGGAGCTCTTTGGGGTTTGAATTAGCACCTTTCTTGCCAGACAACAAGATTGGAATGGAGCAGAATGTGCTACTGCAGGGGAAGCCCAGCTGCTAAGCTAATGTGGACAGTCAACCACAACAGATAAAGACTTCAGATCTCAAGCTCATTTCAGTAAGTTGAGGCTATGATTTAAGTTGCACTGATTGCTGCAGGAAGGAGGAAAGGTGGGAGGGAAGGGTAAAACCATATATAACTGAGCATCTACTATACATCAAGCACTAGATGTGGTGTTTCACACATATCAGCATGCTTAATCCTGGGTAATGCTCCTGAGAGCTAGCTATTTTTACCACATTTTAGAGAAAAGTAAATTGGAGCTTAGAGAGGCTACGTGACTCACCCAAGGCCACACAGCCCGTAAGTCACCCAGTATTTCTGATTCCTGTGCCCATGCTCTTTCTGAGTACAAGGATCCAAAGAAGCTCTTCCAATTGGACTCACAACCTCCCTGTTGCTTTCTCCATGGCCAAGTTCAGATGAACAATAGGATCATAGTGCCAACAAGTAAGCCTAGGTCTCGGGTCCCTGGCAGGCAGATATTATAGCACCAACAATAAATAAACAGATTAAATTAACTGCGTCTTGAGCTCCACCTTTCCTAGTGTCAGTAGAACACTCTTCACCTATGGAAAAATTCTATTCATTTAGGAAGGTTGTGGTCCTTGGCCTCATACAGCCTAAGCTTGTAAAGGGCCTGGAATAGAATTAAACATATTTAGATATTAGTTCCCTTACTCTATTAGAGCCAGATGGCTTTGCAGTTTATTCATCAAATATTTACTGAGCATCTACTACATGTCATCCAGAGTAGGTGCTAAATGAAGTATCCGGTCATTTATATACATTGAGAGAGTCAAGTGTCACTTAACGATAGGGATACATTTGAAGAAAATTGTCATTAGAAATTTCATTGTTGAGCAAATATCATAAAGTGGACTTTTACACAAACCTAGGTGGTACAGACTACTACACACCTAGGCTATATGGTGTAGCCTGTTGTTCACAGGCAACAAATCTGTACAGCAAATTACTGTATTGAATACTGTAGGAAAGAAATTATAATAAAATAGTAACTACGTGTGTATCTTAACATACCTAAACATAGAAAAGGCTCAGTAAAAATATGGTGTAAAAGATTTTTTTAAAGTGGTAAACCTGTACAGGGCACTTACCATGAATGCAGCCTGCAAGACTGAAAGTTACTCTGGGTGAGTGAGTGGTGAGTGAATATGAAACCCCAGGACACTGCTGCCCACTACTGTGGACTTTGTAAACACTGCACATTTAGGCTACACTAAATGTGCTAAACATATTTTTCTTTCTTGAATAATAAATTAACCTTAGTGAATAACTTTTGGACTTTATAAGCTTTTAAATATTTTTTAACTTTTTGAGTTTTGTAACACTGAGCTTAAAACACACTGTATAGCTGTAAAAAAATGTTTTCTTTCTTTATATTAGTATTTTTATTCTATAAGCTTTTTTCTACTTTTGCAATTTATTTTTATTTATTAAGCTTTTTGTTAAAAACTAAGACATGAACACACACATTAGCCTAGGCCTACACAGGGTCAGAATCATCAATATCACTGTCTTCCACCTTGTCTGACTAGAAGTTCTTCAGGGTAAATAACATGCATGGAGCTCTCATCTCCTAGGACAACAATGCCTTCTTCTGAAATACCTCCTGAAGGACTTGTCTGATGCTGTTTTACAGTTAACATATAAGTAGAATGACTATGCTCTGAAATAGCAATAAAAAATAAATACATAAATCAGTAATATAGTCATTTATTATCATTATTGAGTATTATGTCCTATACCTTCTGTGTGTGCTATACTTTTATATGACTAGCAGTGCAGTAGGTTTGTTTATACCAACATCACCACAAACACATGAGTAATGTGCAATGATATGAGCTACAATGGCTATGACATCAGCAGGCAATAGGAATTTTTTAACTCCGTTATAATCTTTTGGGACCACTGTCACATATGTGGTCTGTTGTTGACCAAAACATCATTTTATGGCATATAACACACACACACATCCTCTCTCTCTCTCTCTCTGTGTATGTGTGTGTGTAACACACTAACCTGAAATCCTCTAATCTCTGGCCAATTCCTGTATGCATCTGCTACCAGGGAAAAAGACAAGGGAGTACCTATAGCAAAAGTATGTTCCTTTCCTTCACTTCAGAGGGCAGGGACATGGCTCTTGCTCACTTTAAGACTTCATCAAGACAAACTGATAGAAGAACAATACAAACCCAGCCTGTGGACCTTTCCTTATTCTTCCTTCCAAGAATTGTTATGAGAATACTACAAATAACATGGTAGTTTATTTCAATTAAATGTAGATACTGCTCTCCTGTTGGCAAATCTTGCCAAATGTGATTGCACAATCAGACAAGACATGGGATTTAGGATATAACTCCTCACAGGAACCCTATGCAACATGTTGTGAAAAACAACAGCAACAACTTTGTAATAGCATTTAAAAGCAAAATCCATGTAGAGTTTACCTATCAGAAGGAAGACTTAGAATTCTGGCCATTTGTCTACTGGATTATTCTACTAAATATTTTTAAACTGAGAAGAAATAGAGGAAAAATGCAGAAAGGAGGGGAATCTTTGGCAGGAGGCTGTGATGCTGCCACAAGATTATCTGGAAAGAAGAAAGCATCAGGCCTCCATTCCATCCGTCTCCATCACCACCCTTGGTTAGGAGCCTACCTGCAGCAGCCTAGAAGGGGCAGCCTTGAGTACCTCTCACTGCCCTCTGTCATCTATAGCTGATGGAGGTGGGGTGAAGGTTAGAAGTTGAAAACTGAGCCAAGCTGAACTGCTCACTCTGATCCTTTCTTTTTTGCATTTGGAATTGGCTAACAGTGACAGAGACAGTTAGATAGTAGGGAGTTCTGGACTGTAAGGCATGAAACTTGAGTTCAGTGGTTAGGTTGGCTTGGAAAAGCAGACCTCAATTGTTTGGAGAGAGCACATGGAGCAGAAGAGCAGAGAGGGACCCCAGAGTGAGTGACACAGGGAGATTATAGTTTTTGATAACTTTTCATTTCTAATGAGGCTTAAACATCCTAAACTGCACTTCTTTTTTTGATATTTTTCTGCATTCTCCTAATAAGTCTTTATTGTATGGTGTTAGCATAAGTAGTTTACTGTTTCTGGGCATCCAAGATGTTTCTAAAACCCTCACAACTAGTTTCCTCATGATTCTGCCCCAGACTTTCTGTTTTGTAATTAAAGAGCAAAAAAGACAATAAAGGAATAGTAAGTTATCAACAAAATGATGAATCAAAGACAGAATCATTTAAAACAACATGTAAGGCAAATAACAGGGCTAAAATAAAAATGAGCAAGATAAAAATAAGGCCCAAAATAAAAGTTGAACGTGATGAGAGGACCAGATAAAATATAAGCCATGGGTAAATGTAAAAGTGAGATAAAAGAGAGCCATTAAGGCACAAGTCAGCTGAGAACAATTAAAATACAAGAAACAAAAGAGCAAAGCGGATACTAAAAGAATATAATCTACAAAGTATAAAACTAGGGTAATTGGGCAATAAAACAAAATGGAAAAGAAGACAGAGCTCATTTGGTCATGAGGCATGTGCTTAAGGCTGGGTCCCCATGAATAAAAACTGTCATGGCCTTCCCAGGCATGTCAGTCACCACAGGTGCACAGGCCTCCCACAGCTGCCAACCCATAGCAAGGGGTCCCCTTCCTCAAGCAAACATCCCCTGAGTGGAGATCCCCAGGGATCACAAAGCACGACATTTATCCTTTCCCTTTGAACTCCCTTTGAATGTGTGTCTCCTCCTCATTCCAGTTTCTTCAATGTACCAGAATGAAAGCATGACTCACATTTTCAGTGAAAACTGAGTCAGATCATCTGGTCCTCTCAACTACCTTTCCCCTCAGCTACACTTCCCCTCAGCTACATCTCCCCTCAACTACATCTCCCCTCAGCTACATTTTGTGAGCAACAAAGAGCATTGTCCATCCATACATATCATTATAGAGTCCAGGCATCAAGACTCAGAGCTACCACATTGGCTCCTAGGTGAGCAAAGGAAGGGAGAAGGCCAAGAAACTTGTGAGTCTTAAATTCTGCAAAATGCAAAGGCTTTAAGCTGGGCTGGTGTAGTCAGAGGGAATAATTGGAGTGATAAAGTTGTCTGTGACCAACTTCCTTCTCTCAAACCTTACCACGGTGCTAAAAAGGGTCTGCTGATAACAGCAATCAGGCAAAATTGAGATATATATTATTTATGTAAGACTAACGTGAAAGCTATCAGGAAGCTCTCAGTAGGCTCAGAAAGAACAGGTATCTACTTAACAAAATTGCTGATTTCATTTATTTAAGAGCTACAGGATCATTTAGGTTTTCTATTTCTTCTTGCATTAATTTGATAGCTCTATTTTTAAAATTTGGTCTTAAAAATTAAAATTTCAAATTTATTGTCCTAAGTTATTTGTAATACCATATTATTTAATATCTGGGGTCTTCTTTTTTCATTCCTGTTAAAATTATACAGGAAATTTATTATTCTCTTTGTAACTTCAGTAGAGGTTTAACAATTTTATTAGTGTTTTCAATAAACATACCCAAAGAATAGAGATTAATGAAATAGTAAACAGACATAAGATCACTCTGTGAGGACACACCAGGCAGGATGTGGAACTTGAGTTGGGTTATAAAGGATGACAGTGTTTAGACAGACTGAGAGGAGGAGGAAAAGAAAGAGGAGGAGGAGAAGGAAGAAGAAAAAAAGGAGGAGGAGATGGGAAGAAGGCCTAAGCAGAGACATAGAACAGATAACTGATCAACCTGGCTTCTGTCATAGAATTTAAGGTCACAGAATTAAACAGTAAATCAGGACCAGATCATAAAGGTCTGTGATGTCAACACCAGTGGGAAGGAGTTTGTGGAATATGCTGAAGTCAGGGGCAGCCATTGAAAGTGTAGGAAGGATGCCATGCTGTAGGAGGTCCTTTCTGCAGGGGAACAAAGAACAAACAACATGGGACAGGAAGACTGTCAGGAGGTGATGGAAGCCATCCAGGCTCAGTGACAAGGGCCTGCAACTGGAGCCTGCAGAGAAGATGGAGAGAAGGTCTAGAGCCTGAATGTTCAGGAAGGGAAGAGTGCAGAGAGCACTCAAGATGTCCAGTCTATCAGAAAGTCCTGGCAGGTGTTAATGGCCCATTTTAGCACTCCAGTGCTGGTGGAGAACTCCCTGTCTCCTTGCTTTGACCCTGTCCCCTCCTGATGATTGGGAAGATAGGCTTCACCTTGCTCTCCAAAGAGACAATTGCATTTCCTGACTTACCAACAGTCAGAGCCTCACACATGATGGTGTATGTAGGTTAGAGTGATTGTTCCTTTGCCCTAAAATAGAGCTCTCTCTCTTCTGAGCTAATAGTACTGATTGTCAGTGCCCTTTTGCACTTAGAGAGCTCTTTCTCTTAAAGACGGTCTCTGCACTCTGGATGGGCAGCCCCACAGCCTGAATCAAGGGAGGACAGAAAGATTTGTTCTGGGCTTTTGGTCTCTGATTTTCCTGCTCAATATAATAGACAGCACATCACAGAGCAGCACTCAGAATGCACCTTTTGTGAGAGTGCAGCAAGGCAGAAATCTGATCATTTTCCAGTTGAAAATGTAGTTGTTAACACTGGGCATGTTTTATGCTTGGTGGTTACTCAAGGAGCAGTAGGGGGAAGAGGCCATCTTTCTCTAATGGCTGATCTCAGCTTCTCCTAAGAATAAGAACAACAGTCCTCAGGGTTTTCATGTGATGATCTCTCCTATTGTCAGTGTTGGAATAGAATTGTGACAGAATTTGCCAGGGCATGGCTGCTTTTTCTTAATGTTATACACAGTCACAGTTCTTTTCATAGCTACATATCTTTGGAAAATACCGAGTTAAAAACAGGTTTCTTAACTGCAAGACTTTTCAGAGCCTTTTTAGCTTTTTAAAAATTATTTATTTATTAACTTTAGAGGCAGGGTCTCAATCTGTCCCCCAGGATGGTGCAATGGCTCAATCACAGCTCACTGCAGTCTCTAATTCCCAGGCTCAACTGATTTCTCCTGCTTCAGTCTGCTGAGTAGCTAGGACTACAGGCACATGCCATTATGCCTGGCTAATTTTTAAAAATGTTTTGTAGAGAAGGGGTTTCTCTATGTCATCCAGTTCCTGCCCTCAAACCATCCTCCCACCTTGGCCTCCTGAAGAGCTGACATTACAGGTGTGAGCCAGAACCTTTAGTATACTCATTTGCACTGTGAATTTCCAAGAGAACCAGTGTTCCCATTACTATGCATTCTTGGAGCTGCACTTTTATAGAGCATTACATGGGACTAGTGCTTCACAGGGTATGCTTAAGATAGATGGTCAAATGGCCATCTCACCATTTTGCCAGCTCCATGTTAATGGAGTTGCCTGTGTTCTGAGGGTTGTCTTCAGACTCACCTCACCATTACTTGCCTTGAGACCAGAATCTCAAGGATTCAGGGGAATTTTAGTGCATCACAGCTGGCAACACCACATCGCCTAATGTTACTGTCAGCAAATAAAGTGCTTTGGAAATAGAGAAGGGATACTTTGCTCATCCCAAGTCATCATCTGCATTCAGGGATGGCATCCAGAAAGAGGAAATACCTAACCAGGAAGGTGGGAAAAGATGCTCTAGCAAAATAAACAACATGAGCAAAGGCCAGGGAGCACAGCATGCTATGCTTGGGAGAACTGCAGACAGCTCAGCACAATTAAAGAGAAGGGTAACTTCAGACAAGCATCTATAGATGAGACCAGCAACGGGGATCA